>NC_000005.10:157882536-158185566 GCF_000001405.40 Homo sapiens | reverse complement strand
TCAATACCTAATTTATTGAGAGTTTTTAGCATGAAGTGTTGTTGAATTTTGTCAAAGGCCTTTTCTGCATCTATTGAGATAATCATGTGGTTTTTGTCTTTGGTTCTGTTTATATGCTGGATTACATTTATTGATTTGCATATATTGAACCAGCCTTGCATCCCAGGGATGAAGCCCACTTGATCATGGTGGGTAAGCTTTTTGATGTGCTGCTGGATTCGGTTTGCCAGTATTTTATTGAGGATTTTTGCATCAATGTTCATCAAGGATATTGGTCTAAAATTCTATTTTTTGGTTGTGTTTCTGCCCGGCTTTGGTTTCAGTATGATGCTGGCCTCATAAAATGAGTTAGGGAGGATTCCCTCTTTTTCTATTGATTGGAATAGTTTCAGAAGGAATGGTACCAGTTCCTCCTTGTACCTCTGGTAGAATTAGGCTGTGAATCCATCTGGTCCTGGACTCTTTTTGGTTGGTAACCTATTGATTATTGCCCCAATTTCAGAGCCTGCTATTGGTCTATTCAGAGATTCAACTTCTTCCTGGTTTAGTCTTGGGAGGGTGTATGTGTCGAGGAATTTATCCATTTCTTGTAGATTTTCTAGTTTATTTGCGTAGAGGTGTTTGTAGTATTCTCTGATGGTCATTTGTATTTCTGTGGGATCGGTGGTGATATCCCCTTTATCATTTTTTATTGCGTCTATTTGATTCTTCTCTCTTTTCTTCTTTATTAGTCTTGCTAGCGGTCTATCAATTTTGTTGATCCTTTCGAAACACCAGCTCCTGGATTCATTAATTTTTTGAAGGGTTTTTTGTGTCTCTATTTCCTTCAGTTCTGCTCTGATTTTAGTTATTTCTTGCCTTCTGCTAGCTTTTGAATGTGTTTGCTCTTGCTTTTCTAGTTCTTTTAATTGTGATGTTAGGGTGTCAATTTTGGATCTTTCCTGCTGTCTCTTGTGGGCATTTAGTGCTATAAATTTCCCTTTACACACTGCTTTGAATGTGTCCCAGAGATTCTGGTATGTTGTGTCTTTGTTCTTGTTTGTTTCAAAGAACATCTTTATTTCTGCCTTCATTTCATTATGTACCCAGTAGTCATTCAGGAGCAGGTTGTTCAGTTGCCATGTAGTTGAGCGGTTTTGAGTGAGTTTCTTTATCCTGAGTTCTAGTTTGATTGCACTGTGGTCTGAGAGACAGTTTGTTATAATTTCTGATCTTTTACATTTGCTGAGGAGAGCTTTACTTCCAACTGTGTGATCAATTTTGGAATAGGTGTGGTGTGGTGCTGAAAAAAATGTATATTCTGTTGATTTGGGGTGGAGAGTTCTGTAGATGTCTGTTATGTCCACTTGGTGCAGAGCTGAGTTCAATTCCTGGATATCCTTGTTAACTTTCTGTCTCATTGATCTGTCTAATGTTGACAGTGGGGTGTTAAAGTCTCCCATTATTAATGTGTGGGAGTCTAAGTCTCTTTGTAGGTCACTCAGGACTTGCTTTGTGAATCTGGGTGCTCCTGTATTGGATGCATATATATTTAGGATAGTTAGTTCTTCTTGTTGAATTGATCCCTTTACCATTATGTAATGGCCTTCTTTGTCTCTTTTGATCTTTGTTGGTTTAAAGTCTGTTTTATCAGAGACTAGGATTGCAACCCCTGCCTTTTTTTGTTTTCCATTTGCTTGGTAGATCTTCCTCCATCCTTTTATTTTGAGCCTATGTGTGTCTCTGCACATGAGATGGGTTTCCTGAATACAGCACACTGATGGGTCTTGACTCTTTATCCAATTTGCCAGTCTGTGTCTTTTAATTGGAGCATTTAGTCCATTTACATTTAAAGTTAATATTGTTATGTGTGAATTTGATCCTGTCATGATGATGTTAGCTGGTTATTTTGCTCCTTAGTTGATGCAGTTTCTTTCTAGCCTCGATGGTCTTTACAATTTGGCATGATTTTGCAGTGGCTGGTACTGGTTGTTCCTTTCTGTGTTTAGTGCTTCCTTCAGGAGCTCTTTTAGGGCAGGCCTGGTGGTGACAAAATCTCTCAGCATTTGCTTGTCTGTAAAGTATTTTATTTCTCCTTCACTTATGAAGCTTAGTTTGGCTGGATATGAAATTCTGGGTTGAAAATTCTTTTCTTTAAGAATGTTGAATATTGGCCCCCACTCTCTTCTGGCTTGTAGAGTTTCTGCCGAGAGATCTGCTGTTAGTCTGATAGGCTTCCCTTTGTGGGTAACCCGACCTTTCTCTCTGGCTGCCCTTAACATTTTTTCCTTCATTTCAACTTTGGTGAATCTGACAATTATGTGTCTTGGAGTTGCTCTTCTCGAGGAGTATCTTTGTGGCGTTCTCTGTATTTCCTGAATCTGAATGTTGGCCTGCCTTGCTAGATTGGGGAAGTTCTCCTGGATAATGTCCCGCAATCCTTGTTTTAAGAGACCGTCTTTATTGGGACTACCCCTCCATCCTTGATCTTGTTAGCAATGCCGTTTTTGCTCTTAGCTGGGTTAGAGTTACCCAGTTGCATGGGGTTTGGTAATAAAAGACTGTTAACATTTAAAAACAAAAAAAGTGATTGCTATAAAAGTCAAGATAATGGTTACTTTCAGAGGAAGGGAGGGATTGTGTTGGGCTGGGACATGTAAAGGGGTTACACAGGTAGCCAGCAATTCTATTTCTTGATGCAGGTGGTAGTTAACAATGGTATTCACTATATAATAATTCAGTAAGCTAAATATTTGTTTTGTTTGGTTTTCTATATCTGGGTTTAATTTTACAACAGAAATATTTTCTTTAAAAAAGTTAACTGCAATGTTTACTCACTTGTTCTTCATCTTAATTATTTGGTCTTGATGAAGAAGCAGCTCTCTCCAAAGCAAGGGCTAAGTCTCCTTTGACTTCTGAAAGAACTAGGACATAATAATCAGTGCCGGCCAGGTGCGCTGGTTCACGCCTGTAATCCCAGCACTTTGGGAGGCCAAGACGGGCGGATCACGAGATCAAGAGATTGAGACCATCCTGGCCAACATGGTGAAACCCTGTCTCTACTAAAATACAAACATTAGCCAGGTGTGGTGGCAAGTGCCTGTAGTCCCAATTACTTGGGAGGCTGAGACAGGAGAACCACTTGAACCTGGGAGGCAGAGGTTGCAGTGAGCCGAGATCATGCCACTGCATTCTAGCCTGGCGAAAGAGTGAGACTTTGTCTCAAAAAATAATAATAATAATAAACAGTACCAAGTCATGTCCAGTGAATTAAGCACACAAGAAACCTCATGCAACTCGTGTTGAATGAATCTATGAATCAGTTGACAAGTAAGGCAAACACCCATAGCCTAAGTCATTCTGCATACTTCTACTAGATGCTTCTCCCTGGAAAGGTTGGCATCAACCAATCTTTCCAGTCGTACCTTAGTTGCTTTCTCAAACACTCCACTTTAGCCAAACCAGTCTACTTTCAGATTTCTATTTCCTAGCCTTTGTCATTTCTCCTATCCCCCATGCCGTCTCTCATAGGCTTTCCTCCTTCTTTCTATGCACATAAACCCTACTCATCCTTTAAGGCCTGATTATTTTTCAGAACTTAAAGGAGACTGAAGAAATTTCTCCATTTCTTCTCTAAAATCAGTCTTTGTTATCTGCCACATTGTGCTTTCTGATTTCTGTGAACTTCAACAATGCCTATTATCACTACTGGGCACTTAGTTCCTGGCTTGCCCTGATATTGTGAGAGAACATTTTATCTTTATTTGTTTGGAGTATGCAAATACACTTTACTTTTTTTAAGCCTGGAGTTGTGACTGATACTTTTTCTGAAATTACTATAGAAAGCCTACAACATTTTGTGCATAGGAGGATGGCTAGATGGATAGAAGATGGATATACTTTGGAGTATTCAGTGGGTACTGATAGACATAAGGCAGATATGTTTATATTCAATGGGGACGGAATTGTGGGTCCCCACTTTGACCCTGAAAGTCACTGCAAGGGGTCTCTAGCCAACTATGGGCAGCTACAGATGTTGAGCCTCTGCAGACTGAGATGCTGAAATGAAAGAAGAAGACACTGAGTGTGAATGGAAGAATATTACTGATAAACTTCCTTTCACTCATGACTTTGTCCACACCTGGGCCTATCAGCAGGTCACACACTTAAATTTTGAAATTTTAAGCAAAAATTTCAAGAGTCCCACTTCATATACAAAAAGTATATAAAGTATATTTTTAGAGTGTTAAAAAAATTTTTTTGAAATAGAGTTTTTCTCTGTCACCCAGGCTGGAGTACAATGGCATGATCTGGGCTCATTGCAAGCTCCGCCTTCTGGGTTCAAGGGATTCTCTAGCCTCAGCCTCGGGAGTAGCTGGGATTACAGGTGCCTACCACCATACCTGGCTAATTTTGTATTTTTAGTAGAAATGGGGTTTCACATTGTTAGCCAGGCTGGTCTTGAACTCCTGACTTCAAGTGATCCGCCAGCCTCGGCCTCCCAAAATGCTGGGATTACAGGCGTGAGCCACCATGCCTGGCCCCCTCTCTATATCCTTCAAAAAAAAAAAATCTCTGTACACAATCACTTCTGACAAGTTTGGGGCCGGGCAGGACTAGTTGGGTGAGAGTTCTTTTTGGCCTAAAATCTAGGTCCAAGTAATTACCATGAAAAATCTGGGCCCCATCTCTGTTATAAAAGTGATATCTGCCTAAAGCAGAAAGGTTAAGGTCCCTGAAATGTATCAAATGTCCTAGGGAGCTGAGCTGAAAGAGACCCCTGTGCTGGTCAGAACAGGAGGCCAGCCACGCAGCACCATGTTCTGGCTTTCTCCCTCGGTGAACCACAATCCCACTCTCCTTTTAAAGGAATGACTCCAGTGAGAAATCTGCAAGGACCAAACAGATTGGAAAGGATAAAGGAAAGGAGTCTGCAGGCTGAGCTGTCAGCAAAATAAATAAGCAGTATTAGAGATGGGACAAATGGGAACCTCTGGAGCCAACAAACTTCTCGTCCCTCATGCTGGCATGTTCCCACCAGGACAGCCGGCAAAGAAGAGAAAGGCTCCCAAGTGGACTGGATGATGCCTGTTTTATGGGAACTGCTCTAGCTGCTTTCACACATGTCATTTCATTCAATCCTCTTCTGAAACTTGCAAGGAACAGGTTATTGTCTCTGTTTTACTAATAATGCCAACCAAGATTCAGAGAGGGTAAGTACCTGGGTGAAGGTCACATACCTAGTCAGTGTCAGAGCCAGGATTCAAATCCATGTTTATTTTCTTTCAAAGCTCTGCTCACTATGCCACAAGTGAAAACAGAATCATTGCATGTTTCAGCTGAAAAGTCACCTAATCACCACCTCCATTTCACAGGTAAAGAAACTGAGTCCAGAAAGGAGAAGCAACTTGCCCAAGGCCACACGGTGAACTTGTGACAGGTCTTCAGCTGCAGCCCAGGCCTTCTGGTTTCCACATAGGAGCTCTCATCACTTACATCCACCAGGACTCTTCAAGGAAGACACACTCAAATGGGGGCATTAGAGGAGAGTTTAACAAAGGAAGTGTTTAGATGCGAAGGCCCATTTAAAGGAAGCAATAAAGGATTGTGAAGCATCCAAGGTGCAGCAGCATCAGTGGGTCCATGACTACCCAATGCCTGAAGTGACAAAACTGGGGCCCTAACCCCAGAGAGCACTGTAGCTGGGGCTGTAGCTATAGCTGAAAGGAAGCTCTGAATTTGGGTAGAGAAAGCCACTGCCGGCCACAACCTGGCAGGGAGGGAATGAATACACAGACCTCTCCCTCTCCTTGTGCCCATGGTCTTTTACTGGTGCCTCCCATCAGCTGAACCCTAGGGAAAGCCAGAAGGTGAGGGATTCCCATGATGCAGTTTCCAGGGGCCCAGAGCAAGATGGAAAAAAGAGGAGAGAATGCCTGGAGTGGTAAATAAAGACTCTGAGGCACACTGCTAGGCAGGGATGCTTCTCTGAACTTCAATCCTTGGGAAGAGTCTGGCGTCAGCAGGTCAAAGACAACAGAAACAACAAAAGTCTCACATCCCGGTCAATGTGAGGCCAAGAAGGCTTTGCTTTAGGTAATAAAGCATTTCTCACAGCATAGAGCCGGATTGCTCACTGCCCACTGCGGAGGTATTATCCTAATCCGGTCAACCTGTCTGTGATAAAAGCAGGTAGAAGCCTGGCTCCAATCACCTCGGCATCAAAGGCATCTCTCAGGGACTCTTCTGCTTTGGAACCCAGGTCAGTGCTGGTGTTTGAGGGGAGAGTCACTGGTGTTTCTGGTGTGCGTTTGTGAGTATTTGAGAAGTAAAAATAGGAGGAGAAAGCAAGAGGGTGATTGCATCTGTGCAATAGCATATTTGCCTTTTACCAGTTCTTAGAATTGAAGGCCACTTTTAAAAGAAAGACAATCCCTACACAAAGGCAGTTTAGGCATCCTGGTAAGGCACAGCCCTCCTAGCTGTGCCCCTGGCACAGGTGTCCTCACTTTGGCCACACGTACACACACACACACACACACACCAAGCGGTCAGCTCTCCCAGGCCCATCCCAGCCTTCCATGCCTCCTTGAAGTTTCAACCTCAACTTCCACTGAGTCCCGCTCTTCTCGCTGATTTGGTCATATTTCCTATTTAGTTTAAATCAACAGTCCGATTTTATCAACAGTAATACTTTATGGAGGTTTATTTCTTCAAACAGACCATGCTCCTCTTTGCCATAAAGTTAATTTTATGTTCTTTGTTCACTTTCCTAATCTGCAAATTACATCCTCCTGTTCCCTGATTACTTACTATTGGAAAAACAGCCCTTTTTTGCTTCCAGTTTGAATATGCTCTGCCTTATCTTGATGGCCCTAATCTCTCTCCCATCCCTGGCCCCTCAAGGAAGCTGCGAGGACTGGCAGGGTGCAGTACACGGCCAGCACCAACACAGCCTGGCCACTGGGCCAGGCCTGCATGCCTCGCTCCGCGTGGGCCTTTCTTCTTTTCTTTTTTTCTTTTTCTTTTTTCTTAAGCTGAGTGTGGGAAGGGGCTCAGTTGCAGCAGGAGGATTAGAAATTCTGGGACCCACTCCACACTCTCAGAAAGTCCTAGTGGGAAGAAGGAGAACTTCCGACACTCAGAGAAATAAGGACAAACGCCTGGGAGGGTGACATTGGCTAATATTGCATGAAAAATGAACCACCCTTTTGTTGGGAAGTGTGGCCCAGAAGAGGAGGGGCTGCAAAAGGCATCGAAGGCACCAGGAATGGGGAGGGGGAAAAATAGACACAGTCCTTACAAGATTGGGGTTTTTTAAGAGGATGGAGGTGAGATGACTCGGCTGTCAGAAATGGCAAAGAGAATTAAGCCTGCCTGTAACTGCAGAGAGAGAAGGGAGGAAGGCAAATGCAGAAGAAGAAGGACATTGATTTAAAAATATTAAAAGACAGAGTTGGAAGGAATCTAAATAAAGCAAGTGCTTTACAGATGAGGGCAGTGGGATCCCAAGACAAGTCTCCGAAGTTCTAACAACAGCAAAGGAGTAATCCTATTGATGATGATGATAATGGCAACTGATATTTGCTTACTGTTATTTCCCGGACAAATCCGTCTTTTACTGCAGGTTTGCAAATGCCCATGTTTATTTCTAGTTCTGGGCTTCTAGGTCCTCCATAATAGTAAAAGCTCATGTTTATTGCAGGTGTGTGACAGCCACTGTTTAAATGCTTTACATGTCATATTGCACTTAGTCCTCCTCCCCCCACAGGAAAAAAAAAATCCAGGAGGTAAGCATTGTTATTATCTTGATTTTACAAGTGGGGAAACCAAGACCTACAGAGGTTGATAACTTGGCCGGCATCACAAGTAGCCAGAAGTCACAGCGGATCTATCTCCCCAGCTCACACTGAAAAACTATTTGTTGGATGAATAGGTGACTCTTAAACTGATGTATTCTTCGTACAATCCTGCTCCAGCGCTAGTCCCATCACTCTGATTTTCTGGGGGACACTCTGTCAAAAATCCCTCCAGACTTCTCTGTTTCTGGGGCAGAGTCTTTTGAGTCCCTGGGCCAGACCAGGGGTGAGGTAACTTGGTAAATGGCTGAATAGTAAATAGTTTAGGTTTTGCAGACCACATACCAGTTCTGCCATATACCTTTGTTTCTGTTTTTGGCTTATTTCAATCCTTTGAAAGTGTAAAAATCATTCTTAGCTTGAGAGCTCCCTCTTACTCCTGTTCTTGGTCTCAAAACCTTGGAGTCAAATTTCCCTCTCCTACCACCTACCCATCCAATCATAAAGTTCTTTGGATTTGGGGTGTCTCTCAAAATGCCCTTTAAATCTTTTTTAGCACCCATGTCCCCTAGTTCAGGACCCCATTCTCTCATGCATGCTCTGGTCACCAAAATGGTCTCCCTGCTCCCCAGAGAAGCCCATGTGTCACCACTGGATTTATTTTCCCAAACAATGCTTTGCACAGATAATTCTCATGATAAAATATCCTCAAATCTAAGCCCCTTAGTCTGCATTAAGGACCAGTCCCCCAGAACACACACACAGACACCCATACAGTTATATAGTCCTTAATGATCATACACAGAATCCTACTAACATTTAATATGCTAACATCACACTAACAGCAATAAGCATACTAACATTGAGTGAGCATTAATATGAGCTAGCCACTCTGATAGACACATGATCATCTCAGTTAAGCCTTACCAGACAGAACCCTATGAGACAGGTATGATTGCGACCCCATTTTACAGATGAGTTGCTGAGGCCCAGAGAGGTCTAGAGAGATGAAGTGACATGAGCTAGTTTATGCAGTGAATTGATAAAACGAGGAACTGAATGGTGGCCATCAGACTCCAGAGGCCGTTCCCTAAATCTCCACCCTCTATGGCCTTTAACCATGTCTCCCCCTCTGCCCTCTGAGAACCTCAACCACAGTCCCTCCGAGAAACATCCTCAAAGGGACCACATCTCAACTCTTGTCCTGGAAAAGATGTTGATGCCTGAACTTGGAGCACCATAAATGGAGCAGGCATGCCCCTCTGTCCAAACAGCAGACCCCATCAGATGTCCCCAGCACCAGGCTGCCAGCCAACAAGAGGGCAGCTCCGCACAGCTGCATTGCAAAGCAGCAGACCAGGGCGAGCTACTAACATGTGGATGCCGCCACTCCACAACTTGCTTAAAAGCCACACTGTGTTTCCTGGACAATGGCCGCAGGCCAAAACACACACATTCCAGTTTTTACGACTATAAGGTAAGCATTCTTTTAATGGCTCTTTCCCTGTTCCTTCACTCTCATTTGTGTTGTTTTCCTGGTTCCCTCTCCTGGATTTTTTCCTTTCTTAGCTCAGCTCTGCTCTCTGCCTCCCTTGTTTCCAGAGCCTCCTGCCTCAAAGCTTCCTTGTCTCTATCTCCTGCCTGGCTTTTCTGCAGCTTCCTTACTGTAGTAGTCTTCTCCTCCTTTCTGGGTTTTGGTCAGCTTTTCCCTAATTACTAGACTTCCCTTCCTCCTGTCTTCCTGTTTGCTTAAGGAAGCCTCCCTCCCCTCCCTTCACTTGTGTCTTCTTCCCACTTCTGCCAGCCTGCCGGCCTCTCTGCTTCCCAGTGGCCTCTCCCCATTGCCCTTTTCTTCCTTTCTGGACACCTGGTCATCCTTGCCCCACTCTCCCTTCCCCACACCCTTCATCTTTCACCTCTGTTCTTTGTCCCTTGTCTCCTCTCTCTGCTCCTCCCTCCCCTCCCTCATGGGTCCCCTCCTGGTTTCCATCCCCCCATCACCCCTCCCCTTATCTTTGTTTTCCTTCTTTCTGGCTGCTGATAGAGTGGGAGTAGTTGCAGGCTGTGTCCCTGATTTCACATGCAGACCAGGAGCCAGCCTGTCAGTCTAACAATAAAATTGCACGGAAACGGAGGTCTCAGTGCCTACATGCAGTTTGCCCCTAAATGGAGCTGAGCTAGAAGGTTTCAGAGCAAAGCCACCAAGAGTCCCAGGCATCTGGTTCTACAGGCAGGATAGAGAAAGGACTTACTGTTTCTTTTTCCCACTGATCTGGTGTAAGTCAAGGCCAAAGACCAGGGCTGAGACGTGTCATTTGTAGGTTGCAGCCTTGGGGTGGGACCTCCATGACCATCCCTGCCTCCTGACAATAATACACAAAACACACACGTGCGCACACACACACACATGCTCATTTTCTTATTCACTTTCCTTCAGAGCAAAGGCCCTGTAACTTTTCAGATGAAGTATACAAAACTCCCACACTGCAAAATAAAAGCTATAAAGAGAACAAGAGCCACTACCACAGAAGGAGATGTTGCTGCTGGGGAAAGGGCTGCCTCCATCCCCTCTACTCCCGCCCATCAATTCTTTTCAACTTTAGTTGTTCCCTGTTTCCTTGACTGAGCCCCCATTCAAGCTGAGCTGGTGCCTTTCCTTAGAGGACAGCGCCATCTAGCAGGTGAAATGCCAGACCCTTAGCTGAGAGGCGAGAAGAAAAACTTTCCCAGCTGCAGGCTCCCTGGTTCCCAGCTTCTCTTTTTAAGTCTCAGCCAGTCAAACCCCAACAGGTCTGAAAAAATGTGATTTAACCCTTTAGCCTTGTTGAAGATTTAAGTGTCTTCCAATCACCCCTATTTCTCCAGTGCCTGATTTTGTTTCCATCTGTGGCCTTAGTTCCTAGAAAAAGCTAGAACGTTCTAGGTGAGCCAACAGTCTGCGTCTGATGCTTGGGACTTAAGGTGACTTTTTTTTTTTTTTTTTTTTTTTTTTGAGACGGAGTCTCGCTTTGTCGCCCAGGCTGGAGTGCAGTGGCACCATCTCGGCTCACCACAAGCTCCGCCTCCCAGGTTCACGCCATTCTCCTGCCTCAGCCTCCCAAGTAGCTGGGACTACAGGCACCCGCCACACACATGGCTAAGTTTTTTGTATTTTTTTAGTACAGATGGGGTTTCACCGTGTTAGCCAGGATGGTCTCGATCTCCTGACCTTGTGATCCGCCCGCCTCAGCCTCCCAAAGTGCTGGGATTACAGGCGTGAGCCACCGCGCCCAGCCTTCAGGTGATTTTTTCCAAAGCAAAACAAAATAGAATTTCCCAAAGCAGTCTAGAGGATGGCTTAGGCTCCATCTGGAGTTAAGTGGCAATCTTTCTTTCTCTTTCCTTTTTCTATCACGGTTTCGTCTTTCCTTCTGTAAAGACCCTATCTCCAAATATGCCCGCATTCTGAGATAGTGGGGGTTTATGACTTCAACATCAACTTCTGGAAGAACACAATTCAGCCCATAACAGATGGCAGATGGTTTTCTTTTCTCTTGCAAACTCTGATCAGTTGGTGGTGGCTGCTCAGACCCCTTGCCAAAGAGAGTGAGAAGGATTCTAAGATCAAATCCATATGGGGCAGAAAAGAGTGCTGTGAATGACTGTCAATGTCTGCTACAGGCATGGGAGTATGGAGGGGCAGCGGGATGGTCCCATGCTTGCCCTTGCTGGAGTAGGGCATGTGCACAACATAGACCCTGCCTCTCAGGAGCAGGGAACATCTATCAGCACTATATATCTCAACATACCAAAAACATCCCAAGGCCACACTTCTGAAAGAAGGCCCAGGGCCATTGTGTAGTCCTCTCAAGCCCTTCATTTTACAGATGAGGAAAACTGAGGTCCAGAGAGCTTGTGTCTTGCCTATGATCCCTCAGCTCCTTTGTGGCAATACCAAGACTAGACCCTAACTTCATATCTCCTGACCTATTTGCTTTTTCCCAAGATCTCCAGTTGCTCCTGGTAACATCAAATGAAGACAGAAATTCTTGTATTGCCCATGCGAGATTCCCCAAGTCCCTCATCCTACAGACCCAAGAAGGAAGCATGTGAAGAGAGCGAAGCTAAACGTTGAAGGTCCTGGTTGGAGTTGGTGGTCAACTCCACTGTTGCTTGGATCACTAGGCATTAAAGGGTTCTGAGGCTGCATTTAGGCCTTTCCAGAGAGAACACTGTCATCCATTAGCAATGGCTGCCATTGCTATGGGCACAGGATTGGACAGTAGAAAGATGAATATTATATATTTGTCGGGTTAGGTCATCTCCGAAGTCCCTTCCAGTTCTAAGATTTTGCAATAAGAGCCTTGAGCAGGAATCAGGTTTCTTTCTTGAACTTAAATGAGAAAACTAGGTTAAGGGACATGCTGATGTTCTGGATGTCTGAATATATATGTGACCTGCTCCAAGGGCTTTCAGAAAAGGCCTCTTCTTTGCACCGTTATGACCCAGAAGGCCCAACTCCCCATTACATATGATCCATAGTTTCAGTCCCACTGAAGTTCTTACTGGTATTTCTCCATATGCACTTTTCACCCTAATGTCAGCTAGTGAGACTCAGGCTCTGGATCACGGCTGAACCTTGGCAACTTCCATTTACTTGATGCAAGTGACAGGCAAAGAGTGGTTACTAAAGAGTTATCCCTTAGCCATTGCAGGTGAGGGGATATGCAAAGGTCAGCTGGCTCACAGGCCCCAGAAAAGGTCAGCTACAAGAAAAGAAGTACCATTTCTCAGAGGCTGTCCAACATGCCACAACACTTGTATGTGTCTGACTCATGGGGTTGTTCAGGAAGAGATACTTTGAAACGTTGAATACATTTGCCTCTTAACTCCATATAGAGGCAAAGACATGGGTTCAGGTTCTTCTGCTCCAACTCAGCTTGAAATCTCCAACTCCCTTCTACTCATCCGTCTTGGCAGTTTCACCTAGACCAGCTTCTAGGGAACATTTGAGGTAGGTGTTTATCACCTGGAGGAAAAAGCTCCATGTGAATGGCTATGGAAGAATGGGAGAACTGGTTAAGAACTCAGCTCTAGAGATGATCATATCTAGGTTCAAATCTCAGTCCCACTGCCTTCTAGCTGTGTGACCTCAGACAAGTTACTTAACTCCTCTAAACCTCAGTATTCCCATCAGAAAAGTAGGGAGAATAACAGTACCTTTCTCATATTTGTAAGAGTTAAACAAGATCATAGTTACTCGTGCTATTATTGGTATTATTAATTCAACAGACAATTAGGGTGCACCTAGTCTGAACAGGTTGGAGTACAAATATATTGTTCTTCACAGAGTTCATGGTCAGTTCCAATTTAGCTATGTAATAAGTGCCAAATCAGATACTTGTTCAAAGTACAAGGAAGGAAGGATTAGTTCAACCTGGGGATCAAGAGAAGTTTCTTTACAGAGTCCATAATATTTGAACCTTAAAGAAGGAATAAGATTTTGCCACAAGTCTTCAAGGAATCAACATATGAAGGGAGGAGCAAAGCCTGTTGTGTGAACTTTGAATATAGGCTGTACCCGGAGATGAGGAAGTCCCTGGATTTACTCTCAGATGGAACTCCTGATCCCAGGAGGGAACACCTTCAGGAGTCAGAAGATCTGATTTGACCCTGGATTCCTGTGTCACCTCAGTCAAGTCACCTTACTTCTCTGTGCCTCCACTTCTTTAACGTTAAATGAGATGGCCTTCCTGCAGAGATGTTCCATGAAGCTTGAAGTTTTAAATAAGAGGTGTGAAAAAACTTTGGGGAATTGAAAGAGCTATTCAAACAAATAATAATAGCAGTAACAAATGCTACACAGCACTTACTACATGCCAGGCACAGTATCAAGGGCTTGCAAGCGTTATCTTATCAAAGTAACCATTCTGTTGCCATTTTGCAGATGAGGAAACCTATTTGGAAAAGCGGTAACTTGCTCAAAGTAATGCAACTAGTAGGTGGTAGAGCTCACATTGATGTGTCAGTGAGGGACAAGGGTGGTAGTCATCTTCCCCACCCCTAGACATGCTGGAGCTACTTTTTAATTATCTTGGGGTACAGCTGGACTGATTTCCTCATTGCTCAGATGAGAAACTGAGGCATCAAACAATGCCTGCTCAGAACTGGATACAGGGTGTAGGTATAGTGCCTGCTTGAGTCCAGCTTGCCTACAGCTAAGGAAGCAGAGAGGATTCTGGGTTCCTCTATGCTCTACTTGGGAGATTAGAGTCACAGCACATCACTCTTTCCTTGCCCAGTGGGTGCCAAGAAGAGCTCAAATGCCAAGTTTCATTAAAGCATACCCCAGAGGGTCACTGTCTGGACCAGGAACAGCTGGATCACAGAACACAGGCCTCCGCCTCTTACAAAATTCCTGAGGCCATCACTTGGCCAGATCCAGAACACCCCACTGGAGATCCCAAGTTTACTGGGAAGAGTTCTCTTATTTCCCCTCAAAGAGCATTGGCAGAACAGGGCTAAGGGAAAGAAGGCTCAGAGCCACCAGTGCCTCCAGGCACAAAGGGGAAAGGCCAGCCATAAGAAGCTGAGAAGGAAGCTGTCTGGGGCTCCTGGGTGGACCTAGAAAGGAGAATGAGGGGGTGTGTTTGGAAGCTGGGGATAGCTGAGGCCTCATAGCTAGATAGAGTTTGCTCAGGGCATCCAAGGAATTTCACCTATTGAGAAAGCTGGGACGTAAAAGCTCCCAGTGAAGGGGGTTGGCATCCATGTGCCTGGAGCTGGGGGAAAGCTTTGGCTGCAATTTCCTCTGCTTTTAAACGAAGGAGGAAATGGAAGGTGCTGGTGCATAAAACAGGGGAATAGCAGGGTGATTTTGGGTGCTAGCTGTCCACCTGGGTCTCTACAGCTTCCTCCATTCTAGCAACCTGTCCAATTTTCACCTTCCTCTTCCTCTTTTTTTTCTTCTTCCTCTTCTACTACTGTTTCTAGATCACATTTATTGAAGGCTACCTCTAGGCCAGGCACATTGCCAACAGCTTTATATGCATCATCTTATATATACTGCATAACAACGCTAGGAGGTTGATAATACACAAAGATATTAGAGAGAAGGAAACTAAAGCTCAGAGAGGGTTAAATAAACACCCCAGGGTCACAGGTCTAATGCACCTTCCAAATCCAAACTTATGCCTTACTTCATAGGCAAGGCAGTATGATATTCCCATTATACCGCCTTGTGTATGAAATCTTTGTGTAGACAGGGAGCCTATCCAAGAACTGCCTATGAGAGGCTGAGCTTGGGCTAAGTCTTTTACTCCTCAATGAGAGAAGTTACTAGCTGTGGCACAGTTAAATCACTAAAGGGAACTTTCTTCAAAACAGAGATGTGAGAATACTCAATTGTTCTCAGATAGGAATATAAGAAAGCTGTCTGCATTGTAAGAGTTGAAGAAAGAAGCAGCCCCAGCCCAGGGGAAGGAGTCAGAGACGAGGAAGAAGGCTAAACATTGTAGGCTGATGAAGGGGTGGACTTTGAACCCAGGCCTCAGCCAGTGCTGCTGTTGACAACGTCATCTTGAGAAGACAGATGAACAAGTCAGGGTGAGCCAAGAGGGAGTAAGATCCTGGTGCAACCATGATAAGACTTAAGCTGAAGCCTCACCCAGGAATGGTACAGGACTAAACTTTACCAGTTGCACTGTGAGCCAGTGAGAAACTATACCTCTGGAAGATTGGCCACGGTCCAAGGCTCCTCAGTGTGTGTCCAATAAAGACTGACCACCCTTTGGGCTCAGCAAAGCCCTGGGGTATTTGGTAATTAAGGGGTAGTGGAAGTGTCTGGGCTTCCTTTAATAAGGCATATGAGGATTTCAAGGAATCAAATGGAAGAATAAGAAAATGGATCCTATATGCACACTGAGATTGCTCCACAAGCAGTAATGTGACTGAGTTTTTCTTTACTATTCCTGTTGGTCTTTCCATTCCATTGGCATGATATGGGATAAAGAGCAGTAGGGATAACTTGCTCAAGAAATCCATAACTCAGCTGGGCACGGTGGCTCACACCTGTAATCCTAGCACTTTGGGAGGGCGAAGCAGACAGATTGCCTGAGCTCAGGAGTTTGTGACCAGCCTGGGCAACACAGTGAAACCCCATCTCTACTAAAATACAAAAAATAAGCCGGGTGTGGCCACGTGTGCCTGGAGTCCCAGCTGCTCGGGAGGCTGAGGCAGGAGAATTGCTTGAACCAGGGAGGCGGAGGTTGCAGTGAGACAAGATCGTGCCACTGCACTCCAGCCTGGGTGACAGAGCGAGACTCTGTCCAAAAAAAAAAAAAATTCCATAACTCACTGACACAAAGACAGTTTCTCTCCCCCAACCACCTCAGGATCATCATGTATGGCTGTATAAGCTATGCACTGCTCAGATCCAGTGGCACAATTCACACAGACTTTGATATGAGTGTTTCCTCCAGGAGTTATGCAATAAACAGATGCTGGACTGCATTCGTTCATCTGTTAAGGATCGGGTCAAACACATCCTTCTCCAGGCAGTCTTCCCCAAACAGTCCAGCTGACAAGAATCCCTCCGTCTTCGGTATCCCCACGGTATATTCTACAAGTCACTTTCTGCCTTGTAGTCAATGTTTCATGTGAATGGCTTGTCTTTCCCACCAGACTATGGCTTTTAACCTTTTTGGAGAGGTCCTAGGCCCCTTTGAAAACTCAATCAAAAGTTCAAACATTTTCCCCAAGAAAAAACTGCACAAACACATACAATTTTATATCCAATTTCAAGGAATTCATGGTTGCCCTAAAACCCATCCACAGCCAATAGAGCGTAGCTTCCATGAGAGCAGAGACAGTATCTGTCTTGTTTACCATGGCATCCTGATTGTTCACACAGTGCCTGGCACACAGTAGCGTAATAAATGCTTGTTGAATGAAGAAATGGTTCAACTCTGGAAGGTTCTTGAATACAGACTAAGTGTCAGAGCCATTTTTGTAGCTTCAGAGAGTTTTCAAGACAGTGGGCCCTTAACCAGCCTGGCGTACACTCAAAATGCTAGCTGAAAAATTATTGCTCAGCCCCACCTGGGATAGACACCTCATCCAGCCCAACCCTTCCAGGGCCAGCCAGACAAGGAAACTTCTCCAAGCTCCAGAGTCTCCACAATGGAAAGGCAACATCTCTGCTTGGTGGTCTT
Organism: Homo sapiens; assembly: GCF_000001405.40. Lineage (NCBI taxonomy): Eukaryota > Metazoa > Chordata > Mammalia > Primates > Hominidae > Homo > Homo sapiens. The sequence goes on along the minus strand of NC_000005.10, from coordinate 158,168,597 downwards.
TTCAGGTGCTGAATGGGAAATCTGACTCAATGACATTTCTGGCCACTTAAGAGTTCTGAGAATTTATGCTTCCTTTCCTTGCTGCCCAAGAAAATAGAGAAGTTTGTTTAGTAAACTGAATGATATGGTTCATCAAATAATAAGCCCTCATATAATTTGCAAATTAAACTGTCCTCTACATTTTCATAAGCATGCACTCTTCTAGTCCTTGCAAGTCATACAGTGAAACAGAAAACAGATATTGTCCTCATTTTACATATCAGGAAGTTGAGGCTCAGAGAGGCCAAGTAAGTTGCTCTAGTCACACTGTTTTTCAAAGGCTAGAACTAGCACCCTGGAATTCTGTCTGTTTCTCTGGCATTCTTTTTGCTGACCTTAGGCTGCTATCTAAGCAATTACAGAATCATGTATTAAATGTCTTCTATATGCAGATGTCAGCATGCTCTGAGTTTGGCCTATCTGAGCCATGCCCCAGAGTCTGTCTGCATCAAACTAGAAAAGTTAATCTGCTCAGCAAGTATCACCTGCCACAGGGTTCCCATTGCCAAAGGCCAGGCTAAATCTGGCCAGGGACTGCCACTAGGTCTTAAGAAAGTCAAAAGCCAGCCACACAATTGCTCAAAATGGCCTGTCCCTCCTCCATCACCAAGTGCTGACCACAGGAACCACACCTCCTCTCTCCCATGAGTGGGCCAGGTGTGTCTTCATCCCTGGGCTGTAGGTTATGACAGAAGATGAGGGCTTGGACCATGAATATCCACAAAGAACAGTTCAAATGACTGAAGGAAAAGAGAGAAGACTGGGAAGTGAGGTGACTTCTTCGAGCAGGGGCCTCTGCTCTAAGGAAAAGAAGTCAATGAGAGGCATTCAGAGTGATCTTTAAGCACAAAAAGGGACATCCCACTACAGACGATTTAGACTCACTTTTTTCCATCTGTATCAAAAGTAAAAAAAGATAAGCACTCCCATTGCAACAGGCAAATTTTAGGTTAAGTGTGAATAAGGACATCCCAACTATAAAAGTGAATGAAGCTGTGGAGTGTCCACCACCCCTAGAGAGCTTTGGAGTACGATTTGCAACTCATGTTACCAAATTGCTTAAAGGCAGGTAAGCTTGTATCAAGACAAAGAGGCAGCCCAGTTGACCTCTATACTGGACTACTCTTCCCAATTTGACATTTTGTTGCTACCTTGAATCATAATAATGTGTTATGCCTGTATAGACTTTACAGTTTTCAAAACACTTTTATGGAGATTTGAATCACCTCTAATAATTCTGCAAAATAGTTTGGGGAGAAATTACCATGTTCAGTTTAGAAATGAAGAAAATCAAGAACCCACAGCCAGGCCGGGCAGAGTGGTTCACATCTGTAATCCCAGCACTTTGGGAAGCCAAGGCAGGAGGATCACTTGAGGCCAAGAGTTCAAGACCAGCCTGGGCAACATAGCAAGACCCCGTCTCTATAAAAAATTTTAAAAATTAGCCAGGCATGGTTGTACGTGCCTGTAGTCCCAGCTACTCGGGAGGCTGAGGTAGGAGGATCACTTAAGCCCAGGAGTTCAAGGCTGCAGTGAGCCAAGGTTGCACCACTGCACTCCAGCTTGGGCAACAGAGGAGACCCTGTCCCAAAAAAAGTGGCGTGGGGTGGGGTAGGGGGGAAGAATCCACAGCCAGCCAGTGAAAGACCAAGACAGGACTTGAACTGTGACCTTGGAACTCTTACAGGGTTGTGCTTTTTCCACCAGCTATGGAGAACCATGCATCTTACCCGCCGAGACCTCAACTCTCAGCTACTCAATTTCCAAGGTCTGAATCTTTGTGCCAGCCATTTGGATTTCTGAGAAAGCCCAGGGAAGCCCATACACAGACACTCAGGCCATAGCGGGCAAGAGTGAGAAATCACAGTGACGTGCTTATCTAGCTGGAGCTGCCTGCAGATAAGAAGGAAGATAGTGCATGTCACAGCAACTTCCTGGGTTTGTGTTCAGACCACCATTCCCCCTCGGCCCTACTGAAACAGACTCCAGTCATGAAACACTCCCCTCTTCCTGCCTTTTTGTCTTCTCTAAGTTCTTTGCTCTCCCCGCAAGCCTCCTCCCTTATCTTACGGCTCCCTCTCCTTCAGGCAAGCCAGGCCTAATCTCTCACCTCTCACTGGCAGGACAAAGAAGCTGTTCAGTGTGATGACAGGCACTGGGAAGAGACCCTTGCCCCCAGAGATCTCCCAGTGGCTAAAACACCCGAAATGAAGGGCAGTCTCACACTCTATGTTGACTGATTAAAACTCTAGAGACTTAGCGGGAATTACTTTATCAGAATGCCTTCCTTTACATCAGGAGTGGGTTCGTATTTATCCAGTCAACAATGGTGCTAGGCATAGGGGTACACAGCCCCAGGCCTCACAGCACTCATGGTCTGATACTGAGCTGCTGTGACTCTGTTATAGGAGTGCCATGATCCTGAGTCCCTCGGTCCTCTGGGCAGCTGGGTGGCAGGCACCAGGGCTTCCCTCTCACCATGAGGTCCTCATTTGTCATTACTGTGTGTGCTGCACCATGAGAAAGGTTGGGTCCTGGTCTAATGGACCTACATCAACCAAATCCAAGGCTCCTGGAGAGAGAGGAGGGGAAGACACTGAAAGGGAAAGAAAACCCCCAAACCAGAGAATTGGAGTCCTGCAGGCAAATATTACTTTTTGATATGACTGGAATTTATCTTACTGCCCTATCACTGCTGCCACCCACTGTCCATACCCACACATGCCACAGTCCAACCAAAGAATTCCTATGCACTGCTTTTTAACAGCAACTGAAGGGGCATCCTGGGACCCTCTAAGCATTTACTTGCTTTGATTTCCAAGCCTGCTATTTCATTCTTGTCCTGGTTTTCTTGAAATCTGAGGCATGAAGTGGCCCAAGACCACTCAGTAAGTAAAAACAGGGTGGATAAGAAGTCAGAGCAGGCACCAGTGTGCTTGGAATTCTGGCCCATCACCTACTAAACCTGTGACCAGAGGCTGACCACTTTACTTGCCTCCTCTCCCTTATCTGTACAGTGGGTATTTAAAGAGTATCTACATGGACTACTACTCAGCCATAAAAAGGAATGCATTAATGGCATTCACATCAACCTGGATTGGATTGGAGTCCATTAGTCTAAGTGAAGTAACTCAGGAACGGAAAACCAAACATCATACATTCCCACTTGTAAGTAGGAGGTAAAATATGAGGATGCAGAGGCATAAGAATGACAAAATGGACTTTGGGGACTCAGCAGGAAAGGCTGGAAAGGGAGTGAGGGATAAAAGACAAAAAATCAGGTTCAGTGTATACTACTCAGGTGATGGGTGCACCAAAATCTCACAAATCACCACCAAAGAGTTTACTTGCGTAACTAAATACTACCTGTTCCCCAAAAACCTATGGAAACGAAAAAATTAAAAAAAAAAATAAAGAATATCTACTCTGTTGCATTCTATGGAAGATTAAATGAGATAATACAAGGAGATGCTCATGGCTTGGCACAAAATAAGTGCTCATTTTAACAATATTAATATTTTAATTGGCACATAACAAGTGCTCATTTTAACAATATTAACATTTAATTGTTTAATAAGTCCTCATTTTAACAATATTAGTAGCCATGTCAGAAGCCCTCAAGTTTCACCGTGCAGTGCTGTTTTGTTTTCATTATTGTTTTCCTGCCAAACTACCCTTTGTGTCATAGGAGATTGACATATTTATGACTCAGTTCCTGATTCAGTGAAGAGAATGACCCTTTGAAATGTCACTAGAAGGGCAATTGCTCCTTGCTGCAGATTCAGATCATCAGTTTGCTAGTTCCCCACTTCAAGACCTGTGCCCCGTTGGCACAAAGCAGACCCAAAACCTAAGGTCTCTCCACACACCCTCAATGCCAGCCTCTTGAATCAAATTACGAAAGGATCCTCTTTTCAAATGCAACTTTGATATCAGACTAACCAAAAAGATACAGCACTCTGGTCTTAGTGACACAATTCTTATCTCACTAGTGAATCTTGCAAAGAAAGATATGAAAGTCTCATTCTCCCACAGAAGGGCTTGAGTAGAATTGAGATAGTGCAGTTCAGGGGAGACTTGCTATATTATATCTGAAATCGCTAGACATTTGAAAGCAGAAATGTCTTTCCCCTTTGAGTATTGCATCCTAACTGCCATCCAGAGATGATTTATATGTGCTCATCCTTATTACAGACTACACATAATAAAGGCATGATAGAAATCATATCTGCATAGATTCAGGCAGCTCTGGGAGAGAGGCTGCCAGTTTTGTTTGACAAGACACTCAATCAAGCAAAAAGGTTTAAAATATTCCAGGAGGATCTCACTGCCTGCTCAAGACTGTATATTTTTATCCAGATAACAGAAATCCTAATTGAATACAGCATTAGTACTCATTTTTCCTAACTCCTTTTTGCAATAAGAAGCATCGACGGGAAATTATGAAAACATCTTGCTTTTGTGGTTCGGGGTTACGAAGGAGGAGAGTTTGTCATTGGGTTGTTCCCATAAACTCAGGCATCTCCAGTGCTTTGGGTGCTTCTTAGCAGGGAGTGAGGACTTCTATGCACACTGTACTTGGAAATAAACCAACATATGGCTGGGTTTTTCCCTACATTTTTTTTCACTGGGTGAAATTTTTCCTTCAGTGCTTCTTCGTCTGTTGAAATCCCTTTTAAAGCCTTCCTTGTACTTATGATAGCAGGGCCAAGACCAGGGGGAGGCAGATGAGATACTCATCTGGGTGCACAATTTAAGGGGGCACCCAAAACTCAGGAATCAAGATAAATAATATTGTAATGAAATATTTTTTAAATAGAAGTGAATGCACAAAACAACCTATGACAAATACAATTTCAAAATTTTAACTAAACGCAGGAACTAGCTACTCTGCACTGATGCAAGATGCCTCACTCTGCTCACCCCAACCATGATCTCGTTTCCAAAAATACTGTATTTACAAAAATAGGCAGCTGGCCTGTAGATCAGAGTTTCCTGATTTTATTTATTTTTCTAAATATCGCATTAAAATATTATCCTGATCCTTGCTTTGTTTGGTGCCACCTTAGATTTTGTACAGGAATAAAATGCCCGAAATATAGACAAAGATGCCCCAAAACCCACAAGGACACTAAAAAAAAAAAAAAAAAAAAAAAAAAAAAACAAATTCACTCATTCAAATACCCCCTCATCACCATGGCACCAAACACCTTTACTCCAGACTAAAGGTGAGCAGAGGAATGGAAAAAAAAAATGTTTAGGCCATGATCCCAGTTCTCAAAGAGAATCTCCTTTCCAGCCCTTCCAAGAGCTGACAGGTTGATAAAACGTTTAAGGGCATAATGTTCAAACAGAGAAAAAAATTAAAAATGTAATAATAAAGTTAAATGTAACTGTTTTAAAGCATAATTATTCCGAGAGACGAGTTTTATGTTGGACCAGCATTTGAGGTAGCAGTAGTCATTATTAACGGGAACCTCCGAGAGAGAAGATTTAAATCACCAAAGTAATAAAAGCTGAACAAGGACTAGCACCTTGAAAGGCACTTGGAGAGAAGATTGCATACAAATGCAATTAAAACGATGCTTATAAAATACTAAGATGTTAATTGGGTTCAGTCCCAGAAGCCCCAGCAGTACAGTATGTCAGAAGTTAGCTGGTTTGAAGTTTAAAAAGAGTAGTTTAATTTGTACACCTTGTCCTAATTACAGAGCTTTCTGCAGCCCGCGTATCTGTATGGTTTATTGTAGCTTGGAGCTTTGTAAAACAAACACACACACCAGTTAATTGGGTTATTGCGATGGAAAATTGGGCTACAGAACAGCAACCTCTCTTGCTGGTGTGCCTTTACAGCTGGTAATGAACGCTCCAACCACGTCAGGGGACGCTGATTTGTAAGGTGTGCCGTTTACAGCTTGGTGATTCTGTTGGTCTGAGAAATAGGAGGTGATACCGTGAAAACAAAGAATCACACCAGATAATGTTCCCTCACGACCACACTCCCGCCCCAGCTGGCTTGTTTAGAACTTTTAGCACTGCCACCCTCCCCACCCCTGGTCCCTGCCCTTTCAAATATCCCAGCACGTCTGAAGGCCACATTTTCACATTAAAGACCTGAGCCCAGAATGGAGGGGAGGAAGAGTGGCTCCTCCAGTAGCCCTGTTTTCAGAGCACCTGCAGGGAGACCTTGGGAGGTGGTGGTTTTTCTCCTAACCAGCAAATAAATACGTAATGCTATCAAAATAGGATCATTAAATTGGATTAGGAGTGAGCGCAGCTGAATCATTTTCCAGAAGTCCTGTTGGAATGTGCTTCCCACGGTTGGGGTTTTGGCCACTTTGTGCCTGGCACTGGCACACTTCCTTCATGAGGGAGACCATAAAGCTGAGACATATCATAGGCTATGGGCTCTCTCCGTTAATCTCCCTTCCCCTTCTATCTCTAGCTGCCAAACAGGAAGCCCAAACGAAGTGAGATGAGATTGTGGGGACTTTTCTTCCTACCCCAGCTAACTTATTCATCTCCAAGAGGCTCAGAAATGAGCAAGAAGGTGGCAGGCAGTCTGCAGAAACAGCAAGTGGTTCCCAGCTTGTCAAAAGTACAGGAAGGCCAGGTGCAGTGTCAGCATGCCTGTAATCCCAGCACTTTAGGAGGCCAAGGCAAGAAGATCGCTTGAGCCCAGGAGTTCAATACCAGCCTGGGAAACATAGCAAGGCCTCATCTCTACAAACAAAAAAATTAACCGAGCATAGTGGTTTACGCCTGTGGTACCAGCTACTTGAGAGGTTGAGGTGGATGATCCTTGAGCCCAGGAGGTCGATGCCATGGTGAACCATGACCGTGATCACACCACTGTACTCCAGTCTGGGTGACAGAACAGGATCTCGTCTCAAACAAAACAAAACAGAATAAAACAAACAAACAAACAAAAAAACTAAAAAAAAAGTACAGGAGGGCCCCCTTGGTCAGTGACCACAACTGAGAAAGAAATATCCTTTCCCAGCCACAGCCCAGAACAGTTCTGCAAGTGAAGTTCATGATCCAGGGCAGTCCAGAGCAGCTGGCCCAAGGCAAACTCAGACAGTCAAGCCCTAACTCCAGCCTCTCCTCCTGTGAATGAGGGGCCTGTCCACTCGCAATTGAAAAGAAAGCAATTTGATACATGAAGGCACACTAAGGAGCTGGTGTCTCAAAGTTTTCCCCAGTCAAAAGCATTTGAAATTTAAAAGAGCATTGCAATGGATAGATCACACTTTACCCAGAGTCCATTCACCATGCTGAACTCTCTGGGCATCAAGAAGAAGCTTTTCAATGTGCCTGGGTGCCATGAAGAATCTTAGAACACAGGTCTCTCTTGTTGAGGGGGTGACACTTGAGAGAGGCAAACTCCATGCCTGGCTCTCCAGGGCAGTGCTGGTCTGCACGGTGAGTGGAGGAGGGGCAATGGCCGTGGCAGCTTGGGGCAGCCTTAGGATAATTATCTACGTGAACCATCTCCTTGGACCTGAATGTTCAGAATTAAAAAGGCTTACTTTGATTCAATATTCTAAAAGGAAAGTATTGCCCCTGTCCCCTCAGCCTGGATATAATAATGCCCATGCTTACTGCCACTAAGTATCCAGGAGATCTGAAACAGAGGCTTGGACTCAGCTCATGACAGTTCTGTATCCAATTCTGGCCCTACCCCTATCCCCTGTGTAGCCTAGCACACATTTCTTAACCTCCCTCGGCCTCAATGTCCCCATCTGTAAGCCAAAGACAATTATATTACCCGCCTCTAATGTGGTTGCTGTGAGACAAGGAGACAAGGCAGGTGAAGTGCTTAGAACACTGCCAGGAACATAGTAAGCACTAAATTAATGCTTGCTATTATAATGACCACTATCAATATTATCCTTGCTTGACAGATGGGGAACTGAGGCTCAGGGAAGTTGAGTCGTGTGCTGAAGGTCACACACGGAAGTGGAAGAGCAGAAATTCACATTCAAAGCCAAGGATGCTGACTGAAAAGCCCAAGGTCTTAATCAAGATGGAGGGCATGTTTTACTGAGGGTTTACCCCCTCACACGCAAAGACCTTGACTCAACCTGGGTCTTTTCAAACCAGAATCTGGGAGAGGAGCAGGACATGGGGATGTTTGAGAGCATGAAGTTGCCTGAGATACGGTACCTCTGAGGAAAGAAGACCTCAGGCATCCGGACCTGGGAATCCAGGGTCACCGCAAACACACCACTCATGTCACAACTTCACCCTCTTGAGTCCCAACCTGGGGAATCAGACTTAAGGATGGTGGCAAGAAGAAATGCATGTGGCCCAGAGCTACTATAGTTTCTGCTCAAAATTGACTTTAAGGTTGTATTAAGAAGGGAGAAAGCATCAGCAAACCCAGCCTCCCTGGCTCCTAAACCCTGCGGCAAACAGATTATTATTATTATTTATTATTTGTTGATGGATATTCAAAGCCATCAGTCAGGTCTCCCCTCAGGCCAGCAAGCCGAGGAGGAACAGCACTAGAAATCTCGAGTTTGGCTCCCAGAGCTGCTCAGGAGCTGAGAGTTATTAAAGTACACTTTGCTATTGCTATCTGCTCTGCAGGGTGCTTGACCCTACATCTGACTTCAGGCTTCTGCCGTCCCTGCAGTACAGGCAACAGAAAGTCATACAAATTGCAAAGAGGGACTCCAGGGATGACAGAAGAGGAGATGGTGGGTAGGAGGAGGATGCTGGGGGCGGGGGAAGCGGGTGTTGAAATGGAGATTTCATATCCTTGTTTGTCCCCTTGCTCCCTTGTCCTTTCATTACTCCATAACCACAGGACTCAGGGAGACGAGACAATGAAGAAACTGCCCAAGGAAGGAAGGGTGCTGTGGTCCATGGCAATAGAAGTCCATGTAATAAAAGAGGAGAGAGTGGCTTGCCACTTCATGTCACCAGAGTGAATACAGATCATATCCCCAACCAGAGGCTGTCGAACTTACTTTGGCCTTGACTCTGACCCACAGTTAGAAATACATTTTACAACATGTCTCCCACACTCTCATAACTGAAACAAAAAATGTCACTCAAGTAATACTTGCTTTTACCACGAGACACCCTTTGACACTTTCTGCAATCTTTTGTAGTTGACTTAAATCTTAGTGGAGGCCCATAAAATTAATCTCATTACCAGCCTTAGGCCTTGGAATCAGAATCCCCTGGGAATAAAGTCAGGAGACCGACATTTTTAACAAGGACCCAGATGATTCTCCTGCAACTAAACTATGCCTTGGGCCCTCGGCTACCTCAGCCTGCCTTCTGAGGAAATTCTTGAAATAATCCAGGAATTTTCAATGTCTGGAGGCAGCCAGGTCTGTAATGGCTGGTCTAGGCCTGTGGTGGTTCATCTTACGTGTTGGCTTGGCCATGATGCCCAGCTGTTTGGTCAAACGCTAATCTAGGTGTTGCTGTTGAAGGCATTTTGTAGATGTGATTTGCATTTATGATTAGTTGAGTTGAAGTAAAGTAGATTATTCTCCATGATATGAATGGGTTTCATCCAGTCATTTGAGGGCTTTAAGAGCAAAGGCTGTTTCCCAAAGAAGAAACAATTCTGCCTCAAGACTGTAACAGAAGTCCTGCCTGAAATTCCAGAGTCATAAACTTGCCAGCCCCCACAATTGCATGATCCAATTTCTTAAAATGAATCTCTTTTTACATATATATGCACATATATTCCATTGATTCTGTTTCTGTGGGGAATCTTGACTGACACAAGGCCTAAAGTCAAATTTACTATTAAGTAAATGTTTTAATATATAAAAAGGAATGCTTATTCTGGCCACACAGTGAAAACTAAAATTATAGGGAAGGAAGACTGGATTCAGGGAGACATGGAAAAGGGACTATTTTATTATAATCTAGTCTACACTTAGGTAGTGGGAATGAAGAGAAGAGGGTGTGCTCCTGAGATATTTATGAGACAGATTCCATGGAAATTCATGGTTAATTTGTTATAGAGGTTGAAGGAGAAAAATAATACAGAGTGTCAGTAGGGTGTTGGCTTGGTGAGTAGAAATAGAAAATAGAGTGAGCAGTTTGGGGAAGAAAAATGCTGAATTAAATCCTGCAGGTGAAGATACCTAATAGGTAGCTGCATATATGTGCCTGGAGTTTAGAATTAGATTTGAGAGGGGTGGAGGTGGAGATTTTACAGTCATTTACATGTAAGTAGTATTTGAAGACATGGGGATAGATACGCATATTAGTAAAGACATTAGTTAAGACACAAATTCTCCTAACCACATAAGAGGTGGGGGAGGTAGTATTTATTGGCTCATGTATCTAAAAAATGCAGGGATGTGCTGGCTTTAGACCCAGCTATTTGAGGATGTCCAAATGTTTAAACGTCCAAATATTACTATAAGGAATCAGTCTTTCTCCATCTATCTCAGTGTTTCTCTTCCTTCAAGGTGCATAAATGGCCACCAGCACCTCCAGGCTGACATCCTACAAATTTTAACCTCCATGAAAAAATACTACCTCCTTCCAAACAAATCCAGCAGAAATTCCAGGCTGCAAGTTTTGACTGTTTCCCCAGCTCTTACACTGTTCACTTCTCATTCAAATTTTGACTCAAATGTCAGTTTCTCAGTGAAGACCTCCCTGACCACACTGATTAGATAATGCCCTACCTCAATCACTCACTGCCCCTTTATTCTACTTTATTTTTATGGCACTTATTAATATCTGATATTATCTTATTAATATATGTATTTAATTATTTGTTTATCTATCTCCATATATAAAATATAAAATTCATGAGCATATAAAATTCATGAGAATATAAAATCCATGAGCATACAAAATCCATGGTTCTGTTCACCTTGTGGATTCCTGATTTCTAAAACAGTACCTCCTGGCATGTATTAGGTGCTCAATAAATACATGTTGAATTAATAGATTTTGTCCATGATGAGAGTATTGATGCCAGTGGAATGCTACAAATTATGGTTTTCCCCTCCCCTCCCCCAAATGCTGGTTTTTAAACACTTACTAGCACACCAGAATCTTAGAACACTAAGAGTGGTAAAGGCTTTGTTGGTTCTACCAACACAAATCAATTTGCATATACTAAAACAAGGGTAGAATGGCTGGGGACAGTGGCTCATGCCTGTAATCCCAGTACTTTGGGATGCTGAGGTAGAAGGATTGCTTGAGAGTTCAAAACCAGCCTGGACAGCATAGTGAGACCCTGTCTCAAAAAAAAGAAAAAAGAAAGGTGGAATGGATGCTAAGTGAGCCAAAACAGAAGATGGTCACCATAATAAAGTTGACTAGAAGGAGATCACAGACCAAGAAGAGAGACATATCAAACATAAAACCTTGTGGGACACCAAATTTAAAGGAACCATAGGAGAAAAAAAAAGCCATAGAATATACTGAGGAGGAACAACCAGAAATAAGGAAAGCAAGTAATTGTGATATCACAGGAGTCAAGGACAAATTAAACTTTGAGAAATCAAAAATGGTCCATTGTGTCTTATGCTTCAGAGATCAAGAAAACCTAAGGTAGTCATTAACAGCTACTCATTATTTGATTGATGAGATGGCAAGAGACTGACATCCACATTTTTCTATTAGGCAGAATTAATGTACTAAAAGTCACTCTATACCTGGCACCTGTCTCTCTCATCCATTGGGTTTCTCTGTGCCTACAGGTGTGAGGCAGTTCTGTATACTTTATGTACCTCATTGGGGTACCATTGACATAAGAGACCTTCCTCTCTCCTTCGGTGATTATCACCTTCAAAATCCCAAATTTGGAATGAAAGAGAGAGATAAGTCATGATGCTGTGGAAGGAAAGCATCCGGAAGCATCAAGTTTCCAGCATAGGCTAGAGACCATTCTGGTTTCTGCAGAACCACACAGTTGAACAGGAAGATGGTTACTTGCTGCAGGAATGGGTTTACTAATTTCTTCCTGTTTGCATGCCCCATCTCCACATCTAGATTCCAAGGGTCCGATCAGAAACCATAAATATCTCTGAACTAAAAATTCAGACGTAGGTAGTCATAGCCTTACTACTATGCTCTGTGATCCTACTTCAGTTACTGAACTGCTCTGAGCTTCTGTTTTTTCTTCTGTAAGAATAAGAAGGGTTAGACCACACTATTTTAAATGTATCTCCCAGCTCTAAATTTCTGTCTCTGCATTATGAGCTACTTCTGTATTCCCCAGAGTATCAGCCATTCCATGGAATGCTCCAGTAAATACTTTCCAAAGTATTGAAGGGAGAAGGAGTCATGTATTACTTAACCACCATATGAGTACCAGAAAGAAAGGGGGTGAAGAAAAACAGAAAGCAAGCTACAACCAAGAAAATTAACATCAGATCAGACTTCATAATTCATGGATTCAGAACAAGAGTAATCTGTCCTGATCTCCTCTATAAATGGTTTATTACTCTAAATTCTAGAAGGCCCTCATATGCCAGCTTCATTTACATCATGACCTAACCCCACGGACAATATTGTAACAAAGCAACAAAACACTCCTTCCTTGCCTTCAGCATTTCACAGACCACAATTCTCCCGGGAATGGACCCCTTCATTGCAGTAACATGTATTGGCTGAACTGAAGAGATGATTTATGTCAATTAGGTCTCTTTGGTGGCAAGCAACAGAAATTGACTTAAGGGGTAAAAAAGCAGTTCTTGGAAGTCTACAATGTGGCTGGTAGAATAAAAGGTAAAGTTGGTTAACGAAGCATAAGAAGGACAAGAACGAGTCAGCTCGGGGATGTTGGTCACCCATGGCGTTCTCTCAAGAATGCTACTATCAGATAACTCTGCTTTCTTCTGTCTCTATGTGTCTCTGCTCAAGATCCAAATGCTGGGAGAAAACCTGGCTTGTCCTGTTCTGGGCCATACATTTACCCCGGGGATCAAAGAGCAGTAACTATTGCCAGAAGAATGGTGTTTATGTATGTAGGTGGTATGAGTGTGTGTGGATATGTATGTGTGTATGCCATGTGCATATGTGTGTATTCATGGATGCATCTATATGTGGTATATGTATAGGTGAGTCTATGTGTGTGAGACTGTATGTATGTGCACTGTGAGTTTATATGTGCATGTGTTTGTGCACTTGTGCAGGGGAGGAATATGCTGGAAAGAAAAAGTCGATAGTATCAGATATTTTTTGGTAACATCTCTAAAATGGTTTTGAATTTCAGTAACATTCCTTACCAGCTATGTAACTAGCTACACAACCTATTCTTTCTAAGCTTTAGTTACTCTCCTTTGCCAAGTGGGAATACTGATACTTGCCTTGCAGGGATGTTCTGAGGACAAGACAATGCATGCACGCAGTAAGCAGTATGACTGGCATGATAACCTCAATACCTAGGAGTTAATATTCTTACTATCTTATTATCTCTGAGAAAGACTATGATGTGCATAAATAGGTCAAAAGCGAGTCAAAAAAAAAAAGTCCTATTCGATCTCATTCTTCCTGCCCCAAGAGCATCCACATTAGGAAAGTTACTCCCTTCCCTGTTCCCAGGAGGCGGTTCCCTCACTCTCAACTCAGAGACTTTACTAACGCACTTCTTTCTGCCTGGAATACCATCCTTTCTTACAATCTCACACCTAAATGCTCCCCTTCATTTGGATTAGGCTTGAACTCATCATCTTCTTAAAGCCTTCATGGACTCCTCTTAAAGCCTCATGGGTCCCCAGCTATCTGCTCCTTTGAATAAGAACAACCCCTAGAGGAGAGTGTGTGACTAGCTCCAGTGGTTGTGATTCCCTGAGGTGCTGTGTTGAGAAGGATTCTGAGACCATATCCAGAATCATGAGGAAAGAGTGCCGTAAAGAATTAGAGATGTCTGGCAGGGGATGCAAGAAGTTGGTGCTGTGAGCTACCTGGCACCTGCTTCTGTTGCTGCCATGCTAGGCTTTGATTGTATACTGTACTGTGCTGTTCACTAAATGCTTCAAGGGAGCTCTTTCCTTGAAGCCAAGGACCATGTCTCATGCTTTTTAATTTATGCCTCATTCTAACTGGTGTGGTGCAACACAAGGCAGGGGATCAATCAAGGCTGGGGGAGGACTGATTCATTCCTTGACTGGTAGCCAAGAAGCATGAGGTCATGTACTGAAAACTTGGGAGCATCTAAGGAAGCTGAACAAATGCAATCCCACAACCTTCCCAGTAGGGAACATGGGACTATGGCAAGATCATGGCTTTTGGAGTCAGGAAAAAACTGGGTTAGTCTCCAGTTCACCAATTAATTGAGCGACCTTAATGGCTAGGTCATGTAACCATACTGAATCTGTTTCCTTGTCCAAAAAAAGTGTGTGTGTGTGTGTGTGTGTGTGTGTGTGTGTGTGTGTGTGTTGGGGGGTGGGGGAGCATAATATCCACATAACGGGGTCATTGAGAGGATCAGAAAAGATCAAACAGATAAAAGGCTTGGCCCAGATCTTGGCAGAGAAGCAGCATTCGTTATATCTGAGTTTCATTTAAAAGATTAATAATGAATTTAAGAAGAATTCAGCAAGTACTAATAATATCATTGTCATTGTCATTATAATATAGCAATCTGGTTTCCTAGGAAGACAGTCCACTCTAACTCTTCCTCAGATCATGTCTTTGGGTGGCATTTGTGAGGAATCCTCTCTTGTCATTCCACTTGGCCTCCAGCAAGCCAGGAGGAATGCTCTGTGCTCTCAATGCCTGGTTTGCAGGTAAATTGGAGCTCTTCCCACCAGCACACAGGTTCTCTTCATAAAGGAGGAGTGGGGGCTGAAAAGTGCAGACACACTTCCCACTGAATCAAGCCTGTATTTCTCAGGCGAGAGCTAAGCATATTTACACGTGTGGAACATCAGCCAGGACAAACAGAGACCCTGGATTACCTTTGCTTATGTAATTTTCTGGGGAAATCCAGGGCATTAAAATCACTAACTACCCAGCATCCGTTGAAATACAGCCTCCTTTTAGAGCCAAAGTCAATCTAGGACCAACTATACATTCCAACCCATAGATGGGGCATTTATTTTTAACAAGAGCTACCATTTATTGAGTGCTTACTATGTGTTAGGTACTATGGTAAGAACTTAATAGACATAGTCATACTTGATCCTCACAGCAATCCCAAGAGGTAGTACAAACTATCACATCTCCCCAAATCTATGTAAAACTCAGTCATTATCTGAAACACTGTGTTTCAGCAGTAATTAAAATTCACAGGGATGTGGCTGACCTCTGGGCTGTATCTCTGCCCTTCCAAATAATCAATGCAATCACTAGGAGTCCAGTGAGGAAAGATGCTCAAAGGTAAGACTCCGATTCTTGTTTCAGAGCCCCCAGAGATTTTCTCATAGAACATCCGTTAGCCCTGGCAGGCTTTGCTGGTGTAAATCACCACCCGGCACTCAATGAGAATATAGTTATTATAACAGTTGCCACATCGCATGATGCTCATGCCATTCGGAAATGTAGATCTAATTAGCTCTAAGCTGTAGAAGATTTGAGTATGGTAGTTTCATTTTGGCTTAATGCTTGGTGCCTGGTGTAAAATCTGAATTTATTACTCTTTTTTTTTAATCATTTCTGCATGGCTCAACCAGTCGTATCAAAACTACTGCATGTTATAGACTTTAAAAAGTGGTTCCCTGTAGGCATTTTAAGGTATAGGATCTATTATGGGAAGATATATACTTGACAGCATTCTGTTTATCACTCAGTTCTGCTACATTGTTCATGAACCCAGTGAAAGATGTTCACAGTAGTAAGTAACACTTTATTCCAGGAAGAAAAAAACACAAGGCGACTTCCTTGAGTGAGTACCAGAATCAGTGTGTGGTGCACTGATTACAGGACTAACGGGCGAATGTGTCGCCTTCTCCATCAAGACCCTGCAAAACAAGGGAGACTGCTTTAGTGCCTCATATTCCTCTAGATTTTATCCAAAAATATTTTCCCATTAAAAGTACTATGTCTCAGCAGTGGATAATCAATGTTGCAATTCTGAACATTTTTAAGAACAAAACTCAGGTAGCATCATCCGTCCTCCCCCAGGCCCTTAGACAGTTACTTGGACACGGGAATGGGAAGCATCCCTGCTATTCTTTCCCACATTTGTTTCTTTCCTCTATTTGTGCCTCAATTAGTTCAGCTTTTCCCCTAGCTGTTGAAGGGAACCTGGCCAAGAAAGTCCCATAAAAAGTCCCATGTGGGTTAAGTCAAGCACTTCCAGGAGTGACCACAGACACAACTTCCTACCTCCACTGCATGCTGGCTCACTTGGCCTCCATCTCCTGGATTTCTCTCATTATTTCTGCATTGCTTCCTGGTCTCCTAGGCTGTGGTTTTGGTCAACCTCTCTGCTTGGCCCTCAATCTGGGTTCCCTCAGGTGCTCCCCTTACGATTGCTCTGCAACCCCTGGGCTACGTCCAGCCCATCCACCTGGAACCTAAACCTAGGCCTGGTGCCCCCAAGACCCTGACTCACTGGGCTGGGGTACAGTTAATATTTTTGAAAAGAGGAGGTTTGGCCGGGCACAGTGGCTCATGCCTGTAATCCTAGCACTTTGGGAGGCTGAGGCAAGAGGATCACTTGAGGTCAGGAGTTCAAGACCATCCTGGCCCACATGGCAAAACCCCGTACGTACTAAAAATGCAAAAATTAGCTTGGTGTAGTGGTGGGCACTGTAATCCCAGCTACTCAGGAGGCTGAGGCAGGAGAATTGCTTGAACCCGACAGGGGCGGTGGGGGGAGGCTGCAGTGAGCTGAGATGGTACCACTGCACTCCAGCCTGGGCAACAGAGCGAGGAAGGAAGGGAGGGAGGGAGGGAGGGAGAGAGGGAGGGAGGGATTGATTGATTTTAGGTAAAAAGCAAAGTGAACTGAGGCAGTGGGTCCCCCTCGATTCCTGTGTATATCTTCACCCAGCCCTATATAGTACAGGGTCTTTGATACGGGGTCTTCTCTATTGTGACTCATAAAACTCACCACCACCATGTATGGAGCCCCATCCTTCAGAATGGCTGAGTGCAGAATTGGGAAAGTGTCATGCAGAAGCCGACTCAAAGGCCTGACCCCACTGACCTACCAAACCAGCCAACCCAGGTACTACCTGCCTCCAGAGCTCTTCTTATGTGCAGTAATTCTATTGTTTAAACCACTTTCCAATGGCTCTTCTGTGACTTGCAGCTGAAAGAATCCTGACTAAGCCACTAGAAATATGAAAATCTACTAATCTCAAAGTATGCAAATAGGTAGAGAAGAAAGAACATGGCCTTGAGACTTGGACCTAGAAGTACATCTTGGCTCCCTCACTTAGAAGGCTGATTTCATTTATTGATCTGTCTCTGAACTGGACTGTAACCACTTGAGGGCAGGGAGTATGTCTTGCTGTTTTTATTTGGAGAGAGACTATATTAGAGTCTATTACAAACATAAACATCTTGATTAGAATCCAGACTCTGCCACTTATTAGTCATGTGGCCTTGAGCAAGTCATGTAATCTAACTATAAACAAAAAAATAAAATAAGGAAAATAGTACCTTTATGGACTTGCTGTTGAGATGGACTCAGGTAATCCATGCAGTAAACTCCTTAGCATAGTGCCCAGCACATTGTAAGAATTATTTAAAAGGCAGTTAGTAGTATTTTATATTTTGTGTATTTACCACCCACCTAGGATACACCCTGGCATTTAACAGAAACTTGTCAAATGAGTAAATGAATGATGGCACCTTTGCTTATGTTGCTTCTGGTGTTCCAGGGACGTAAATCTTGTAGGCTTGAGACACTGAAAGCAAGCTGAGCTTATGATGTGGCATAATTTTTAGAATCACAGACTCTAAAAGCTTTTCAGCTGCTTTGTATCAAGCTTGATGGTTCCTTCTCCATATTCAAGAATCTCTAGGTAAGATCTGCACAAAAGCAATGTGTCACCTTCTTAGGAAACATTCGCTTCTTCATCTCGTTCCAGAGGACACAGGGCAGAGATGCCTGCCACTTTTATGTCTGGTGCCAACTTTCCAAAGCTGAAAGCCCCTCTCTGATTTCTGGGGCTGACCCTGCCTATGGTCTCTGCATCCCCTCTGCAGCTCCCAACCTTGGGAAGCTGTGGCAGTGGCTGGTTGGTGGTGAGCAGGAAGCACAGGACACGCTGAGTGCTCAGGGTTAAAAGTGATGGCGTAACACAGGAACACCTCAGACCAAGAAGCACCATCAGTGCCAGGATGGCATTCGGGCTTCCAATATGTAGTCACTCATCAGAGATTTCTGAACATCAACCACATGTCAAGCACTTATAGGGGGTGCTGTGGAATGCCACTCGCATCCCTCCTTCACGATTGGCTCATTCATTCCCACAGCCACTGGGAGTATTGGCTACCCAAGCCTTTAAGCTGAGTCCCTCACCAAGAATTCCTCTCACTAGAAGAAAGCTGCCTTGGTCCAAGATTATGCCTCTTCTCCAGTAGCAGCCCAGATCCAGTGACTGTTCATTTCTGGGCACAAAGGTCTAGCCCCTTGCCTAAATTCAGGGCAACCCAAGGGCTATCCCAGACTGTAGGCTGCAGACGCACTTGCAGTTACCACTCAGTTCTACAGCTACTTCTGCTCAATCCTGCATCCTCACATCCTCACAGATGGTACTCCTGCAGACGTGCTCAGGAAATCTCCTGCACTCTAGTCACAAGTCTCATTTCCAGGAAATATACCCAACCAAGACAGAATCATTTTAGGCATCATAGATTTAGCAATGAATAAAACATAATTTTCATGGCACTATGTTCTTTTGGTGAAAGGTAGGGGTGAAAGAATAACAGGAACGAATAAAAATATGTGAGGTCATGATAAATGCTACAAAGACAAGTAAAACAAATAAAGAAGAGAAAATGAAAGGGGTACTATTTGCAAACACCTCTTTTGGGCAGGCCTCTTTCATATGGGGCATTTGGGCAGAGACCTGAGCGAAGTGAGTGAAGCATGTCAATATCTGAGGAAAGAATATTTTGGCCAAAGGTAAAAGCAAGAGGAAGGCCCTGAGCAGAAGGTGTGCTTAGTACATTTGCAGAATAGTGAGGAGGCCAGATTGACTGGACTAAGAGAGGGGAAGAAAAAGTTGTATTTACTCTGTCTTTAAATTTCCATTCTAACTGCCATGTGAAAAATAGATTAGGGCCCAGGGCAAGGGTGGCAGCATAAAGACCAGCTAGGAGGTTAATGCAGTCATCAGGCCAGAAATAACCAAAGAACCTGAGCATCTTGTTATATGCAAACATGTAAGTTATGCAAAAAAAACGCACCCACCTATGTATATATTCACCCCCGCCCCCACCCATGATCAAATGTCCAGGTCCCCCTGCAACCTTCATTTGAGAAGACTGACAGCTGGAGGGGACTGTTTTCGTCAGAAGGGAGTTGTCTGGTTAGGTGTTTAACCAGAGATATAATGCTATAAAAGTGGTAAGAAGTAGTCAGATTCCAGATATATATTTTAAGATAGTGGCAATATTTGGTGATGATTAGATATGGGAAAGGAAGGAAGGAAGGAAGGAAGGAAGGAAGGAAGGGAGGGAGGGAGGGAGGGAGGGAGGGAGGGAGGAAGGGAGGGAGGGAGGGGAAGGGGAGGGAGGGAGGGAGGGAGGGAGGAAGGAGAAAGAGAGGAAGGAATGGAGGGAGGGAGAAAGGGAGAGAGGGAGAGAGAAAGGGAGAGAGGGAGGGAGAAAGGAAGCAGGGAAGGTGTGAGAAAGAGAGGAAGGGAGGAAGGGAGGGAGGGAGAAAGGAAGAGAAGGAAAGAGGGAGGGAGAGAGGGAGAGAGGGAGGGAAGGAGAAAGAAGGGAAGGAGGGAAGAAGGGAAGGAGGGAAGAAGGGAAGGAGGGAAGAAGGGAAGGAGGGAAGAAGGGAAGGAGGGAGAGAGGGAGGGAGGGAGGGAAGAAGGAAGGAAGGAAGGAAGGAAGGAAGGAAGGAAGGGCTCGCTCCAAGATTTTATCTAAGCAGCTAAAATAAAAGATACTATGGGTAGAAATAGGTTTGAGAGATAAAATTCAGTTGCTCAATTGTAAGCATGTTAAGTTTGAGACATCTATTGGACAATGAAATGGAGCTTTGAATAGGCAGTTGGCAGCCTAGAGTTCAGAAGAGAGAGGTCCAAGCTGAAGATATAAATTTGGTTATTATCAGCAGAAAGATGGATTTAAAGCTGTGAAACCAATGAGATCATCAAGGGCGCGAGTGTAGACAAAGACGTCAGGGCACTAGGGCACTCCAGTCATATTTAGAAACCAAGGTGATTAGGAGCCAAGGAAGGCCACTGAGTAGAACAGCCCTGAGGTAGGAGGAAACCCAAGTGAGTATGGTGTTTTGGAAGCCAAGTGAAGAAGGTATAATAAGAAAAAGAGAGAGATCAACTATTTGTAGGTTGAGTAAGATGCAGCCTATGAATTGATGTTTGGGCTTGGCAATATGGAATTAAATCACCAACGACTTTAGAAAGAATTGTTTGTCAGTAGTGAAAATGAAAGCCTGAATGGAACAGTTCTTGAGAGAATGACAGGAGAGGAACTCCAAGCAAGTGACAAGATTGCCAGGAGTTCTATGCTGAGAAAGGATTCAGAAGTTAAGTCCAAGTTCAAAGAGTGCTGTGCTTGCTTAGTGATGGCTGCCTTGAGTGCAGATAGGGAAACAGTGGTATAGAGAAACAGTGGAAATAGTGGTACAGGTAGGGAAATAGGACACATATCTACCATTCTTGTTCCAGGACATATTGTGGTTCATTCCATCTTTTCTATACACCTTTTTATGGTAACAACCCACTTGGGATACTCATTAACAGAGAATTTGACATTGTTCCAATAAATTCCTGGATTTTGTTAGCATGCAAATATTCTTGAATAAGAAATGATGTTTTATATTTACTAACTGGATAGTTCCAACTAGTTCCGACCAGTGTGCTATGTAGAGCAATTTATGAGAAACCTCAGCATCCTGAAAGAACTCTGGATGTCTAAAAAAGATATCACATCTCTCTGCTTAACTTAATAAACAAGGGAGCTTAAAAGGGTAGAAAAATAAACATTTGGCTATGCATTGCATACTTGCATTTCCTATCTCCCTTTTCCCTGGGAGACAAGACCAGATCATTCAGATTGCTACAACAGATATAGCTCTTTTGTACAGTTATTCTGTTTTCATTGAAGGTCAGATGAGGCTGTGTTATCAAATGGCCATGATACAGTGAGAGAAACTAGTGGGAATGGGAAGTGCACAAAAATATTAAAATTTAGGTAATTCAGTGGCCACCTGATTCCCAATAAAACCCACACTTGCTTCCAGTCTTGTGTTTTATCTTAGTTTCCAAAAGCAGTTCTTTCATACTCACTCCACTGGAGAAATATTTCCTAGAAAGACACTTGCTATAGTTTTAAAAACGTAATCTCCCTTTAAATTTACATGTTTGCACTCTAGCACACAACTTCTCAGAACTGGAAAGTGTCTTAAGAGTTATCTTGTGCAAACATCTACCCGGTGTAGATGAATGTAGGTAAATGAATCCTTGGTGCACTATCCCAAACAGATGGTTCTCAGCTCTTCAGTTAAACACCTCTGGTGATGGACGGCTCATTTCTGGAGAAACGAGTTACATCCAGCTGTCAGCCTTCCGAAAAGAGAGCAGAAGGGGGGCCTGGACATTAAGGTTATTAGGGTGATATACACATAGGTAGGTAGGTATGTTTTGTCACATACTCACAGGTTTGCATAACAAGAGCTCAGATTCTTTGGTTATCTGGGATTGGTTTATTTTGATGCTTCTCCAGTCTGAGAGACCCCCAAGACAGAGCAAACTGTCATCTGTCAATTAAACACCCTCCAACTATGCCCAGACTTAAGAGGCTGCCATTAAAATAAACTGAGGGCTGTCTGATTTTTAAATCTCTTTTGTTCCTGGGCTAGCAGAGAGCCATGTGGTGGGAGGGTGGAGGGACAACTGGAATAATGACCTCCTAGTTCTTTAATTACAGCACCAATAATCCCCTTTATATTCTGATGTTTTGTAACATGTGTATGGTTTTGTCTTATTTCATCTTAAAGGCCAAACAAAAGCTGACTCCAATTGCTAAAAACACACAAGGCCCCAGCCACAGGCCTCAAGCAAGGAAACAAACAAATAGGAGCATGGGAACCCAATTTCTGCGATTAAGTATGACAATGGTGTAGAGTCCATATGTCTCAGGAAAAAGGGGACATTTAAAAAGTCTCCACAGTGCTCTATGAAATCAGGAACACCCAGGACCCATGCCATTGTTCATTCTTCAGTGGAACATCATATGGACTCTGTCCTTCCCTTCAACTTAAAGATGGATGGGCAATTGTTTAACCCCAGTGTTTTTAATTAATTAGGTCTCTAACACCAAAGCTTTAAGTGAAGTTGCTTAATTTAGACTTTGCTTTGTGGGCTATAGTACTCATTGCTATTTTTTATTCATTTTTATTTTCCATATGACTCAGCCAGTCAAGGAGAACAAGGCTGTGAAATTTTACAAACCAGTTCCCCAGAGATAACAGAAAACGTCAGATTTATTGTCACGGGGGAACGATTTTCTAACTTGGGCCTAGGTATGTCCAGAGCAAGAGCAAAAAGTAAAACACATATTTTGGCTTTTTTCACCTGTCGAGAGATGGGGTAAGAATGTGTTTTAGGTCATCTTTGGGTTCTAAATGCTTACTTACAGACTCGAGATTCAAACTGGCATTCTCTTTCATTCTAGAAAAGAAAGTTTGGTAAGGAGTGATTTTTTTTTTAAGGCCAGGCAATCTGGTTGTATCCATCATTACCCTTACTTAATGACCTGCTTGTAAGTTAGCAGCTGCTGTTGCCAAGGAGAGGTACCTGGTTTCTAACAGCAGTACCTCATTGCTAGCTGGGGTGAGGGAATGAGAGGACTCAATGGCCAGCCTCAGGGCCATGTGGATGAGTGGACCCAGGTTAAAAAGAATGTGCTTTTTCTCAGTTACCTAGAAGGACTGTAAGTGTCTCCCTTGGAAGAAACTGAGAAAAAAAAAAAAAAAAAAAAAAAGGACCAGTCAAGTACAGAGTCATCCTAAAACTGGACAAAGCCTTTTGGAAAAAAAAAAAAAAAAAAAAAAAGCAGGGTTAAAAGGAAAGTATTTCTAGAGATCACATGTTCTTGGAAAAGAACATAAAATACGATTTTAGAACAAAATGCCAATTTACTCATTTCTAGTGAAAAATCTAATCACTGAGCAAAAAGAAAATATTTGTGCAAGTATGATCTGGGCATTCTCTTCCTGCTGTCAAGTTGAACGGAAAGCCAGATGTAGGATCAGAGCGGGGCTTGGTGCTCTGGGATCAGCAGGGAAAGGCCAGATAAATGGGATACTTAACAGTGACAAAGATATGCCAACTGGACCATAAATGTTCTAAGTCCTTCAGCAGGAACACTTTACATTCATGGCCATTTTAGCCCTCACCTGGCACTAGCACCAAAAATAAAGAGATACAAAACCAAAATCAAGCTTCTTTCACTGGCCTTTGAGTAGTCCATAGAGAGTGTGGCTGCTTCCTTCCAGGGTGATCTGGAAGGAGGAGAATAGCCAAGTTCACAGGTATAAGCACTGACCCGTATATTCAGAACACTAAAGACACCTGAGATGTAGACTAAAAGTGCAAGTCTAGAAACTCATTAATTGAAGTGCCAGTCCTTTAATTTATGATTAAAAAAAACTAATTACCTTCAAAGGATGATAGAAGCAATTCATTATCTTTAAAACCAGTAAATAAAGGAAGAGAATCAAGCATTTATCCTATATCTCCTATATGAACAATACCACGGGGTAATCAAAAAGTAGATGAGGGGAAGCATCCATTTATGTTTTCCAGCTAATAAATGACAAGGAAATGATAGCATTAGATATCACCATCTGGCAATTTCCAGTGATTTAATGAATCCAAGCACTGAGCATTGGCTAATGTTAACATTTCTTAAAAAGACCAAAAATCAGATAGTGTGTGCCTCTTAGTAAAAGAACTCAATGCCACCTACCAAATCAATTGAATCTGAATCTAACCAAGTATCCCAATGTAGCTCCCAATTTGCAGAAGATAAAGAGGAACATGTTGGACTGTACAATGAGTATGCAATCAGCAATATCTATATTGTAGGAAAACTATAGGTCAAAAGGTAAATTGTAAGAAAAAGAAAAGAAAGGATGAGGAAACTGTACATTAAAAGAGACTTGAAAGACGTGTTAATTTTCTTAATGCACAAGACTAAAGTAGAGTGTCTAGGGAGGCACGCCTGGATAATAAAATTGTAATGGATGCAAAGAAGTGATTACTAGGAAAGCCAGGATAGGATTACTTTTGGGGAAAGTGAAGGGGTAAGATTGCATAGGGCCACCTAGAGAGCATTCTAGAATGACTGGTGGGGTTTTAAACCTTGACTTTGATGGTAGTTATAAGAGTATTGCCTTATAACTCATCAAACTATACAAGTATTTTGTGTGACTTTTTGTATCCGCATTTGATGTAACAATGAAAGGTTGGCAGAATGAGCAACCTATTCTTTTTCTGTTTTGTTTTGTTTTTATGGGTACCTGAGACTGAGAAGGACTTTACACATTATAAGAGGTTATGCCAATCATTCCAACACTGCCAAATGTCAAGATATATTAACAGCTATGTAATGGGCTGTGTCCATTTTAATCTGGTGATTTGGCTCTGTCCTTGACACCTCTTAGGGCTACTTTGGCCCAAAAGCAATGTTTCTAAGAGGTCCTCCATGAGTACAAGCCCAATAGCAATAGTAGGCCTTATTTCCTAGTGGTGGCACATAGGACTGGTAGCTCGAGATGGCTGAAGTCATTCTCTTTAACAGTCATCCCCTCTGTATACCAGACTGTGGTGGTAGTGTGGCTATTTGGAATGGGAGGGTGACTTTAGCATCCAGCATATTGTCAAGATTTTAAAAAATGATCTTATCAAATCTGGTCAAGGAATCACACACCATTTAGGACTCCTTTTCTCAGTTATAACCAAGTGGCAAAGCTACAAACAGGTCATAAAACCCTTTCAGGGCATGCAGTGGGGTGGGGGAGATGGTTGCTAAAAGGATCCCAAAAGACGGGAGAGATAGGATGACTTCAGCTATATCCATTTTTACAGATCCCTACCCAGCCTTCCTCCACTGCTGCACAGGCCTTGGCTGCATATGTGTCTCCCAGGCCCAGTAAAATAAAAGCCCAGCACTTTCCACAGATGAGCCCATCTCATTCCCAGGCAGCTTGCAACCGGTGCCTGGATACGGGAGAACTGATGACTTGAAAGGAGAAGTGAAGACATCAGCCTCAATCCCACAAGCTCTACCTACTTGGTATTGTAGGTCCCTGCCCCCAAATCATTTCTATTATTTTTAATAATGATGATGATAAATTATTTTTGAAGTTCATGGCTCAAGAGCTCTTGGGACTGGCTTATTTTAAATTGGCCAATAAAGTGCCTGAGTCAAGGCAGATTGTGAGGGGATGCAGAGATTTGGGAGCATGGAGCATGGGAGAAGAGGGAGCTATTGGAAAAATCTTCAAGCACAAAGCACTTTATAAGTCTTCAAAGCACTTTCAAAGTCAATCTGATATGTAACTAAAAGCTTACGAAACAGCACATACATATCCTTTACCTAGACCACATTCACTCTGGGCATATAAAATCCAAGATGCGAAGTTTTATGGTAACTGAAACCCATAATGGGTCGGCTTGTCAGGAAGCTGCTGAAATAGGATTTTTGATAACCTAAGCCAGTGGCACCCTACAGCATAGACAATGGCTTTCCCCACCCAAGACCCTGTAAGGAAATTTGGACTTCATCCCTTCAGGGGACAAGATCCATGGACTCTGTGAAAATAATCCCTGTGATAGAAGACATCATGTCCAATATCCTTAGCTTACCAATGGGAAACTAGAGTCCAAGGAGGAGATATACTGGTTTAAGGTCACTGAAATAGATTCTAATTCTATCCTCCTCTTCTTCCTTGATGACAAAGTCCCAATTTTGTTTGGGTAATCACTTGCCATACAGACGTGTACTCAGAAAAGGGGCCCTGGACCACTCCCAGAAGGAATGAATCATGACAAATCCATGCCAATTATAGTGGTCTCATTGTCCATAATAGGGATTGACTTAGTCATGGATATGGAACCAAATGCGGTCAATGAGATCTGACGGTAGTCTGCTGGAGAATTTTCAGGAAATACTTTCCTTAATTAAAAACAAGAAGAAAAGGAAATACATGGAACAAAACACCTCTGTACTTCATGGAATACTATATTGCCTGCATATGACAGCTGAAACTTCTATAGCCACAGTATAATCATGACAGGAAGGCTAAGTAGAAAGATGGCAGGCCAGGTTCTCGATGAGTTCATGAAGCTGCTACTCTGGACTTCTTGTCATTTGAGCTAATATATCCTGTATTGTTTAAGCCATGTTTTGTTGTACTTTTAGCCTCTTGTAACCTAAAGCATCTTAGTTGATAGAATCACACAGAAAGTTTGTGGCAGAGCTGGGACTAGAATACAAATGTCATAACTCCCAGGTCAGTGAAAGTCTCCGTTTAAGGGACTGGTGAAGTCTGTGTGCCGTTCCATCAGTCAGAGGCAGTCTAGGTCATGCTGCAGTAAGAAGTAACTCCCAAATTTCAGTGGCTTACAAGAGCAAGACTCTGTTTCTTGCTCATGGAACATGTCCATCAGGGTTGGCTAAAGTTCTGCTTCGGGAACCGAGACTGATAGAGAAACTCTCCTGAAATATTGCTCGTCTTGTGACAAAAAGAAAAAGAGAGAATGGCAAACCATGAACTGGCTCCTAAAACTTTAATTCAGAAATGACAGTATCACTTTCACTCTCATTTCATCAACCAGAGCAAGTCACATAGTCCCAGAACTTCAATGAGAAAAGGGAGAACAATTTCCTTATAAAACACCACATTTAGTCTGCATTTAATGCTTCTAAGAAAAAGCTAAGCACCATAGAGGTAACTAAAATGGCTGCTAAATTGTTTTGAAAACACCCCTGAACTTTAGGATATTTTATGAAAACAGAAAAACTGCCATGCCCTTTTATAATTAACTCTTCTTTAAAATAGCTTTTCATCATAGAATGATTCATTAAATTGTTTTCTAAAACAGTAAAGGTTTAAAAAATAAAATGAAATGCCTTGCTTTCATAATCCCATCCACTATAGATAAATCACTGATAAATTGGGACATGTTCTTATCCTTTTCTATGTATAGTCACATGTCTGTACATGTATGTGTGTATTTATCCATATCTACACACACATATATATGGGACTTATGACCAAAAAATCATTTTATAAAATTATACATAATTTTTTACACTTTGCTTTGATCCCTATATGAATATTTTTGCTTCTGAATATATAGAGAGTTACTTCTTCCTTTTTAACAATTACATAGTATTTTACTTTGATAATGTATTATGAATACATCATTTATATCATAATCTCTCCAAGGAATGAATATTTAGGTCATTCTAGTTTTCACCATCACAAAAAATTCTATATTGGATAATCCTTTTATATAAAAATATAGATCTTTTCACACTTCTCTGAATATATCTGTAGAATAAATCCCAAGAAGTAGAATTGCTGGGAGAAGAAATATGCTCATTCAAAATGTTGATAGATATTGCCAAATCATCCTTCAAAAAGCTTATACCAATTGTACCATTGGACTGTTGGACCCATTGAATCCAGCCAACAGTGTGTCAGGTGGTGATCATTTCAGACAAAAGTATGTGCTGAGATCTTTATATGTAGTCAAGATAAAAGACACAAAAGACATATTTATAATGGTCCCTCTTCTCAATGAGCTTAAAAGGAGGGAGGGAGAGAGAAGAGACAAGTGAAAATACTAAAAACACATAAATCACTGAGATAGTGTAAGAAACTGGATCAGGCAGACACTGAGACAGCTGCAAAGAAGCAGATAAGCTAAGCTAAGGGAACATTAGATGACACAAAGGGTGTCCCACATAGGGACCGGGGAGGCTTCCTGAAAAGGAGCAATGCCATTAGAGGAGAGGAGCTGAAGCTCGGAAGCGAGCTGGTGTAGATGAGGTTGATGGCAGTACTGGGAGGAAAGGGGATAGCTTTCTCTGGGCTGGTGAGCTCACAGGATTGGCATGTTGAGCTAATGACATTAGGGTCAGAGCCTCTACTTGAGGCCAAGGTTTTACATAACCATCTGTCTTGGGTCATTTTACTGCAAACTGTCTTAGCAACAGAGGATTGGTATGAACAGCCAACATAAAGAAGGGAGACTAGAAGAGTTCTGCTCTCCGTATCTGAGTTCCTAAGCTATAAACCCCCAACATAGCAAAGCCATTCTATCCCCTGCAGTAAAAACTAGATCAATCAACCCAAAGAATATGTCTCAATCCCTGAAGGGTCTAGATTCTTAGGGTCTTCACAAGTACCTTAACACTTAGCTCTAGCCAGACGTGGTGGCTCACGCCTATAATCCCAGCATTTTGGGAGATGGAGGAGGGCAGATCACTTGAGCCCTGGAGATCAAGACCAGCTTGGGCAACATGGCGAAACCCCATCTCTACCAAAAAATACAAAAATTAGCCAGGCATGGTGGTGTGCGCCTGTAGTTCCAGCTATTCAGGAGGCTGAGGTAGGAGAATGACCTGAGCCCTGGAAGTCGAGGCTGCAGTAAGTGGTGGTTGTACCACTGCACTCCAGCCTGGGTGAAAAAGTGAGACCTTGTCTCAAAAACAAAAACAAACAAACAAACAAAACACTTAGCTTTCAGTAGAATCTAAAACAAATAAACTATGGGGTTATTATTAGTCTCCTTGTAAGCTTAGATTTTCAGGAGAAAAAAACAGAACCAACTTCAAGCTTAGAGGTCAGTATGCAAATGCATGGTACAAATGCTACCACACGCCCCTTCCAAGCTCTTGACATTGCCAGTTCATCACAACACTCTTCCACTAGGCCCAGAAACAGCCTCAGAATTCTCAACACAGCCTTCCCAGCACCCACTACCAATCAATTGGAATTGGCACTGCTATTGAAGCCCATTTGTCATCCCTGGCCTACAGCAGCAGAGAGTCATTTCCTCGCCAAGCATTCTTTCCCATAGGATCACCTATTGCCTCACCAAGCATGAGTCGTTCTCAGAAGCCGTAGGCATTGAGACCTCACACAGGCCTGGATGAGATCTCAAGGCCTATGGCCTTGAGTTCACCTTGTTGAGTGTTCTCCATCACCCCCCACCACACCTACCACAGCATCCTCTCCTCCAAACCCCAGCATTCTCATAAAAGCATTTCCCATGAAGGTATTCGCCTATCATCTGTTTTCCTGCCACCTAAAGATAGTTACTTCCATTTTTCTTTCAATAAATATTTGCTGAGAGCCTACTGTGTGTCAGGACATGTTCTACACACTGGTGACGCAGGAACAAACAACAGATAAAGATCCCTGCCCTGTGGAGCTTAAATTAGAGGGTAAAGACAGGCCATAAGCAAGGTAAACAAGTAAAATGCGCAGCAGGCTAGCTGAAGCTAAATGTCAACAAGAACCCAAAGAAGCAGGAAAGGGGGATAGGGAGTATTGGGAGGTGGGAAATGGATTAAAATTTTTTAAAGGGAAGACTTTACTGGGGACATAAAATTCGAGTAAAGACCTGAAGAAGGTGAAGGTGGAGGTGAAAGTGAAGGATATGCCATGCAGATATCCGGATATGCCATGAATTCTAGAGAGAGGAGGCAGGAGCAGGTCAGGAACAGGGAAGAGGCCAATCTAAGTGGACAATTTGGGGAGGACAGGAGTGGAGGTCAGAGTAAAGGATCTTAATCAGGATCTTGAAGGATCAAGATCATAAAGGGTTTTATTGTGGGAGCCAAAAGAAGGATCACTGACATCCATGGTTGCTTCCTTCACCAAGACTCTATTCATTATGGGAGACAATAAAGACATTATTACTGGCAATTTATTCTAAATATAACAGATCTGACAAGTTTATAAAGGGAAGACAGAAAGTGCCAGGGAGATATAATAAGCCAACTTGATGCCATCTGGTGATCAGGGAAGGCTTCATGGAAGAGGAAACATCTAAGCTGAGTCCTGAAGTATAAGAAAGACATTGTCCAGCAAAGAAGGAGAAAGAAAGTGCCGAGCATGTGTTCAAGGAAGCTGGAGAGGCTAAGGGAAGAGCCCTGTCCTCAGTTTTACCTTTTTGTGAAAAGATCTTTCTGACTGCCATGTCACTGTTCATGCTAATCGCTGACATTCTTGAATGAAAGTTGACCTTGCTTCTTTTCTCATTAACTGTCTTGAAAGCATGCTTTTCATTTCTGCTCAATGGGGCTACTTCCCCCCCATTCATTCTTGTGAAACAAATCCTTGCCCACTGTTCATCTGTCTGGGAACAGGTAAGTCCCCAGAGATGGTTTGGTAAATCAGGGCACGACAAGTATGTATGAGAATTCTCTCGTAGAGTTAGAAAAAGAAAAATCTGGTCTCCTCTCTTTGCTTCAGGCTTTTTCCATACAGAAACTCAACAGATCAAAACCATTTCAAACTGGGATGAAACCATCTGGCTCCCAGAATCACACATTGTTTTACAAGGCACAATGGCTGAAATGGCCTTTTTCTGTCTTGGTGGAAATGAACCAGACTTTTCCCATTTGCTATTCATGGTCATTACACGAAGGTTAATTAATTCATTTGTAACCCGTGTAGACAGCATGTAAGGTGTCACAGGTGATCTGGAACATCAAAGACAACATCCCTTCCTTCTGCCTGAAATCATTTTGAGCCCTCAGTTTTTCTCAGAAAGCAATGTTTACAAATCTCCAGGCAGCAGGAATTTGATGGTGGTGTTTGGTTGTGCTTTTTGTATTCTGAAGTTCCTGGTAGATTCCGTACTCTAAATTAGGCCTCAAAAATATTTCTTATTAAAAATTTATACAGCTCATGACAGCCTCTTTCGAGAACATAACCCCTAACTAATTCATGTTCACTTACCCTGCAGTTTTCTATTTATAATATTTTACAATTTCTGTGTATTTGTATTATAAATTATTAAATGACATCAAGGTTTTTATTTTGATGAGAGAATTTTTGATGAATTTGACAGTGTAATTACTTCAGATCCCACTCTGGATTGCTGAGAAAATATTTGATTTTATTTACCTCGATGAATAATTAAAGAGTGCAAGTGGTGGGCTTCCTTGCTGTGCCTTCTAGCTTCTTCGGTTTGTTTCTTGCTAATTAAAATAGTGATGCTCATGTGTGTGGTGGCTTAGAGAAATAAATTACCAATGGGGTGGGGGCAGTATTGTAGGATAAGACTTTAGAAAACTACAAGGAAAAAGAGAGGAAGGAGGGAAACAAAAATTTTGCTGTGTTTCATTTCATTTTTCTTGCAAGAGCAAGTAGAGGGAAGAGCGATCTCCTTGTTTATTTAGCGATCTGCCCCCTCCAACTCCAGGAACTTCTTACCTGCTAGCCTCCTCAGCCCAAACAGCAGAAACCATGAATGGTAACAGCAACTGGCTCTGGGAAGAACACAACACCCGGAAGATAACTGATTGCCAGATGTGCTATCCTATTGGTTCCACGGATTACATCTTTCTATGGTTTCCCTTTGGTTATCATAAAACCCTGGAAGTAGGCACAAGGTCAACTTTAATATTCTTACTTGAGGATGACAAAGTTGAGGTTCAGTTTGATGGATGGCCTTGACCTACCTCACTCACAATTATGAGGACCCAGGTTTCCTGAAACCTCATCCACTGGGATTAAGAAGTCAATGAACAATTTTTTTCTCACCACCTGATCTTAAGCTATCCAAAAGAATTGACATGTTATTAGGCACTCAGTATATTTACCAATAAAATTTATATATATACATTTTTGCCAAAAAATATATATATATATATATAAAATATATAAATGCTAAAGCACTGTGACACCAGTAGAAATGGTACTAAACTGTAGGTCAGCAGTAGCCCTAAATTCAAAGTCTAATCAGGGTGATGATGGAAAAATCACTGTTCTACTCTAGGCCTCAGCTCCCTTACCCAAAAACAGAGATAATATTGGTAACCTATCTCATAAAGTTAAAAATGTTTAAGGAGATGGTGCAGAGGAAAAATTCAGTAAGTCCTAGCTATTGCTATTGTTAGATCATACACAGAGTTAAATATGGTACCAGGGGGCCACCAACCATCTCTTAGCCTTCTTTGCATCCCCAGCTCCCAACATAATGCTTGGCATATTGTCGATGCTCATTTCAAGTTTATTCAATAAATGAGTTGGCTGGTTGGCTGAGTGGCTACTCTGTGACCATACTGAAAGCTCCCAATTGCATCATCATAAGGTCCTGGGAGGAAGACGCTAGCTTGTTCTTTTCCACCACTCAGGATATTGCTTGAACACAGATGATCCTAACAAATGCCTGCTGATTTTTACTGGAATGAAATACTCAGTATCATCCACACAGAGCTGCCTTGGGTTTGGCAGTACCTTTTCCCAGGAGTGTTGCCTGAGGCCAGGGCTGTAAAAATCCTGCAAGTGCTGAGGCTGTCTTGGTAAAGAACAGGGCATTGTTTGGGGCCAGCACCCCTGGTGAGCAAGGTCTTTTCCAATCAAAGGCTCAGTCACTGGCGTGTGTTCCACAAGCCCCTGGGGCCCAGCTCTCATTGTGTGTTGGGGCCACTGGGGGCGGGGGACTCCTACCTTTCAGACTGCATCGATTAGCTGCTCCATCTGCCACTCTGCAAACAAGCAGCATGGCTCTCCATTGGATGAAAATGTCACCCATGGTAACAGATCCTCACAGTTGGCGCCTGACCACAGGACCCTCCGAAGGGGAATAATCAGATCCTGAAAAGCAGTCAGCCCACCCCAAGCTAAATGCAAAATGAAAAATAAATGTCTATTCTAATCTCCTCCCTCCCTTCTCAACCCTGACTCCAATGAGATGGCCCCAGAGCACAAGGCGTGATTTGCAAGCTGCACTATCACAGAAGGGGACTGGTGGCCCCCAAGGCAGATTGCTCGGTCCTGAGTATAGTCTGTGGAAAGTGTAACTGGGAGACCTCCCCCATATGGTTCTGAAGCTACAGATGCAAAAAAACCTTGCTCCAGCCACTCCAAACTCCAGTTCTTTCCATGGAGAGATTCTGTCTCTTTCTCTCTTTCTACCTCTCTCCCTCCCTCTCTCCTTCCCCATCCCCTCTTTCCTTCCCTATCCCCTCTTTCCTTCCCCATCCCCTTTCTCCTGCCCCATCCCCTCTCTCCTTCCCTATCCCCTCTTTCCTTCCCCATCTCCTTTCTCCTGCCCCATCCCCTCTCTCCTCCAGATTGTGTTCTCTACTTAAGACCCTGTTCCTCATCCCTTTCTCCTGAGTTATTCCTACTCTTCTTTCAGACCTCAGCTTAAACATCTTTTGCTGTGGGGATTCTGACCTGAACACTCTCCATAAACTACATAAGGTGGCCCTGATACTATTCTTCCTTTACACTATCTGCTCTCCCTGTCACACTTGGCTGTCTGTCCTGCTAGGCTGAAAGCACCCAGAAAGCAAGAATCTCATTTGTCACACTGTTATATTCTCAGCAGCTAGCCTAGTGCCTGGCACATAGCAGATGCTCAATAACTATTTATTACATTCCTAAACAAACATTGCCAGGTGCAAAGCAATCCTTATAGGGCTTCTGGACATCATCAGACACTAAAGATGTCCAAGCCATGAGTTTATTTGTCAGATTTCAGTTATTGAACTCACCTAAGTCAAAAGTGAAGCAATCTGTCAGAAGGGCAGTGGACTAGCTTACAAAACTGAAGGAAAAGCTCTGTGGACAAGGGCATTTCCACAGAAATATGGGACAAGGGACTCTATATGTCCTTTTTCTCCTCTCCTTCTCTTTCCTCTCTCAATTCTTCTCCCTACCTTCTTCCCCTTCACTTCTTATCCCTGCTTGTCACTGATATCAGCTTCATTCTCTCAGACTTCAAGAGCAGCTCTGGAGGCCAGGATCAGTGGCTCACACCTGTAACTCCAGCACTTTCGGAGGCTGAGGTGGGCTGATCACCTGAGATCAGGAGTTCAAGACCAGCCTGGCCAACATAGAGAAACCCCCATCTCTACTAAAAACACAAAAATTAGCTGGGCCTGGTGGCAGGTGCCTGTAATCTCAGCTACTTGGGAGGCTGAGGCATGAGAATCGCTTGAACCCAGGAGGCAGAGGTTTCAGTGAGCCAAGATCACACCACTGCACTCCAGCCTGAGTGACAAGAGTAAAACTCCATCTCAAAAAAAAAAAAAAAAAAACAAACAAACAAAAAAAAAAACAGCTCTGGAATCACATTCTTACCACTTTATGATCAGAGAAAAAATTAGGATTTCCCGGTCCCATTTTCAGGTGTGAAATCACAGGGAAGAATTCTATTGGCCTGGCCTAGGTCACATGCCAATCCCTAGAACAATCACTGTGTTCAAAGGATAGAATGTTATGATAGACCCGGCTTAGATCATGTGCCTTCCCCCAGGTTGAGGCAGGCAGAGTACCCGGGAGGACACCATCCACTAGCCCCAGGTGCAGGACAGGGGTGCTGAGCCAACAAAAACAATAGCCACCTACACGTGGGATGAACCCCTGTTCTCAAGGACCCAAAAGAAAGTAGAGTGGGCCTGAGAGAAATCCAACAACAGACCTAAGAGAAATCCAATGACTAGGTCTTTGAATTCTTTATATTAAGCTTCTTTAAAAATTGAGGTTTAGTAGTGTATAATTTTGCCCTATTTTCTAGTGTTCACACGTTTGTTTCAGGAATGCTTATACCATCTACCAGTTATACTAAAGCTCTGCAAAGACAGAGACCAGAAATCTGACCCAGTCCTCATTTCTTCCTGCCTATGTTATTGCATGCACTTCCTGAATGATTCATTTCAGTCTCTCCTTGGTAGAGTCCATCCCAAGGCCATTACCCACCCCATCTTCCTAAAATCACAGTTGCCTGGTTTCCTATTATTATTCAAATGCACTAAATCTCTTCTTTCCCATCCACTTAAACTTCTAGGTCTGGATTTCAAATCTATTCCTACCTAAGAGTTAATAACAGCATTTACTGTGTTCCAGTCTTTGTCTAGGAGCATTACAGGCCATTATCTCGTTAAAGCCTATAAAATAGCTACTGTTTATCATTATCGGAGCACCTACTGTAGTCCAACACTACGCTCAACATTTTCCATGTGTACCACATTTAATCTCATTTATCCACATGTTAACTTTTTGACACAGTCCTGTTTTACAGATGGTTAAACTGAAACTTAGATAGATAGGGTATTTCACCCTCAGTCACACAGCAAATAAGGGGCCAAGCTAGAAATCAAGCTACTGTCTGTCTCACTCCAAAATCTGATATCTTTCTTCTAGGCTATGCTGTCTCCTAACTCCACCCTTCTTCTGCTGTTCCCTGTGAACAACTCCTCTGTGGTCCAGCTGTCCCCTCTACCCTCTGACGTTGACCCATCTACTCAATTTCCTTTTTTGCCAGCCAATGCTCTTCTCCCAAAAGGCATTTTTGGAACCTCTCACATGCATTCAGGGGAATATATCTCCCAATTTGCAGTTCTCATAGATCCTGAGATGTCAGCATCACCAATATTCCAAGTATCTTTTCCTTCTTTCTATATTAGTTTCTCTCTTCCCTCGCTCTGTTCATTATACATAATCCATGCACATAGCAGGGGATAATAAGTTGGGCATGACAAAACAAAATATATTCTCTACATGAGTGGCTCTCAACTAGGGGCCATTTTGTTTGCTCAGGGAACATTCAACAGTGTCTGGAGACATTTCTGATTGTTACAACTGGAGGCAGGGATACTACTGGCATCCATTGGGTAGAATCCAGGGATGCTGCTACACATCCTGCAATGCACAGGACCACCCCCCCACAACAGGGAATGCTCTAGTCCAAAATGTCAGTCATGCACAGTTGAGAAGCCCTGATCTACATGGATAAGGTAAACTTAAAGTTGCAACTAGACCTTTTAACTTTTCATTTTAGAGCCTGAACTGTGCAACTTAATCTTGGATTCCAGAGATACATGAGGTCCTTGACCTTTTTTAAGCCAGGAGGCACATCTTTATTCTGTGGACACTTGATGGTGTGAAACTAGCAGGCTGCCAAGACATGCAAAGAGGCATTTTTCTTTTTTTTTTTTTTTTCTTTTTTAGACAGAGTCACACTTTGTCACCCAGGCTGGAGTGCGGTGGCACTATCTTGGCTCTTGGCTCACTGCAACCTCCACCTCCCAGGATCAAGCGATTTTCATGCCTCAGCCTCCCAAGATTACAGGTACATGACACCACACCCAGATAATTTTGTATTTTAGTAGAGGTGGAGTTTCACCATGTTGGCCAGGCTGGTCTTGAACTTCTGACCTCAAGTGTTCCACCTGCCTCAACTTCCCAAAGTGCTGGGATTACAGGCATGAGCCACCACGCCCGGCCTCAGCATCTCTTATAGACAGTGTGGTCTGGTGAGGTTTAGAGTATTATCACAATCATGCTTCCTGTTGTCAGTTCCCAAGTCTGCCACTTTCTAGTCATCTCCTTAGACAATTTACTTAATCTTTTTGAATCTTAGTTTCCTCATCTGTCACATGGGTATAACACACCTAAAAATGATAATCCAACGAAAGCACACAACACTCTACTTTGCTCAGGGGTAACATTAGCTACTCTTTTATTTATGTCACAAGAAGCAATGGAGACTTATCATACAGTTATAACTGTGAGTTATTTCATTTTTGATAAATGCACTGGCCATTATTATTTGAACTTTGACTAATCCACAGCTATATGCATCCGCTTTTGTGTAAATGAGCATTGCCCCAGGTATAGAGCTGCAGAGGCACAGAAGGGAGGGCGTGTTCCGGCCAAGGTGAGATGCTTGGCACAGAAAGAGGTTAAAGTGCATAGATATGGGAGAATGAGGTCAGTGGAGCTCAGCCATAGGTTGAGGACAGGTTACAAAAGGCCTGGCTGAGGAGTTGAAACTTGGTTCCTCAGGCATCAGAGATCAATGGAGACTTTCAGCACAGAAGTGGCCTATCAGGTCTGTCTTTTGGGAAGAACACTGTAATAGAACAGTGCAGGTTGCTCACTTCCTTCGTTGTAAACCCAAACCATGGTTCTTCAAGTTCGAGTGCAATAACTTTGGAATAACAAGGTATCAGTCATCTCAATTACCACCCATAGTACTATAAATGAGTGCCATCTTTCTGAAAAGCAGTTTGGTGCCTTAGATGTCTTAAAATACGCATGCCCTGTTGTCCTGGAAATTCCACTTCTAGGACTCTATCCTGAGGAAATTATGAAAAACGTACAAAATATTTATGTACAAGACAGCTCATTTTTAGCATTGTTTGTAAGAGTGAAAAGTTGAAAACCCAAAATGTTCAATACAAATTAACTGGTTAAGTAAATTAAGATACAATGATTACTATGCAGGCATTAAAGCTACATTATTGATGTGGAGAAACAGGTTGCAAAACAGTACATAGTGTGTGATACTTTTTTAAAGTACTTACACTGACACAAACACATACACACACACTTGTTTCTATAAGTTACAAATGTCTTTATGTTTCATCTATTTCTATTAATTTATCCTAAGGAATTAATAAAGGCGGTAATAGCAATGTATACACAGGTGTGTGTATATATACATAAATCCATATATATACACAGAAATAGTATAAAAGAGTATATACCAAGCTATTAATGGAACCTTCTATAAAATATGATAGATTATTTTATTTTCTTCTTTTTGCTTTTCCAAATTTTCAGATATTTCTAATGGGAACATTTACAATATTTATCATAAGAAATTTTTAATTTAAAAAAATAAAGGAAAGGAAAGTTCATCCCCTACAATTAAGCCCAAAAGAATTTTATAAAATTTCAGATCACGTTGCAATTTTTAACCATTAGAAGGTGATGGGCCATGCCATACTTTCAAAATTGTTGTCAATTTTTCTCAGATTTCATTATATTTTAAATTTGGTGTATACTGAATTTCATAGATACTGAGCTGCCATTATCTGTTCAGCTGCATTCTAAGTGATGTGAGACTACAAGGAAAATGTCACCTATATGACTCCTTTCCTCAAATTACCTGTAGTCCATCTAGGATCAACAATACTTGTGAAAGAGAAACTAGGACTAATTCAAGGCCGCTCCTGATAAAGTGTCAAATTATAAGAGAAAGCTGCTGAATTGTATAGAGGTTCAGCGAAGGAGAAAATGACTATATATCAGAATGGTCAGGAAAATCTTCACATAAAAAATAGATGGAATCAAAGGCAGAAAGGCAGCAAGGATAAAGAGGTTTCAGATGCAGCAAGAGGCCAGTGAAGCTTAAGCACCGAGTTCTTGCTGAAGGCTGCACATAGTGGGCACAATTTGGAGAGGTTTCTAAACACTGAGGTCAGGAATTTGGACAATGAAGTCTTTGTAATAAGCTCAGGGTCTGTCTAAACATAATGAAGAGGTGGATGATTTTAAAATATATGAAGAAGACATTTGATATGGTGTGGCTCTGTATCCCCACCAAATCTCATCTTGAATTGTAATCTCCATATGTTGAGGGAAAGAGGTGATTGGATCATGGGGGTGGTTTCCCCCATGCTGTTCTCATGATAGTGAATGAGTTCTTACGACATCTGTTAGATTTTTTTGTTTTTTTGTTTGTTTCTTTGTTTTTTGAGATGGAGTCTTGCTCTGTTGCCCAGGCTGGTGGCACCATCTCTGCTCACTGCAACCTCTGCCTCCTGGGTTCAAGTGATCCTCCTGCCTCAGCCTCCCGAGTAACTGGGATTACAGGCACCTGCCACCACACCTGGCTAATTTTTTTTATTTTTAGTAGAGACAGGGTTTCACCATGTTGGCAGGCTGGTCTCGAACTCCTGACCTCATGATCCACCTGCCTCGGCCTCCCAAAGAGCTGGGATTACAGGCGTGAGCCACCGCACCCGGCCTATCTTTTAGTTTTATAAGGGGCTCTTCCCCCTTCTTTCTTCTCTCTCTCTCTCTCACCTGCTGCCTCCCATCTGCCATGATTGTAAGTTTCCTGAGGCCTCCCCAGCCATGCGGAACACTGACTCAATTAAACCTCTTTCCTTTATCAATTACCCAGTCTCGGGTAATATCTTTACAGCAGTGTGAAAGTGGACTAATAAAACATTGATAACTCAAGGATTAATTGCCTAGAAACTACCTGGAAAAAGCAAGTAAATACAAAGAGGAAGAACATAATAAGCTCTTTTAAACAAGTCCCCAAAACCCACTCTAAAAATATGTTTTTGGAAACATATTTTGAAAAAGGGGTAATGGTGACTTCTTCAGCAGGAAGCAGGCTTTAAAAATCCCAAGGAAGTGGCAGGAGTTGAATGGAGATAAGGAAAGGGAAGCTCACGCTGACAAATGGTGGTTGAGAATTTGGAATGAAACCCCAAGTAAGGAAAGCTTGTTTCAGTCCCCAAAGTGGGAGTTCTCTAATGAGTGAAATTCATTATCTTAAACTTTGGGCTATGATGTGTAATTGCTAACCTCTGCTGCTTTGGTTCAAGGTTCCTTTCAGTGAAATATATTGTTTGCCATCAAAGCTGATGTGGATTAGGAGCTGAGCATGTGCCCTCCCTCTTAGGTTATATTAATATGCCAAAATCAATAATATGCCATAGCTTTCAAAAGTAGTAATAAAACACCCTAAAATATTCCCAGAATATGTCTATAAATTATTTGTTCAATGTACTTATGTTAAAAAGGTTGTCAGTTACAATGCTCTGGAAGACTCTAAAATTACAAGCCATCGTATTTGTATTTGATAAAGCTCTTGCTGTTTTGGGTCAGAGGAGGTTATGCTGTGGGAAAAAAATCATTATTTTCCCTAATAAATAAATTACTTGGCTATATTTCATGTATCACTCAGGCCAGCCAGTATTGAAGGTTTAAATAATAAATAACAAATAGCTCCATTCATTTATTAATCATAATGCATCACTTGTATGTGAGTATGTATCTGTTGGTGTATATGTGTGCTTGTGTGTGAGTGTCTTGAGTATATGAGATTTCTTTTAGACTCTTGTGGGTGACACTAAACAGTAGTCATCTGAAAGAATGAAAAGCCATGCCTCTGGAATCATTAACGTTTTCTCAGGTTAAGGAAATCACCTAGGGCTGACAGACCTTTTCACTTGGCCAGTTCCTGGCACAGAGGACTGTGCTGGGGTAAAGTTCTTGAAAGGCCCAGAACCATGCATTTAAACTGAATCATTAAAGGGTTCTCCTTACTATTAACTCTTCTCAATGGAGCACTGAGATAGCTCAGTTCCAAGGAGAAAGCAACAGGAAAAGAAGATAATCAGACTTTCTCCAAAACTCGCTTCTTTTTTTCAGTAAAAGAAGAAAGGAGGTTGGTCATGTCTACTTCAGGAAGTTTCTATCACCATGAGCCCTGGTTAATTAACTGATCTCACAGATGTATCAGCCTCCACCATATTGCCACAAAGCAACCCTCACCTTACTTACAGGGCCTCTTCAATTTGAGGCAGACAGAGGCAGGTCGACCCAGGGTACCCATTTCCACAAAAAGCCAACTAAGAAATATATTGCACTACATTCCATCCCCCAAGGAATACCTGGGCCAAGGAAACAGCTGGACCTTACAATGAGTTTCTGTTGGCACGGGGCCTGAGCAAAAGCAATCAGCCTTGCAGTGAATCCTGAAACAGATGGATCCCCTCTGTTTGTCCTTCCTTTCTCCACACCTAGGGCAAGCACAGGGCTTAGCAGGAACTCTGGAGACACGTGCATATATTTAAAAGGACATAAGTCTCAAACTACCCTTTTATCATAAATTGCATACTTTTTTTTCTACATAATTTGACTCCAAGGCAAAAGATCTTTCACCTCTGAAAATACATATGAAAAATCTGCCTGCCCCAGTGACCTAGCTAATGCGACCCTAGAATGTTGGGTGGGAGAGTCAGGTTCTGCCCATTGTGTGGGGTCAGTTGCTGACTCCTTTGCACTCTGGGCAAATCGCTTCTCATTCTTTGGTCCCTTCTTTATGTGACCCTCACCACCAAACAGCAACACGGAGCAGGGCACAGCAGGCTGCCACACCATGAGCCTTGTTTAAAAAACAGGGTCAGCCCCTCGCTGTGAACAGATTTTCCTCTGTAGAAACAGGTTCATGTTTATCTTTCAAGTTCCAGCAGCAAACTCGGGATCGCCAACATGTGCCGCACAGCTGCTGCAGTGCCTGATTTATGAACAAATCTGCATATAATTGTGTTGGTTCTTTTTTTTTTCCTGGTCAATTTTTTTTTCTTTAAATAAAATGGCTTAGTCCAGGCTGCATAAAGACCCAATTCTAAAGCCATATAATTTTATGGATGGGGGTGGGGGCAGGAACTGGGGGGAGTTCTTTTGTATGGCACCTGAACTCATTAAAATCCTAAATTCCATAATTTTACACTACCATGTGCCACAACTGAACAGCCTAATTGCTTACCGTCTTTATGAGAACCACAAACGAAGCAGGAAAACCAGGGAACAGGTGGGAAGGCCACACTGGGGTTTGGGGCCAAGCCCTGTCAAGAGATGGTGACCAGAACACAACTGAATGACTTGGGATTGTCAGGCTCTTTTCTCTTCACGATGTCCTGGATGTTGCCAAGAGTCAGTGGCGTTGTGAGGCATGTGTCAAAATCAAGAGATTCCTAAAATTAGACATCTCTTTGTGGTAACCATACAGTTCAGGTTTTTTTTTTTTTTTTTTTAAGATAGGGCACTAGAGGATGAGGTAAGAATCTGTGGTTAACGACCTTATCTCTGCCTATGAATTAACAGGCTCCTGAACACAAATAAAGGTTGCATCTTAAAAAAAAAAAAAAAAAAAAAAAAGGGTTGTTTGGATGCCAAGAGGTCAAGTTCCTTCCTTGGCCCCTCATGACAGGGTCTGGTTATTTGGGAGTCACAGGAAAATTCTTTAGCACCTATTCTACAGTCAAAAAAAACAACTGATTGGCTGAAATGACTGTTGTTTTCAATAACTTGGTTGATTATCTTGCTTTCTTCACATGGGAAACAAGCCCCTTTGAGGAAGGTGTTATAGTGTGGGGACTGCAGAATGGAGCCTAGAAATGTGCAACAAGAAAGAAGTTTCTGCCTCCTTTCTTCCCGTACATGCCAGTAGCAAAGACTAGACCAATCAAGCCACAGTTGTCAGGCTGCATTCTCAAGACTAGATAACCAAGCTGCTTGTTTCCTTCCCTACAAAAAATCATATTTCCAAAATTCAGCAATTCATTCATTTCTCAAGAAGCCTCACTCCTGAAAATTCAGGGTGCCATTGTTAGACCATAAGCCTAGATAACCATGAAATAAGAGAAGACCAAGTGGATGAGATCCAGAAATCTACTAAATTGAAAGGAGTTGGAAGATACTAAAGAATCAGGGAATTTGGAAAGTCCATATGGGTTAGCAGTGGAAACCATGAGTATGAGTTATTCAGAACCAGGCACAAAGTCTAATAATATGAAGTAGACATTAGTGTTGAATGGAGTTGATGGATGGATGGGAAGTCAGTGAGTTAGGAAGACAACAGTTGAGATTTGATCTCAGGGAAGAGAGTTCTAGAGGTAGAAAGGATAAAGGGGTAACCCTGGGCACCCTGATGATCACAATCAGAAGTTGCTGAGTACACTGCCAATGAGTGCTGTCCCCTAGCTAAGGGACAAGGATACCTTACCAGAAATCTAGTAAGGCCTAAAATAATGAACAAGTTAATTCCCTAAGAGAACTGTTCAGAGAGAGCTCCTAGACCTGGCCAAAGCTTTGGCCACTCAGCAATATTTCCAAAAAGTACTGCCAACTTCCTTAGAAAAAGGGCAGAAACGGCTCCTTCTCTCTTAACTAGAGGGATAGGATGTTTCAGCTTAATCCTCCGCAGGAACCTGAGAAGACATACCAAGAACATGGTGTCTTGTGTTAGGAATTCACTGACACAGAGCCCAGATAGATGTCTTTTGTGCCACACACAGTCTATGGGAAAACAGAGGTCTCTTACTTAGGCTCAGTAATTAGAGAGTGGGTCTGATATAAGAGAAAAAACACAGGACAAGGAGTCCTGCTTCTAGCTTTGCTGATTCCAAAATTAGGCCAAAAATACCAAGCAGAACAATTCATTTTTGTTCACCTTCCTTCCCCACTTTCTCCTCTCATTGTTCTCAGAAACTGTTTCCAGGCGCCTCTCTCACTGAGCACCCCAGACATTCCTCACCATTGACCAGCTCACAACTACATAAGCACTTACTTAGCATTAAACACCTGGCATTCACTGTGTCATGCAATCTTAATGACAACCTGCTGAGCCAGACATCATAATTATTCCCACTTAGCAGATGAGGAAACTGAGACAAAATTACTAATTTGATTCAAATTAACCTTGTAGATGCTAGTTTTTTCACAGCTGGTCCCCTGCCTTCCTTACTTGCTCTTTGTTCTTAAGGATCTCCTATTTCCTAAAGTTGTGGCTGCCTCTTAGGCCTAACAGGGTTCTATTCACCCAGCTGATTACTCAAAGCTTGTCCATTTCTACAGAATGGTAATGAATGTGAAAGTACTTAAGAAAGCATAATGAACCATACAAATGTGAAGTCTCATTTCTCTGTGTGTGTGTGTGTGTGTGTCGCATTCATTTCTGCTTCTGTCTGCTTTACTTTATATTCTCCCCGGATGCATTCACCTGAAATTCAGACTCCCTATTGTCTACCTCTTAGGCTAGCCCCCATACATCTGCAGTATGCCTTGAACCTCTCAGCCCTTGTTCCTTTCATACATGGAAATGATCTAAGGCCACTTCTGTACTAGACCCAGGAGTGATGGTGCTGCCTTGCTGATAGAAATTCTTTAGAAGACACCTTCTCCCCCTACTCCCCAGAATCCTATGGCTCTCTCATTTGCCTCTATTTGCCTCCCAGTGATTCTTATTGCCCTTCAAATTAGTCCCATATGTACTCCTTTAAAGCTTGAAATAGTCTTTCTTGTCATATCCTTGTATCATCAGCAAGAACCTTCTCTTGGGTTCAAAGAAAACAGCCACCTATTTGAGCATTTACTATATTCCTGGCACTGGACTAAGCATCTTACTTTCATTAAATTCTCTAATTTAATTCTCTGTAAGATATATAAAAATGTCATCTCAATTTAATGAATGGTAGAACTGAGGTTAGAAATGTGCCCAAGATCACATGAGCTGAGATTTAAATGAGATCTTATGTGTGTCTTCTAAAACTTATGCTCTTAACAGATATGCTGTATTCTACAATAAGAG
This sequence comes from Homo sapiens, assembly GCF_000001405.40. NCBI lineage: Eukaryota > Metazoa > Chordata > Mammalia > Primates > Hominidae > Homo > Homo sapiens. Next base: position 158,124,081 of record NC_000005.10, on the reverse strand, counting down.
AGATTTTGTTTTCTTTATTCTCTGAAAAGAATGAAAGCTTTACAACTTTTCCTGATTCACCAGATTCTCCTGTAATCACTGACAGATTCCTGACTCCCAGGTCAGGCACATTCCCACCGGAGGACCACATGCAGAGCAAGTTGTCTGTGCCCACCCTTTGTGGCACATGGCAACTTGATTTAATGTCCTATAAAACAACTGTTCCCTCATCACCAACCCATGCACATTCACACACAGCCACGGTTAGAGATTACAGAATGGGAAGTTACCTTAGTACACCTCAAAGATGGGGACTGAATGCAAGTTGATCTTCTGCATAAAGGGGAAGTCAGGTTAGAGATTTTTTTTTTTCATTCAGTAGGACTCACTTGCTTTCTGGTTAGAGAGACCCAACACTGAGAACCCAATGTTTCCCATTCTAGACTCATTTGCCTCTTTCAGTACTCCTGCCCATCAGTACGTTCCCTCTGGAGTAGAAAGCATTTGAATAAATCCACTCATGTTAGAGAAATGATCTACAGCATTTAAGAGAGTTTGTTTCCATTCAATTAACACTTGAGCAGGTATTCAGAAGTCTGACCTCCTCGATTAAAACCCCTGCTCCATCAATTTTTTTTAACCTCTCTAAGCCTCAGTTTCTTTAGTTGTCACAAGTATCAAATGAAATAATGCAAGTAAACTATTTAGCCAAGTGCCTGGCTAGGTCAATGGGTTTTCAGACTTCAGCGTACATCAGAATCACCTGGAGAGCTTGTTAAACTAAAAATGGATGGCCCCACCCCGAGAGTTTCAGATTCAGTAGGTCTGGGAGGAAGCCCGAGGCTAACAAATCCCCAGGTGATGCTGGTGCTCCTGGTTCGGAGGCCACACAGTGAGACCACTGGACTAGGAAGCTCATATAACTTATCATCCAAACCGGAGCCCACGTGAGAGTGAAAAGGAGCACACTAATCATTACAACACCTGTAAACCGGAGCCCCCAGGCCAAACAGAACAGGTGCCCACCCTCCCTATGGTCTTCCACTCCCCACGCAGCTGTGGTCATCTGTCTGCCTGCCCCAAAAGTGAGAATACTGAAATTACTGGGAGAACACAGACTGGCCTCCACAGGTAGATGAGAGGAACACACAGATGCGAAACCAAAACAAGAATAATAAAACCATATAAAGCAGGCCAAGGAGTAAGGGAAAGTGATCATGGATGGCAGGCCTGCACTTCTCCAGTTTTTCTGTCACAGCCAAAGGAAAAAAATATGGGAAATTAAAGGGAAGAGAAGCGAGAGAAGAAATGAAATTTATCTTTTCCTGGCCCTGCTAAAGGGGCACCTGGGTTCACGATGGAGTTTCTGTGATGGGGCCACATTGCTGGGAAGGCATGTTTGTTGTCCTGTCTCTGCAGGTAGGTGGAAAACCTATCTCCTGAAGACAGGGGAGAGTCTCAGTCAAGGTCAACTGCCCACAAATGTTCTCCCTCTTTTGGAGAAGGGAGCTCAGGAAAGAAATGAATATGTAAAAAAGAGGAAGGGATGGAGTGGTGTGAGTTAGTGAAGAGGATGCAAAAAGTCTTATATGTTTTCCATAGAAAACAGATCTTTTGACCCTACATACGAGATATCATTGTCTTGCATGTGGGTTAGGCCAATCGCATTTTATAAAACAAACAAGGAAAAGAAACAAGCCCAGAGCTGTGAAACACAGTCTCTCAAGAGGCCCCTGCCATTGCCAGTATGTCAGTGGCAGAAATCTCAGCATATCACCATTTAAGGGACCATGAAACCTCTGAGTGAGGAACAGCTCGTTTCCTGGCTCTCTTTATTACAATTCCTTCTAATTTAAAATTTATAATGAATGCAAACAATAATCAGTTGGTAAATACTGTTTTTAAGTTCACTAGAGCTTTGCCGAGATATCCCTTCTAGGTAACAAGTATGTGCCTCATTACTCTCTCATTAGCAAGTTAGAAATAAAGATGCAAAAAAAAAAAAAGGAAGAAAAGAAAAAAAAAAACAACACCCTCTCCAGAGATATTGTAGGAGTCTAATTGCCTGCAAGGAATTCTTAATAATGTTTACTAATGCCTTTTCAGCCTTGCCAATTTTATAATGCTCATTCCAGATTCCAGGTGTGATGTCTGTGGTGCCTGCTGTGATCTTAGTGAGTTTAGACACCTAGAAGAGTGACTTTGGAGAGTTTTTAGCCCCATCTTATGTCCCCAGCATGCAATCACATCCACTGGGGCTTTAGATAGCAAATTTGAAGCGCTAGCATTTTTATTTAAAATTCAATTTCTACTTGGACAAGGCCTGCCATTTACCTAACAAGACATAACACCATCTCAGCCTGGCTTGTTGAGGGCAAAGCCACAAGAGTGAACCTTTTGACAGACATTGCAAAGAGGAAAAGACATGTTTCCTCTTATCTCCAGAAACTCTGGTTAGGGAAGTTTATTCTCCTAACTGAAACGTCGATCTTTTGTTTGTAATCCTCTTTGGTGTTCTGGAGATCTAAAAACAAATGAAAGTATTTTACAGAAATAAAACAGTTTATACCAAATATTAGCTTCTTCAATCTCACCACTCGTTAAAGCAAAACACAGCAGGAAAGCTCAGTAAAAACCTATGGCAGTTTGGATATGGGGAAGCAAGTGTTGTTTGTCTTCTAAACAATCAATTGAATTACTTAGGAATAATATTTAGGAAGTAACTCATTGGCCCTTTGCATGTTAAGAAACAAAGGCGGCAGGGCACGGTGGCTCACGCCTGTAATCCCAGCACTTTGGAAAGCTGAGGCAGGCAGATCACGAGGTCAGGAGAGCGAGATGATCTTGGCCAATATGGTGAAACCCCATCTCTACTAAAAATACAAAAAAAAAAAAAAATTAGCCAAGCGTGGTGGCATAAGCCTGTAGTCCCAGCTACTCAGGAGGCTGAGGCAGGGGAATCAGTTGAACCTGGGAGGCAGAGGTTGCAGTGAGCTGAGATCACGCCACTGCACTCCAGCCTGGCAACAGGGTGAGACTCCATCTCAAAAAAAGAAAGAAAGAAAGAAAGGCAGGGAAACTGAAAATTCACTGCAGGTTAGAGACCATGTCCATTAGAGATCTGACTTCTCTATTCCCTCCCAGCCAAGCCCTATTCCTTCTGAGTCACCTTTCAGCCTCCTCCTCCTGTCCTCTAAGCAGTTGAGTTCCTTAAGCCTAAAGGGTCAGTTGTCTTAGCTGTCTTTCATTTGGGGAGTGAGTTTTAAAGAGAAGCAAATTGGAAATGGACTTACTCTGTTTTATTCATGCTGGTAACCTCTTTCTCTTTTAGTTTTGTAGTGAGAAGGAGGAAAGGGGGAGGGATGTCCTAACTCCATCAAAATTTCTTGCAGTTCTAATGTTTAAGAGAACTTTTGGAACTGACTTGTTTGCAACAGTCTGCTGTTGATTACACAGGGAAACCAAGCAGAGAACTGTGAACAAGTTCTCCACACCAGGTTCATAAAATAAGATTGAAAAAGATAAAAGAAACCATAATTTCAAAACCATCTAGACAAAAATCTGGCACTGTGCCCAGATTTGGGGCCCATTCCCTAAACAGGTCAAAGCCTCCAAAAGGCAAGCAAAAGATCCTTTTAGCCTGGGCCAGCGGAAGAGACTTGGACTGGAGTTCGGGCTTCAGGGTTCTGGGTCCTGCCATCAACCAGCTGTGTGATCTTAGGCAAGGTGTTTGACCTCTCTAAGCTTTGGTTTTAAAATCTTTACAATGAAATGGTTTGAGGGTGGGTAAGATCTGATGGTTGGGCTTGAACCCTGGCTCTACCACTTATTGGATACATAACCTTGGGCAAGTTAATTAACCAGAGTGTGGCTCAATCTCCTGACTTGTAAACTAGAGATCACTGCACTACTTACTTCACAGGGCTATTGTAAGAATTAAAGGAAAAATAATACATATAAAAACCTAGAATGATGCCTGAAATATGATACTTAATAGACATTGGATGCGTCTGCTGTTAAATACTCTGGCTGTAACTCACTGAAACTAACAGGCACAGGAAGGACACGGCAGTTATGTGAGCTGACTCTGAGAAAAGCCTGCTAATGTCTTGATGACTGAGCCTCATCGCTGATTCAGTCCTCCCGGGAACTCAGAATCCTGACCCCTGATTCCATGAAGAGGTATTTTTACCTGTTCCTCTTAAAAAACATACCTACAGTACACTGAAGTTTAAATTCCAGGTTCCCGAACCACACTTGGCAAACACCAACTCCTGCTCTGGTTTAGCTGCCCTCAAAGGCTCTCTGCATGCGTCTCTCATGGGGAAATCTCTAGTTCTAAGCTTGCTTTTACAATTTGTTAGCTGTTTAACCTTGACAAAGATGTTCAACTCCTTTGCTAATTTCTTTTCTAGGGAAAAGAAAATTATAATGTCAGTATCTTGCATGGCTCTAGAGATGAACAAATGAGAAGATAATGAAATGTTCACCGCTACCATTTATTGAGCCGCTATTACGTACCAGGCAACATACTAGACATTTTACATATATCATTTCAGTTCAGTAATCCTCACAAGAATCCTAAGAGGTAAGAAGTAAATAACACCATCCCTTGCCAGGGGCTTAGACTTCGAAGTCATTCTCAAATCTTTGTTCTTACATTCCACACCAATCCATAAGCAAGTCTTCTTGTCTCTACCTTCAAAAACTAGCTCCAACTCACTTCTCACCTATTCTACCTCCACCACTCTAGCCCTCGAACCTGCCTGGACCACTGCAATAGTCTGCTAGCCAGTGTCCTTGCCCCCTAGTGACATCCGCTGTCTCCACAGCAGCCAGCACAGCCCCCTTCAGAACATCAGCAGGGCCATTGCTTTTCCCTGTCAAAAGCCCCCAGTGGCTCTCCACCACACAGAACAAAACCCAATTTTAGCCATAGCCTACTGGCTGGCCTCTACCAACCTTTACAAAGTTTGGAACAAGAGTTCAAATTAAGCTCCATGAACAAAATTTGTTTAAGTTTTAAATAAAAAAAAAACTTTAAAAAATATTTTCTGTTTATCCACTTGATAAATATACAAAATGGTGAAGCCTACAAATATATGTAAATCCATGGCTCTTATATGACAAAAAGTATAAATCTATGGTTTTAAATGTCCGAAAGTTGGCAAAATATCAGATTGTTCCATTTAATAATTATTATTATGCATGTTTGTGTGTTTTGTTGATGGGCTAGCAAAGCTTGGATAAATGATAAAATAAGTATGTAGATAATGCAAATTATCATTCATCCAAATTTTTTATTTTAGCAAAATAAATGTTATTATAAGTAAGACTTTCACATAATTTGTTCTTTTGACAATAATCATCCAAAAGACTAAAAGTTAACTGTATTCAAATTACTCCATATTAAAATTAATTTTTATCAAAAATTCTAATATAACTGTACAAAATCAAAACACTTAAAATTATTTTTCCTGTTTGTAAAAATGCTGTTTTATTCTAAAATATTAATTTTATCTATTAAAATTAAAACAAAAGGCTAATTACATTAATGAATACCAATATTTTAAATCAAATTATTTAAATAAAGCTGAAATGTCTTTACTTTTTAAAAATCTAATTAAAACACATTAAAATCTTTTTATAAAAATAAAACTACTCATAATTCTAGTTTGAAAGAACATCTAGTTGCCAATATAAAGACTCAGTACCATATTTCATACTTTTTACCACTAGACATAAAAATACATACACAAATTTAGAAGTAATGTCAATTTTTTACTAAAATGTTCCTCAGCCACTATACGCAACTGAATTCATAAGCACTTTCACAATCACCTTTTGGAAGATGAAGCAAGAAAATGGATGACTGACTCCACTAGAAACTAACACTTTATTATGCAAAATTTTTTTGATATCTGAGAAGAAGAATTATCAAATTATTTGTCTTTCCTTTTACCTAAATACTTCATCTACTCAAATCCTTCCCACGTTCTGAAGCTGTGTTAGTTTCCAGGGTCGGCAACAGCATAGCCCTCAGTCAAACCTTGACAGCTTTTAGATGCAGTGGCCTTTTGTTTTGAGGACACAGGGCAAGAGATGTGGAGAAATGTTCCTCTGGAGCCTGAACAGTGTTAGTCACAAGAACAGATGTTTAGGATTATGGGTTGCTCAGTGTCAACACTGAGCTCTGAATCACAAATAATAGAGGCCCGTGTGTTTGTTAATAAATGTATGCTTTCTGGGATTAGGACCTTCTGAAGTTCTTGCCGTGACCTAAGGACAATACTGCCTACAATGTCCTGTATGACTTGGCTCTTGGGTACCTCTCCAACCTGTCTCCTGTCACCCTCTTCTTCCATCATGTCCATCCAATGAGATTTGTCTTCTTGCAGTTTCTCAATCACAACTGCCCCGGTGAGCACATCAGGGGATTTGCTGGCTACTCTGTCTTGAATGTCTTTTAGATATTGGTGTGACTCACAGTCTCAGGATATCATGTCTCTGCTCAGATGTCACCTTGCCGAAGAAGCCTCCCTTGACCATATTCTCCAAAACAGTACCTTTATTATTTAATACTTGCTATTCCCTTACCCTACTTTATTTTCTTCTTCACTTGTCTACCTGACATTAAATATTGCCTGCTTTTCTCACCAGAATGTCCCACTTTAGTTAACAAAATGCTGTGTAAGAGTAGAATAGTAGAAATTGGAGACTTCGGCCAGGTGTGATGGCTCACACCTGTAATCCCAGCACTTTGGGAGGCAGAGGTAGGAGGATTTCTTGAGGTCAGGAGTTCAGGACCAACATAGGGAACAAAGCAAGACCCCCATCTCTACAAAGAAATTAAAAAATTAGCCAGGCATGGTTGCTCATGCTTATAGTCCCAGTTACTCAGGAGGTTGAGGTAGGAAAATGACTTGAGCCCATGAGTTCGAGGTTACAGTGAGTCATGGTGATGCCACTGCACTCCAACAAGGGTAACAGAGTAAGAACCTATCTCAAAATTTAAAAAAAAAAGTGAAAGAGAAAGAGGAAGAGGAAGGGAAGGGACCGCCAAATTCACAAAGAAAAATAAAAAATATATATTTTATAGGTAAAAGTAAAAAAAAATATAAAGGATCTTTGACATATCAAAAAATGCAGTATAGCATAATCTCCATAAATTCTTTACATATGGGAAGCACTCAATAAATATTGCTTCCCCTTCCCTTTTTTTACTGCACTGTCCTCTTCCTCTTCTTGCTTGGGGGTTGGGGGGGCGCAGGTGGTGTTTTTAGACAAGATTCCTTAATCACTGTGAGGAAGAATTACTTGGAGTTTCTCAGAGACTTGAGATCAGCAGAGATGTACCAGTTGTGGGTCTGACCTGTTGTCCTCCAACAAGCAATAGAAGACAGAGGTGACTAATAGATCTCAAAGTAATGGGAAGAGAGTAAATAACAATGGCTACAACTTCTAAGACCAGTTGGCTTTTGCAAGTAATCCATACCTTCGAAAGTTATCACTGTTCGATCTAGTTAAGTGATTCCCTGCATTCTCATCCCTATCCACACCCCTTTCTGTTGTCAGAAAATTGAGGTCAGCTCTCTTGCTGTCTACATTCCTCTTTTTCTTTTCCCTACCACTTATCAGAGCACTGACCATATGCCAAGCACTGTTCTTAGTACTTGCCATGCTCTGCCTCATTTAATCTTTACACCAACCTGCAAGGCAGCTCCCATTGTTGTCCACATTTTACAGATGAGGAAGATGGTACTCAAAAATAAATGTAAAACATTTTTCAAGTTTAGCTAACACCGGAGCCAGTTTCTAATACAGTTTTGTTTCTCTCTAAAGCCTGTGCTCTTAACCACTATGCCTTCTGCCTCCTCAAATTCATTTAGATTCTTCAGTTCAACCAACAGTCATTGGGCACCTTCTAATGGAATGCTGTGGTGGGTGCTCTAGGGAGGAATATTAAGACACAGTCCATGACCTTAAGTTGCTTTACTGTAAAAGGAGGGGCAAGATTCTTACATAAGAAACGAAAAACAAAAACTATGGTATATGAGTTTTGACAATGGCATGGACAAAAAGTGCTTTAGGAATACAGGAAAAATAACTGTGAACTTGACCCTAAAGAATATGGCAACACAATAGAATACTACTCTCTCTATGGGCAGAGATACACATGCAGGCAATGTTTCCATTCATTTGTCCACTTACTGTGCAATATGTATTGATGTCTCATCATGTGCCTGGCAATATGCTGGGTGCTTGGCAGAATAAAATGAGTGCTTTACAGGAGAACATTAAATGCTCAGGAATAGGACAGATCTGGGTTCTATGAGGAATGGGAGGCTGCCTTCCTGGCTCCAGAGATCCCATTAGGAAAACAAAACAAAACAAAAAAATATGTTCAGCATTCTTTCTTTACTGCCCAGAGTATAAGAACATTTTGTAATCAGGAACCACTAAGTGGACCCTGGAGAGTCTCCATTCAGTACCAGGTCAGATTTCACTGGAGGCTCTTCCTTGTAACTCTCCTGGTGAGGCAAACTAGTATGGTCAAAGGAGCAAGTTTGAATCTTGACTTCAGCACAGGAGCCCTACGTTCCTAGGCAAATGATTTAACCTCTGAGCAACATTTTCCTGAATTATAGAATATAGAGGATAGTCTGTCCTTCACAGGGTTGTGGCAAGGATTAAATGAGATAAGATATATAAAAATGCTGGCAAATACTTGGAGCCGCCAAATTCACAGTACTTTTCTTTTCCTGATTTTCCTTACAAACTAGTTTCCTGCTTGACAAGCAAGGAAGTATAAGGAATTATAAGGAATTATGGTCTCTTTTTTTTAACGATAACTAAATTCACCCACCCCTGCAGGGTGATTTCTACCATCTAGCTTCCTTTGCAAGGTCTCACCTTCCCTGAGCACTCCCCAAACACATTCCCCAGCCCACCTCCACCTGTTTCCACCTTCCTCCTGGATTCAAAGCTCCAGCTTCTCTACTCAGGGTAAGAATTCACGCTGAGTGTCTTAGAGCTATTTAAGCTCATATAGCAAAATTATTATAACAGGGCAAGCCCCTGCTTTCCCCTGCAATAATCGGACACCTCATTGGGATAAATGACTTGGCCATCAGGTTTATAGTTTACCCATTTGGGAACTGGATTATTGCTTCATAAAACTGTGCTACATGGTACTATTATCATTTAATTGTGTTCCATAAAGAAAAAAAAAATAAAGATCTTGCCTTTTTGCATACTACCTTCCAGCATCATCCTCAGCACTTTAAGCACCTGTATACTTCAGGATGCTGACTCCTCCAGCACATTTCCTGTTGCCAAATATCTCTGAGGGTGGAAGATCATTCTGTGTGGCATACTTTCCTCTTCTGGGCACTTCTTCTCTAAAGGATAGCTTGATCTCTATTTAACGTGTTATTTCAAATCCCCCAGAAAATTGTGCTGGACTTTCTGACAACATTTTCCTTCCCAAAAGCATTATGTGTCTCATATTCCTTTATATATTCCCCGTTCAATGCAAGAACTGAACTGGGTGCATGATCATTTAAACAGTCACTATATTAGTTCATTTTCACACTGCTATAAAGAACTACTTGAGACTGAGTAATTTATAAAGAAAAGAGGTTTAATTGACTCACAGTTCCCCATGGCTGGGGAGGCCTCAAGAAACCTACAATCATGGCAGAAGGCAAAGGGGAAGCAAGGCACATCTTACGTGGCAGCAGGAGAGAGAAAGCAAAGGGGGAAGTGCCACACTTTAAACCAGCAGAGTCACCTACAAAAGTTATTCTTCCCTGTCTTTCAGTAAAAAATGCCAGTAGTCTTGAACATCATGATGTATTATAAAGAAAAATGCCAGTAATTCCCCCCTTGAAAGATACATTCTTTGGGATTAATGTATTTCATCTATTATAATGCAATTTCTTATATGCAGTGTCTGGGTAGGATGTAGTGAGTGGGAGAGCAAATGAAATAGGATTTACCTTGCGTTAATTAGCAGAGAGGTTGGTTGGTGGTATACAGGGGTTAAATATACTATCCTCTTCATTTTTGTATACATTTGAAGTTTGTAAAAAGCTGTTATGCTGGGAGGAGTCATATAGTTTTTTTTTTTACATTTTATTATTAATTCATCAGGCATGATAGCTTCAAGGAATAACGCAAGGAACACTGATGGGAAAGCAAAGATGGAAATATACATACTCATCTCCCGATGATGGCCCTGTCCCAGTGCAGCTGGGGGTTATATCCCATGAAGCAGCTGGTAAAATGTGGCCTCATGAGTAGGGCTTTGGGGAAGAAGGACATCAAGAAGGGCTTAAATAGGTGGAATAAGTGGGCACTTCAAGCTGTTTGAAGGAACAACAGGGTTTGGATAAAGCTGGTTTCAGTTCTTGCATTGAGTGTCTGGAGTGCATAGAAAAGAGCACGAGACATAATGTTTCAGGGAAGGAAAATGTTGCCATAAAGTCTAGAATATTCCAGAGTCAGGAAATGATGGAAGGTGGGGCATTGAGAATGAACACCAACTGTTTCCTGCCATGGCTTTCGTCATCTTTGTAAAACACAAAGATGACCTTTCTTTGACCTAAAATCCCTCTTCATCTTCTCATTGCACTCAGGACAAAGTCCCAACTCCCCAGCACCCTCTGCATGGCCCCATGTCTGGTACCCTCCCTCTCTCTGGCCTCAACTTGCTGTTCTCTCCTCGCTCTATTCTCCACCCACAAATGCCAGCAAATACGCTAACATTTTAATAACGATTCTCTCTGGGTCATCAGCTTATGGGTAATTTTTATATTTCTTTCTGCTTTCAGTTTCTAAATTTTCTACCATGAACCAAGATTATGTTTTTAGTCATAATTTTTTTAAAGAAACCTGGAAACTTGTGTGAGAGGAAGGAGTTTAAGGAGGCAAGTTTGTCAAGGATGCTGGAGGCTTTAGAGAGGGCACTAAGATAAGAGCTAACAGCACAGGAACATTTGTTCCTACAGCAACAAATGGCTCAGGAGTGACAGAAGCCAGGGAAGTCCTGGGGACAGACTGAAAATTATGGGTGAAGTGGGGCAAGACTGAAAGAAAGGTAACATTTCATGTCTATTCTGCCAAAGAGCATCTGGAAACAAAGGAAGAAATGGAGCAGTGGTTTGAGAGGGAGGCAGAGTTAAAGTACTTTTTTTATTGCTTATATTTGATTTTGTTTGGTTTTCTAGCTTGAAGATATTTAAATGTGTCTGCAAATTAAGCACAGCGCTGGCCAAAAGCACTCCCCTCTCTATATCTATATTGGTCTATATCACATGTGACTTTGTTGTCTGGGGGATGATTTTTCAAGGTTACAAAATGCTTTAAACAAACTTTGGCCCATTTCCATTTATAAAAAATGATAACTATCTATAGATGAAAATATCATAAGGATGAAGGTGGTTGGAAAAGGTCCCTCTATTAACAACAAATGACTACGGTCTTACCTACTTCCAGCCTGCTTTATTATTTGTTTTTACTTTAACCCTAATTCCTTTCAGCTTCCGGACCTCTGTTTTGATACTCATCTGTAACAGTGGTTCCCAGTGACCCTTGGAGTCTTTTCAGGGTAGTTGACAACGATTTGTTGAGTTAGTGGCTTGATAAATGTATATTTTCAAAGAGCATTTCCCAGAGGTCTTGAGGGTTGGAAAGGGTTATTTAATTACATCATAAAGAGGCTAAAGAAATCAATGTTGGTATCTTAAAGCTACATGGAATTCAAAGAGTTAGCTAACCCAAATTCTACATTTAGAGGGGTAAACTAGAGCCATGGGAGGTAAAAGATCTATAGAACAGCCTCCATGAATTGACGACTGAGTCAAGGTTCGGAACTCAGGCATTCAGACTCCCAACCCAGTGCCTTTTCCATAGGCAATCATTTTTCTGGTAGTGATCCTGCCCAACAGAAGCATCTCTTTCCTCCTTCCTCACCCCATAGAATTCCAAACTCCCTGGAGAAAATAGGCCTGATAGAGCAGTGGTGGTTTTCTGTTGCTGTTGTTTGTTTGTTTTAGTATTATATTTAGAGAAATCTTCAGAAAAAAAGAAAAAAAAAACTTCCATAATAACAATGAACAAGACTCTAAGGAGAATAAATCTCCCAGCATTATTGGAACCAGAAATATTCCTTAGTGTCCCCTGCCTCGAGCCCATGTGTTATGTATACCAGTGAGACCTACATGGAAAAGGGAGTAAAAATGGGAGTGGACATTGCTTCAGTATTGTTTTCAGCGGTCTATTGGCCAACATAGCTGCTTGTATGTGTGTCTGGGTTTTTTTTTTTTTCCCCAGAGATTTGGATTTCCTTGCAGCCAGATCTCATGCTTAGGTACAAGCAGTGGGTGAGAGAAGAACTGCCACGTCCATCTGCCCACATGGACTGAGAAGGGGCCCCTCGCTGTGGGCATGGGAAAGCCTGCCTGGGAAGATCTCCCGCTTCCTTTCCCCAGTTCCCTGCAGCTATTCCAGGATGCACTCTCGGCTCCCCTGTGCCTTGGGCTTGCTTCTTTGGAGCCAGCCTCCCTTAACTCCATAGCACCTTCTCTGATGACCGAGTGACATCATGGGGTAAAGACAGGCCATAAAACTGCACAGCTGGCTCCCAAGAAGCCCTAAGCTCCAGAAGAACAGCGGATTTGCAAATCCTAAGGGGGATATGAACTTGATTCCATGGGTAGGGGATGTACCCTGGCTTTGTGCATTTTTTTCTTTCTAATTGGCCTTGTTATGACACAACCCAGACATCGAGTCACCAAGTAAAGACAGCCTAAAAATAATGTTATAGAACTGCTGTCTTTTAAGGAGTGTTCTAATAATTAAGTTACCAGGGCTTCTGATGAGCAAATTCATTCTAATAATTAAGTTACCAGGGCTTCTGATGAGATGGTCAGCACCTCAAGAGGAACATAGTCCTGAACTAATAAAAGGGACTTCAAAATGGGTTAACCCTGTTTCCTGCCACCTCACCCCTCTCCTTTGTGAATACAATCAACTCTAAAGCCCACTGAATGGAGACTGTGCTTTGGGTAAGAGTATGAACACTGGAAAGCTCAAATGTCAACCTATGTCAGTCCATCACAATATACATAAGTGGCATCAAGACTCCTAAGCATTGTTATATCTGATTTTGAGGGACCTGGAACCAGGTACCAGCTTTACAGTAAATCAGGACCAATGATCAGAATATATTCAGTCATGGTGATTATAACCTTATACTCCCAATATATATAATTTAACGTACAGCCATCCCTTGGTATACACAGGGGATTGGTTCCAGGACCTTTGGTGAATACCAAAATCAGTGGATACTCAAGTCCTGCAGTTGGCCCTGTGGAACCCAAATATAGCATAAGTCAGTCCTCTCCATATGCAGGCTTTGCATTCTGTGAATACTGTATTTTCGACAGGTGTTCGGTTGAAAAAAATCTGCACATAAGCGGACCTGCACAGTTCAAACACTTGCTATTCAAGTGATAACTGTAGTCCTATTCTTTTCAGTAAATCACTTGATTCCCAAATTATATCTAATATATGTATATGTCAACATGAACTGGGAAGCAACGTAGTATAGTGAATAAGATCACGGATTTCTGAGTTGGAAAGACAAGTATTGATTGACTTTTGTTAAGTCCATTAATTTCACTAAGACTTAGTTTTTTCAACTGTAGAGTAAAAATATTCCCAATACTTACCTAACAAGTAGTGGAAAAAGTAAAATCATGTAAAAACCCTAAAACAGTATTTACTCAATGAGTGTTAGCTCTCATTTCATAACTAAACATGATTTTATTTTAAAACTTTATAAGACCTAATTTAAAAGTAAATTTATAAATCAAATAACTCTTTGACTGCATGATCTAAGTTTTAGTCTAGAAACTGGTCACAGTGGAAGAATATAAATGCAAAATATAGGCGTGACACAGTGACTTACACCTGTAATCCCAGCACTTTGGGAGGCTGAGGCAGGTGGATCACTTGAGGTCAAAAGTTTGAGACTAGCCTGGCCAACATGGTGAAACCCCATTTCTACTAAAAATATGAAAATTAGCCAGGCATGGTGGTGGGTGTCTATAATCCCAGCTACTCAGGAGGCTGAGGCAGGAGAATCCCTTGAGCCCAGGAGGCAGAGGTTGCAGTGAGCTGAGATCATGCCATTGCACTCCAGCCTGGGTGACAGAGTGAGATACTGTCTCCAAAAAAAAAAAAAAAAAAAAGTGAACTATAAATTACCCAACAATGACTGTGAGTACATCATTTCTATAACATTCTAAATCTATACATCAAATCTATTCATCACTGTCTTTTTCTCCTTATTAAAAAAAAATGCAATGCCATGGTTTTCGAAACAAATCAACAAGCAGGGAGAAGAACTGAACACAGAAGGAGAACTAGACCCCAGGCCTGGCTCCACCCCTAGTTGATGATTTGATAATGTCACCTCCTCTATGTGAGATTTGGTTGCCTCTCTATAAAATAAGGGCTTTGAAATGTACCTGCAGGTCCCTTTCAGACCAAAGGCTCCAATGACTACTACTTCAGTGATTTAATAAAACTAATAAACAGCAGGAAAGGCCTGACTTCAGACAGCAATTCACTTCCTCCCTCCATCATTCAGATGACCATGTGCAAGATGACAAACAAGCATCCAGACAAACAAGGGCTGGTGTAAGGTGGGGTTGACAAACTCTGCAAAGCACTCTATTCAGTCTCCAGGAGGGAAGTACCCTGGGCTGAGTATATGAAAACGGCAGCCAGCCCCTCCAGCCCCAGGGGTGGGAACTTCTACAGACCTATCAAGAGGTGACCCATATCCTTTGGACACATGGAGTGTTGGCAACAAGGAAAATCCTGTCTCTAATCCAGGCCACCAGGAAAACCTCATCAATATAAAAGTGTAAGCCTTTAGCTTGTCTCAACATCCTTATTCCTGGAAATAAAATTGGCATCAAAATGTCTTCAAACAGACTGCAGCCATGATGCATCCTTGAGCTTCCCCTGATTCAATCCTCAACCATACACAATAGCAACCATCATTAGTTAATCACAACACCAAGAAGCCTATGAGGCCTCAGAACCCTTCTGAATGCCCATCATTCAGATGGGCATTAGAATTAAAACCTACTTGTCATTGAGAATACAATTTCCAATTGGATATAAAATATAAGACTTAAATACATATTCTGATATCAATGATGTTTTCTAAATTATGCTGAAATGCTAAATCTCTGGGTGGCGGGATTACGGGTCATTATTATTTTCATTTTATTTTCCAAATTTTTTACAATGGGTTTGTATGACTTTCATATTCAGAGAAAAAATAATTCTAAGAGAGTTTAACAAAAAAAAAAAATCACCTTGATTGCTTTTTGAAACTGTTTAAGAAAAACCACCAAGCTTGTCCACTTATTTGGGAGAATAGTTTGGATGAATGAGACTAGTTTGGATTTCTGCTTTGCTCCTTTAATATATTATGTCTATGACAGTTTAAATCAAAAGGCAATGTGACATGGTGAGAAAAATGGAAAGTCAGAAGGCATGAATTCCAATTCTGCCCCTTAACTAGCTTTGAGGAGGTGAGCAAATCAGAGGTCCTCTGGGCCTCTGAGTGTAGGACTGGAATCAGATTGTCTACATCCAAATCCTGCCTTCCCTGCTTTCTAGCTGTGTGCCCTCACATCAGTGACTTAACCTCTCTGTGTCTTAGTTGCCAGTTCAGAAATTGGGACCTTAATTTGTCCCTGCCTCTTGGGACTACTGTGAAGATGAAATAAGATAGCGTATGTAGGCCTTTAGCGTCACAATTGGCACTTTGAAAGTGCTCAGGGAGCATTGCTGGCAGCATCAAGATGACATTTTCTGTCCCAAAGCAGAGGGAAGTCGGCAAGTTCTTGAGGGACCTTCTTGTCTTTACTCTCCAATGCTTTCCCAGAAACCAAGCCAGTCCTCCCCACAGAAGCTCAGACTCTCCCCGTGCCCGGCTTCTGCCTTCCCCCTGACATTCATTTAGTTCCCACCATTCCTCCCAACCAGCCTCGAAGACCTCCAGGCCACCCTGGGGGCCAGGAAGGGGTAAAGGAAAGGACGTGGTTCCTGCTGCCATCCATGGAACATCAAGATGACCTCTCCTACCTTTCACAGACACGGTTTGTGTGTGTGGCCTAAGACAAAGGGAACACTGTTGACTTTTCTGTGTGGGAGGCTATCTCTGATCCCCCCCCTGTTTGTTTGATGAATTGTTTGGGGTAGATAAAATATCCCTATCCCACTCTCCTCGACACAGCCACCAGGAGCAGATTAACAAAAAACGTGCTGGACACATCGGAAAATGCAACCCTGCAAAAACACTTCTTGAGGGAGAAAAAATTATTTTGTCTCTTGCTGATAATTTTCCCACGCTCTGTGGCCAGTCCATGCTGGCCTGAGCTCAGGGTCCCTTCTCTCATTTGGAAGCATCAGGAGGACTCATAAAGACCCTACACACGGTTTGCAGCTAAAGCTGAAACCGATGGGAGAGGGGCCCAGAACATCCATTGGGAATACAGACGACTGACTCCCAGCCCCTGCAACCCATGAACCTGCCACAGAAGAGAAACAATAGGAATATAAACACAGGAATGTAGAGCTTAGAGAAAGTCAACTAACAGTCACAAAGTACTGTGTAGCCTGGTAGTTAAAGGAATGGGCTTGGAGTCAGACAGACCTCAGTGCCCAACCTGGCAGTGCTGCTTGCTCAGGCAGGTTATCTTGCCTAACCTCTGCTGCACAGGCAAAGAAGAAAACTGACTTCACAAAGGTTGTTGTGGGGCTTAAAGGAGATGATGGAGGTAAAGGATGTAGAAGGTGGCAGGTGGCTTTAATAATTATATGTACATCGTTGAATTCAAATCCTCTATTTTGTCCTAGATTTTAAAGGACATTGAGAGAGGCAAGAGGCCCTTCTCTCGAGTAGGAAGCGCTTTAGCATGACAGCAGCCCCTTAAAGAACTCTCAACTACTTCCAGAGAACACTCTGTTTTAAGGACCATGGCTAACCCATGCCACCCTTGCACATGGTCTTCACTCTGTAACTGTAGCTGATACAACTTTAAATTATAAAGGTTGATGATTATAGGGCAGTGAGTATGGAACAGACAGCATTCTAGGTGCTTTTCATGCATCCTCTTATTTTATCCTTAGAGAACCCCTTATAATAGTAGTAGTATTCAGCTGGGCGCGGTGGCTCACACCTGTATGCAATCCCAGCACTTTGGGATTTGGCTCACACTGTAATCCCAAGGCAGGCAGGTCACCTGAGGTCAGGAGTTCAAGACCAGCCTGACCAACATGGAGAAACCCTGTCTCTACTAAAAATACAAAATTAGCTGGGCGTGGTGGCGCATGCCTGTACTCCCAGCTACTCGGGAAGCTGAGGCAGGAGAATCGCTTGAACCCAGGAGGCAGAGGTTGCGGTGACCCAAGATCATGCCATTGCACTCCAGCCTGGGCAACAAGAGCAAAACTCTGTCTCTCTCTCTCGCTATATATATATTAGTAGTATTCTCCTCATTTTATAGAAAAGAAAGCTGAGACTTAGAAACTTGTCCAGGGTCACCAGCTAGTAAATGGCAGAGTTAGAATTTACCTATGCACGTATATGAGCATTTCGTGCATGTCATTGGCTGTGGGAGAATCTGATGCTTTCCTATGGCAAGCTGCTGAGATTACCCTTTATCACACCACATTAGCCTTTCATCCATAAACAGACCCACATTGTGAATCTGTGCCATGCCTTAAGTTGGGACCCTTTTGAGGGTGGCTGGAAATCAGATTAAAGCATTACTCCAGCCAAGCCCTATAAACCCCCTATTTTATACAGTCTTATTCAGTGATACACACAAGGGACCCTCAGAAATCCGTTCAATGTCATCCCTTTTCTAATGACAAAACAAAGACTCAGAGAGGTAAAGTGTCTACAACAAAGACACACACACGGCTATCTGCCAGGTCTACAAGAACCTAGCTCTCCAAATTTCTTGCTACCATTTCACGCTCTGTACCTCTAATGTCATAGTCTTCCTTGCAGAGGAAGCATGGACTTTTACCAGGGTTCATAATAATGGTTGACAGTCCTCTTCCACCCCTAGTTTCCATGTGGCAATAGAAGAGCCTTCACCATAAATCTGACAAACTGACACCTTCCACCATACCAAGGAGAATGCCCACTTGCCAGCATCACATAGCTGTCCTAAGTAGGAGGCACCCCTCTCTTCTTTCCACTAATTTCATGCAGCCCACCTTGCTCTCTTGCTGCCCTAACTGCCCTGATGGAGCCATGTCATCGTGCTAATGAATAAGGCCATTGTGGATGTTGCTCCTCTTATCGATAACAACTATTGTCACTGGGTTCTGGGATGTAAGAGTCATGAAGAAGATGTGTCCATTCATTCCTTCATTTAGTAACTCAGCAAATACTTACTGGGCCAGGCACAGTGGCTCATGCCTGTAATCCCAGCACTTTGGGAGGCCGAGGTGGTTGGGTCGCCTGAGGTCAGGAGTTCAAGACCAGCCTGGCCAGCATGGTGAAACCCCATGTCCACTAAAAATACAAAAACTAGCCAGGCTTGGTGGTGGGTGCCTCTAATCCCAACTACTCAGGAGGCTGAGGTGGGAGAATCGCTTGAACCCAGGAGGCGGAGGTTGCAGTGAGCCGAGATCATGCCACTGCACTTCAGCCTGGGCAAAAGAGTGAAACTCTGTCTCAAAAAAAAAAAAAAAAAAAGAAACTTACTGAACACCTGCTATGCAACAGGCCCTGGGCTACGTGGTGGAACACAGTGAACAAGCAAACAAGCAGACATGATCCCAAATCAGAACCTGCAGCCCTGAAGAGACACAAATACTAAACAGGCACACACACCAATAAATAAAATGATTATGAAAATGCAATAAAAGAAACCAAACAGGATGCTATGGAGAGAGAAACAGGGCAGGCCCACCTAGGATCAAGTGCTCAGGACAAGGCCATGCTGAAGAGACAACCTCCGAGCAGATGCCAGCAGGATGCTTGAGGGCTTCATGAGAACAGGACAGAGACTTTTATCATTCTGTCCCTGGCTCCCTTCCAGGTTTTCACCTTGCTCCAAATCTGCTCCGAATACTGTTTAATATTTTTGATTATAAAAATAAGATATATTCATTGTAGAACATTTAGAAACTCAAAAAAAGGTAAAAGAAAAATCAATTTGCCCACAAACTCACTCATAGTGCCATTATTGCTAACGCTAACTGGCATATGTGTGTGTGTGTGTGTATGTGACTATATATATATACGCATATTTTATATATATGCATATATATATATAATAGTATTAAGAAGAAACCACTTTTAGTATTGGAAAGAAAATGTATGGACATGATAAATCCAAAGCATAAAAAATGCATAATAAAAATTAAGTTATTCTTCCACCCTAACCACTACCACCCCCTGTGTGGTTCCCCAGAGTAAAGATTTTTTTGTGTGGTCTTCCAGAAATACATATATTGCATAAAATTCTATTATTCTATAGGCTTTATTCTGCTCCTTGCATTATCACTTAAAAATATATCTTGGAGTGGCCGGGCACCGTGGCTTACGCCTGTAATCTCAGCACTTTGGGAGGCCAAGGAGGGCCAGTCACTTGAGGTCGGGAGTTCTAGACCAGCCTGGCCAACATGGCAAAATCCCATTTCTACTAAAAATACAAAAATTAGCCAGCATGGTGGCGCACGTCTATAATCCCAGCTACTCAGGAGGCGAAGGCAGGAGAATCGCTTGAACCCGGGAGGCAGAGGTTGCAGTGAGCCAAGATCACGGCACTGCACTCCAGCCTGGGCAATGGAGTGAGACTCTGTCTCCAAAAATAAATAAATAAATAATAAATATATATATATCCTGGAAAAGCACATATACTCTTTATTCTTTTTAAATGACTATTAATGCATATTTTTATATAACAGAGACCACACTGTATAATAATCTTGCATCCTGATTTTTCTCTTAATATTGTATCATTAAAAATTCTTACTTCATTAAAAATCATTTGTAAAAAGAAATTTTAATGACTGCAAAATATTCTACTGAGTAAACTATAATTTACATAAATATTACCTAATTATGAATATTTTGAATCCTTCAGAAAATATTCACAATGCCTTCAATGAACATTATGTATAAATCTTTGCTATGTTTCTTCACTTACAGAATCTGGAATTTATTTCTATAAAAATTTATTGAGACCTCTTAGGAACCCTGTATCGTTCTCTAGTCTATGCAATACCAAAGACAAATATGTGAATATTAATTTTTAAATAATAAGAAACATGCACTATACTATAAACAAATTCTCTCTAGAAGACCCTATCTCCAGGTAGACTAAATCAACTGTGCTCTAGACAGCAAGACAAATGCTTGTTATTATTTTTTCTATCTTATTCCTTCCCCCACTGACCTTTCCTCACCAGTGGGGCAATAAGATTCGAAGAGACAAGGGTTCAGAAATTAGGCAAAGGAGGCCACTTAGCCAGCTTAGATTCTAGGCCTGGGTCTCCTTCTGCTTAAGGAAGAGGATGCCCTCCCTTTGGCCCAGAGAGTTCTACACTAAGGTGGGAGGCTAAAGCCCAAGCTGGTAATAACCTGTCCATCTGCCTGGCTTTATTGTGGGTACACTTCTTTTGGGAACTTTGCTGGGACTGGGAGGAAGTGGCTGAGACCAGACAGAATCTAGATGCCTACCTAATATCCCTACTAGATATCTATCCACCTGTACATAATTATGGGCTTAGTATACATGAGTATAGTTTCTGGAGCCAGGGCGCCACTATTTCCTAGACAAGCTATTTAAACTCTCTGTGGTTCCAATTTCCTCATCTTTAAAATGGTGATAATCATAAAATACTATACAGCCATAAAAAAGAATGAGATCCGGTCCTTTGCAGGCACATGGTTGGAGCTAGAGGCCATTATCCTTAGCAAAGTAACACAGGAACAGAAAACTAAATACCACAAGTTATCATTTGTAAGTGGGAGCTAAATGATGAGAACTCATGGACACAAAGAAGGGAACAAGAGACACCGGGGGGTCCTTAAGGGTGGAGGGTGGGAGGAGGGAGAGGAGCAGAAAAAATGACTATTAGGTACTAGGCTTAGTATCTGGGTGGCAAAATACTCTGTACAACAGACCCTCATGACAAGAGTTCACCTACATAATAAACCTGCACATGTACCCCCAAACCTAAAATAAAAGTTTTTTAATGCTGATAATAAGAGAACCTACCTCATAGGACTAATGTCAGAATTTTATGAGTTAATTTCTTATAAGTAATTTAGAAGGATGCCTGGGACATCATAAGCACTCAATAAATGTTTATTTGCAATAAAGTTATAATTATTACGAGTAATATTATAATTTGTAATAGGTGGGCAATGAAGTTGAGCATTTAAGTTTTTAAAAACTCATCCAATTCAAACAGCATGATAGAAGAGGCCCAAAAGGACTCAAACACTTCACAAAAGCAACTGCAAATATTCAACAAACCCAACACATTACTTGATCATAGGACCAGGGGTGGACATGGTTAGAATAAAGTGGTGAAAGATAACTTGATGTGTTGAATTGTTCAGACCAAGCAGTGGACCAAGTCATATAGACTTCCCTTCATCCATCACATGGTCTCATGACGGAGGAGATACTACTTGCATCCAATCTTATTTCCAGCTCTGCTAGGATGGAGTAGGTGTATAAATTTGTCTGGAAGGCATTCTCAGCAGACGCGATCATATTAGCCAAGGATGGAAGTATACTGCATGCTCAGAAAATGCCAAGTGGCTCAGGAGAGATAGTACTGGAGCCTTCCTCATGGCTAAAGCCAGAACATAGCAGAAGTTAATCCCAGAAAGATAGGATTTGGGTCAGAACATGCATGGCCTCTAAGATTACATAGAAGTGGTTACACTTATCCAACAAATACAGGAAAAGGAATAAATCTTCATATTTCTATTTTAAATAAACTTATATGTGGCCAAGTCAAGAATGTACCAAATGGTAGAAAAAGTAGAGGCCAAAAGCTGTCTTAAGGTTGTTATCAAGAATCTCGATGAGAGATGATGAGACCCTGAGGTAGGGTGATGGAGAAGGCAAGAGGGAGGGAGAAAAGCATCAAGAGATATTTTAGAGATAGAAGCAAGGAGTGTTGGTGATGGTTTAATGTCATAGGTGAAGAGAGAAGAGTTAAAGTTGTCCCTAAGCATCATGTCAGACAAGAGATGAGGGCAGAGCACAGGTAATATTTGTGGTTAAGAGACATTCTTTGCAAATGGTAGTGATGAGAGGATCATGTTCTGGTGGTGTTGAGCAGCAGAGGAATCCCTGGGTATCTGAGTTCCAGGGTTTCTATGAGGTCAGGAGGCACCTGAAGTAGTAAGAAAATCGTTAAAACCAGAGATGGAGGATGTGCCATAGTCTTTACCCATTTGACTATATTGCCAAGTGTAGGTCCCGCCAGTTAGAATCTACCTTAATTGCCTTCCAATGCGATGCCATTCTCCCAATGCCTCCACATTGCCTCGCTCTGCTTCCCAAGAAGAGTGAAGTGTCCTTCCTCTGTACCCCCCATGGTATCCAGCATGCATGACCACAGGCGTTATGATTATATGTTCCTCTACCTACTTTCCTCTAGACCATGAGCCTCTTAATGGCAAAGAATGTGTCTTATTTATCTCCATTGAGTCAACACCTAACACAGTGTCTGGCACATAGTCAAGCTACAATCAGAACCTTATGGTGCCGGATCGTTTATTGCCTAATATACAAAGATGATGGTGTACAGTTGCATTAGCCCCTCGCAGACAGTTGCCATGTTAATGTTCCTTGACCTGTTGAAATTGATAGGTGGAGATGTATAGTCTGAAAAATTCTAATCAAGACACTCAGACGTCATCTGCTGCATTCTAAATGCACTATAGACCCATCTGCCTTTTCTCATACTTCACCACAGTCATTTCGTTATCTCTATTTCTGAAGTTCCACAATAAAACTTTTAAAAATCTCTACCTTACCAATACCAAGGAAAATAGTCATAAAAAAACTAGAGACCAAACTCAAAGTGAAAAACTGATGACAAGCAATATATTTTTCTATTTTAATTATTATTATTTATAAACCTGTTAGATATCTGAATGGATTATAAAGAGTATGCCAAGATTTCCAAGATTTAATTTGGGTTTTACAAGCAATGAAAGCAAATGAGGCATTCATCTCAAAGTAATTTCTCAGCTAGTATTATCACCCTCAGTGCACTGACGAGGAAAGCAAGACACAGACACAAAATAGGGAAGTACACAGCCCAAAGTCACATGCAGAATCTGGGGACAGTGTGAAATGGAATAGAACTCCTGATTCTGAGCACTAGGCCAATGGCTGTTTATCTTTAGTGGGCAGCAAAATCACTCAGCATGTTTGTTTTAAATGCCGATCCTGGGCTCACACCCAGACCTGATGAATCAGATTCTATAGGGGTGATGCCAGGAGGCTACACTTTTTCAAGCTTCCAGGGTGATTTGTATGAACACCTAAATTTGAATGCCACTGTTCCACTGGTTCAGGGGCCAGGAGCCATACCATTAGAAACACAACACTAGACTCTTCAAGTGGTTCTGCAATGTCTGGCTTAGCCAGAATGCCACTTTGTGGAAATCCAAAGGAAAGCAGCAAGCAGGCATTATGGGAGGCCCTTCCTAAGATGCTCTTTGACGCCCCACCATGTTCCACCTCACCAAGCCGGCCTGGCGAACAGGACCCAGCGCTGCCAGCATCCTCACTTCCCCAACACCGTCATGCAGGCTGGGGAGCCTTCCCTTCAGTCCTGCTTCTGAAGGACTGGGATGGGACAGCTCCCACTCCCAATCCTTCCTGCAAGATGTTTTTTTGTTCTCTGTACAATTAATTAGATAATAATTTTTGCTTCTGATCCATTCCTCATTAAAAAGCTGAATCCCCGAGTTGGAGCTGTCGGAACAAAGGTGGGAGAATTTATGTCTTAATTTTGGTTCATTATGGCAGGAAGCCTCTTACTCCCATCCCTCTCTCCTCAGCCCCTCCCCTCCTGCTCTGATGGCTCTGTGACCCTAAATGCCTCTCGCTCGGCAGCCACCATGGAGACACTGTCTCTGCCCTTTATCTTCCACCGCCTCATTAAGAGAAATGAACCTGAGTCTGAGAAAGACGACACAGGGGAAATAAAAATGTAATCCCTTGGTGCCACCTATAATGAATTGTTATGAAAACCATGAAAATATCTGTCTGCGGATATTGTTCTTTGATTTGAAGTCAGTGTTGTAAGCGGTAATTTTTGTCATTAAAGCTGTTAATCTGCTCAGCGCTCCTCATAAGTTTTTATGAAGAAAAACGGCCCTGCTGCCTCCCTGCTCATTGCA
Organism: Homo sapiens; assembly: GCF_000001405.40. Taxonomy (NCBI): domain Eukaryota; kingdom Metazoa; phylum Chordata; class Mammalia; order Primates; family Hominidae; genus Homo; species Homo sapiens. The sequence continues at coordinate 158,099,609 of NC_000005.10, read as the reverse complement.
GGGTACTTTGGGGCCGACACACATGCAGAGCACCGTGGAATAATTAGCTTTAATTATGGCTGATACTGCTGTCTGTGGAAAGTGGAGGGACTTCATGCTGCTAGGGCTGGGGATGGCACCTGCTCAGCCCTCGAGATGCCAGAGGAGAGAAGCCTTCAGTTTCAAGGCTCGGCTCCCACCCATGGTCAACCCCCACTACCATGCAACCACCAGCACCCTGGGGCACAGCAGATGCACTCTGGCCACCACACTCACACCAAGCATGGATATGCACACTAATGCACAAACACACACACACACACACACACACACACACATACACAGCCCTCACAACATACACATTCCAACAACTTCATCTCCCCTCATCCCCCAATCTCCATGCCCAAGCTCAACCACCACAAACACTCATATCACCCGTGGCCAACTTATACATCTACTCATAACATACCAAGACATGCACCAACCAAGACACACACCCCCTATAACTCAGTATCCACAACAAGTTATGCGCCTGCATACCCAGAACATGAATATTCAGCCAAATCACATGCATACCCCCATTTCCTCAGCCACAACCCACACCAACGCCAACATACACATACCCAACCATGACATATGTGCCTTGACAACCTACAGCCTCCAGCCAACCTCAAACAGACACATACCCAGGGATGAAGCACACACCTCTACATTAGCTCTACAAGAGAGTCAAATCAATCACGCCTATAATGTGAGAGGCCCAGCAATAAGGTCCAGAGGGCCAAATGTTCTTGACCACAATGAATCCATTATATGGTCAGAAATAAGCCTCTAGGCAGAAAATAGAGAGTAATTCATTGAGCATTAATTGATGTGCTGAGAATTGATTATGTGTCGAGCATGGGGCTAGGCACTATGGGGCCTTTACAGATAAATAAGACATGGTCTGTGCCTCTAGAAGCTCCTGGTAGACATAGTTTGCTCTTCTAGAAAGAATCTGTCCCACCCTGTTGAGAATGCTGTATGCAGTGAGCTTTCACATACAGCTGCCTGGCCCAAGGTCACTACCTGCCCAGGGTGGCCATGTCCAGTGACTGATCACTGTCTGGGTGTAAAAGCCTGGCCATTTCAGGCAATCCAGAACAACACCGACCAGCCAGAGCTCCCCCCATCAATGGAGTCTCTCTAAAGAGCTACATCTCCAGTCAATTTCTCCCTCTGCCCACTCCTTCTCTGTTTCTCTACCTTCCACAGATGTTATTCCAAAGGGCACTCCAGAATAAACACCCTAGCCTACTAAACTCCATCTCAGAGTCGACTTCCCAGAGAATGGAGCCTGTGACCAAGCTAAATTCAACACCATGAATGTTATCTACCAAATCAGAGTATCAGAGAGTAAGGGCTGAGGGCTCTCTTTGGAAGGAGAGGGAAATTAAGTTATAACAGAAAGATTTCTAAAGGAGGGGAGATTTGAACTACATCTGGAATGGTGGTTACTATTAGGTAGTTGAGGAACAACAGGACCTTTTAGTGAGGAACAATTCAGGAAAAAGGCAAAGGGGCAGGAAGTACAAAGTATGTTCAAGGGAAATTTAACAGAGTCACCCAATGAAATAAGTGAGATGTAAGAAAGAAACCAGACTGTGGATGGAGCTTGCACTTTAAAAAAAAAAAAAAAATGCACTTCATCTGTTAGACCAATTGACAACCAATCAACATTTGGCACTGCAGATGAATTGCAGGGGCTATGTAACCCCAACATGCATCTAGCATGGTTAAATTATAGTCACTGGGGACATCATAAATTAATGAATATTTTTAAAAAGAGAGAGCAGGTTATAGTCATATAACTTTGTTCCATTTTAACAGTATTCAAAAATATATGGCTTTGGCACTGCTTTGAACTAATTTCCTAGGGAGTTTTAAAAAGAGAGAAAAGGACTTTGATTCATCACTCAATTAAAAAATAACATTTGGGTTTGGCTCGAGAGTTCAAAAAATTAGTATGCATTTTTTCAGTGGTTGATTTAATCAGTTCAGTTCAAGTTCCTTTAGTTGGCGTGACCCAGGAGAATCTATACAAGGCATTTTGGCTGCTTAGGATTTATCCAAATTTCCCAACTCCCTGCTATCCCTGGTTTTACAAGCCAGGGAGAATGGGAAAATGGTCCTTGTTTGAACGTATGAGAACACTGACTTCTACTAATGGATATAAAGAAATCAAATTGTAAACTCTCATTAAGCTAGGAATCAAAGGAAACTTTCTTAATATGATTTTTAAAGTGTATATCAGACACAAACAGCCAACATACATAATGGGGAAACACTAAAGCTACCCTTATTAAAATTAGGAGAGATGCCACTGTCACTGCTGTCATTGAGATTTGTTCAGGAAGTCCTAGCCAATGCAGTAAGATAAGAAAAAGAAATGTTGAATAATTATCGGAAAGGAAAAGACAAAGTTATTATTAATCATAGTCATATTATCTTCCTGGAATATTCAAGGAAATCAACTGAAAAAACTATTTGAATTAATAAAGAAGTTCAACATGGATCAAGATACAAGATAAACAAACCAAAATTAATAGTTTTTCTATATGTCAGCAAAAATCAGTTAGAAGATGTCATGTTGAAGAAAGATCCATTTATAATAGAAATGAAAAATGTAAAGTTCTTAAGAATAACTTAACAAAAATGATAAAGAGCTATATATTTTTAAATCTTTAAAATAAACCCAGGCATGATGGAAAAGCATCAAGCAATCTGACCCTTAAGCCCATGATGCTATAAAATGTTTGTGGCTCCAAGTTCCCTTTTGTCATTAATATTTTTCCTATACATTCTCTTCCTGGAAATATAATTTGGATTCATTTACAACCAGCCCTTTCCAGCCCTGGGTCATACAAGGCAATAAAATGTAATTTTAACTCTTTGCCTGCTGGAAACCAAAGGATGTGGTTCTGAAATTGCTGTAGCTCTGACCAAAAACACAGCCACCAGCTATTTACCACCACTCGGACTCATGTGGGAAAATTACAGAGAGATGCCATAAAATGCAAGTTTATGAGTATCTATAAGCACATTATTTATTAGATGAATAATGCTTACAACACATCCAAAGTTGTCATGTCTGGATTATATCAATAAAACTACCTAATTTTACTCAGCACCTTCATTGGTCCTTACAAGAACTCTATAAAGTAAGTAGTTCAACTGAGTATGATTTTTAAATACTAATATGTATGGACCATATACTCTGCCCCATGGCATACACAGGCAGTGTGCTAAATTTTTTACCTACAGTAACTCAATCATGTTTTATGACATTGCTCCATGTCATTAGGATGATGTTTATTTTATGGATAAGGAAACTGAGGCTTGAATAGGTTAAAAGTCTAAGCTCTAACACATCAGAGCTATGATGAACCCAGCTAAATCTGACCCCAGAAGCTTCACTCTTAACACCTACAAACTATGCCTCCTCTGGTGGTGGTGGTGTTATTATAACTACTATTACAGTCATCAGCATCATCCACATCATGATTATAACTATACTTGCAGATAAGGAAACGGAGGTGCAGTGATGCTAATGGATTTGCTTAATGGAACACAGCTATAAAATGGGGGAGCATAGGCTCAAACCCAGATGTATCCAATTCTAAATCCCATCTTCTTTCCACTCCCCCACAGTAATTATTCACACTGTGGGAAAGGAAGTGGTATGTAAACAATACAAATGAGTAGATAATATAAAACTCATTTTCATTCTGCTTTGGAAAACTCAGTATATATTTTCAAACCCCCAGTTTTATCTTCATTGTTATTTTTAAGCTGCTACTAAAATGAGTTTGCATTGCCTTACTGTGTCTTTACCGATACCCCCAACCTGAGAACAAAGAGAGGGAGCCCAAAACCAAATTGACATGCATTGCAAAGACAGCAGGGCATTAAAAATCTACCATAGCTAACCACACATACATAAACCAGGAATTGACTGTATGTGCTTTGATATACTTAGAGAAAAGGGGCTATATAAATTCAAATTTCTCTCCTACCTAGATATTTAATTCAACTTCACAGGGTCCTAGGATACAGGTACAGTATTGTTTTTCAGATACATTCATTCATTTACTCATTCAGCTAGCATTTACTGAGCAGGGTCCACCAATTAGTCAATCCCAAACTAACTCATTTTATCAATGGATAAGAGTAGCTGTCCCTACTTTCCCAGTGACACAGATCCTTCGAGAAAAGAAAGGAATCTTTGTTGAGGTCTTCCCTCAATGTCTCCACCTATATCCTTCCACTCCCAACCCATACACACCAAAATAAGGCAGTCTATCTCCTGGCAATAGGTATTGTTATTGTGCTTATTTTACAGATAGGAAAACTGATGGAGAAAGGATGAAGCTAATGACCTAAGTGGTAGTTCCAGGATTAGAACCCAAGCATCCTGATAATAGAGTCTATGCTTGTCTCTGCTATGCTATATTTATTGAAATGTCATATTTTCTTGAATTTGCTTATCAACATGAGAACAGAAGGGAAGCTTATGTTCTCAAGATTGAGAGAGATTTACCTAACAAAGGAATTCTTACACTGGGAAAATAAATCCTGAGAAGTCAAGGAAGTCATCTAAGGCTACCCAATGAATCAGGAGACGAATGAATCAGAACATGGATTCCCAGACTTACTATCCTGACCCATTCTCGGGGTATCCAGGGGATCTGGAGCCTCCCAAATCCTGGGACCATAGACTAGAAGATAAGAGGAACACAAGCCCAAGCCCGTCATCCATTGTCCGTTTGAGCAAGGCATCCCCTCCGTGAGTCAGGCTGATCGCAGGGACAGCATATATATCCCACACACTATCCCATTATGAGCAACAAGCATGATAAATGAATTAGTATGCAATGTGTAAGAAGGTGCTAAGTGCTAAGGAAAAGAAAACAGGAAGTAAAGGGGATAGGGAGTGCCACAGCCAGCCTAGGGGAGGGGAGAGGGTTATTGTTTTAAACCAAGGTGGACAGGTGGGCCTCATGGAGAAGGTGACATTTAGCAAAGGTTTAAAGGAAATAAAGGAGATCGCCAGGCAGATATCTGAGCAGCAGGCATTCCAGGCAGATAAAAGCAGGCTGCAAAGACCCTAAGGTGGGTGGCTACAGAGAGACTTGTTAGGAGGCTTTGACAGTAAGCCAAGCTAGAGATGATAGTGGCTAGAGTGGTAGCAATGGAGGTGGGGAGACATAATTGCATACTGGATACATTTTGAAGGCCAAGTCCACAGTATTTCCTGACAGATTGGTTGCAAATGTGAGAGAAAAAGAATTTAAGCATGTCTCCAAGATTTGGGCTTACAGACGTGGAAGGATGAGGATGCTATCAGTTGAGAAGGGAAAGGCTGTGGGTTAAGCAGGTTCGGAGTGCAGTAGAAAGGAAGATCTGGAATTCAAGTTGAGCTTGAGATATCTATGAGGTATCCCAATAAAGAAGCTGAGTAGGCTGTAGAACATATGAGTCTGAGGTTCAGGAGGGAAGTCACGTTGAAGATATATACTTAAAAATCATCAGCACATAAATGGCATACAAAGTCAGGCAACTAGCCGAACTTTCCAAGGGAGTGAATGTAGATAGAAGAAGGAAGAAGTCTAAGGACAGAGCCCCAGGGCACTCTTACCATGAGAGGTCAGGAAGAAAAGAAGCTACAAAGCAGATTTGGAAGGGACAACCAGTGAGGTAAGAGAAAAACCAGGCAAGCATATGGTGTTCTGGAAGCCAAGGGAAGAATGAGTATCACAGAATGAGGAACTGGCCAGGTGTGGTGGCTCACGCCTGTAATCCTAGCACTTTCGGAGGCCAAGGCAGATGGATTGCTTGAGCCTAGAAGTTTGAGACCAGCCTGGAAAACACGGTGAAACCCCCTCTCTACAGAAAATACAAAAATTAGCCGGTGTGTTCGCCCATGCATGTAGTCCCAGCTATTAATACTTGCAAGGCTGAGGTGGGAGAATTACCTGGGCCCAGGGGGCAGAGGCTGCAGTGGGCCAAGATTGCCCCAGTGCACTCCAGCCTGGGTGACAGAGCGAGACACTGTCTCAAAAAAACAAAATGAAACAAACAAACAAACAAACAAAAAAGCAGGAGGAGGACACCAATAATGGTCAATAGGTCACAGAACATGAGTCATCAAAGTTTACCATTAAATTAAGCAACGTAGAGGCTGCTTGGTGAACTTAGAAACAATTTTGATGGATTGATATACGGGCAAAAGTCTGATCAGGCAGGGTTTAAAAGAGAAAGGAAGGGGAGAAAATAAAGAGAACAAAGGAAACAGAGATAAAGTTGTAATTGGCATGAAAAGTGAAATCAATAGGTTTGTTCTTTGTTTGTTTGTTTGTTTTTCGGCCAAGTACGGTGGCTCACACCTGTAATCCCAACACTTTGGGAGGCTGAGGTGGGCAGGTCTCGAGGCCAGGAGTTCAAGACCAGCCTGGGCAACTTGATGAAACTCCATCTATATAAAAAATACAAAGAACTAACCAGTCATAGTGGTGCACACCTGTGGCCACAGCTACTGGGGAGACTGAGGTGAGAGCCTGAGCCCAGGGAGGTTGAGGCTGCAGTGAGCTGTGATCAGAGCACTCACTACACTCCAGCCTCAACAGAGTGAGACCCTGTACCAAAAACAATTTTTTTAAGATTTTTTGTTAAGATTCGAAAAATAACAACATGTTTGAATGCTGATGGAAATGATCCAGTAAAGAGGAAAAGTAGGCAAGAGGGCATGGGGTCTAGGGAACAAGTGAAGGAACTAGCCTTAGACTGAATCATGAGTCATTTATTTATTATAACAGGCATGCAACTGAGTCAGTGGGTGCTGAGGCTGACGGATAAAGTGTAGGTGCTTAGGAGAAGGATGGCCAGCTATTAAAGACTAGTGAAGGAAGCAGAGTGAGACCATACAAACATATAGACTTCCATAAGCAATTCAGACTTCATTCTGAGGTGCAATACAAGGCCACATTAAACTTTCAGGCAGGTTTTTCATTTCATGAAATCTATTCGCAGGAATATGTAGAATAGATTTGAGCTAGAGGAGGAAACCTAAAGTCAGAGAGACCAGTTAGGAAGTTGTTGAAGATGTCTAGATGAGAGAAGATGACAATATAAATGATGGCAATAATGGAAAGAAGTTAACACATTTAAAATTTTTAAAGCAATGGACTCCAAAGGACCTGATAATTAATTGAATGTAATGGAAGGGATGTGAGAATCAGTTCCCTGACTTGGGCAACTAGTAGTATAGATACATCATTCACTGAGCTAAGAAGCTCAAGAGGAAGAACATGGGCCTCTTGGGTTGTTGACATCTATGGGGTTCCCACAATGAAGATGTCTCCCAGGTTATAAATTATAAAAAGCAGGAGCTGAGGAAAGAGCTCTGAACTGAAATTAAAGATCTGAGAGTCATTCTAGATAGTTGCCGCTGAAACGATGGTGGGGTCTAGGGGTTCATAGAGCTGTCTGCTCCTGTATTCTATGGTCCAGACTACTCTGTTTTTACAAGTCTCCTCCCTTTGCCTTTAGTTGTCACCCTGATGTCAGTGGAATCTTCTTTTTAATCTGCCTTTATTTTAAATTGGCCATACCTGAGTAAAGGCATAAAAGTAGCTAGACCTGCAGAAAAACAAATGCCAGACCTTTGTCACAGCAACTTGGAAAACTTCCATTTTCAATTTTATGGATATGTTCTTGCTAGTTAAGGTTTTGCATAAAAGGATGCTACTATAAAATGCATTCTAATTCTTAACTATAAACAACTTTTTATCATGTGCTACAGTGGATGAAGCAAGCCATGAAGATCTACAAAATTAGCAAAAAGCTAATTATCTAAAGCAGTACTCCCTGTACACTCAAGATTATTTTAAGTGATATGAGAGTTGATTTTGGATGATGCACGGATATGGCACTCAATAACATTGAGCCTCATCGTAAAATAGTTTATTTCATTTTCCATTTTCTTTCAATCTTTCTGACTAGACCTCCACAACGAGAAAGACTCACTTTGCTACTAGTGTGTCCTTAATGACCTCCAATTCCTATTAAAATCTCTTTATAACAGAGATAAAGAAGGCCTTGCATTCAGAGGCCTTCCAGAAACCACAGTTTCTAGTTAGAACTCAATAACATTATGTTATTTTTATTGCATCTATTTTTATATTTAACTTCTATTTATGGCAAATGGTTTCCATTTATGGTACAGATATCAAATGTCCTAAAATAAATTAAGAATTTTTAAATTAATCAGTTTCAAAGTTATTAAGTAAAAGATGGTTCTTTGATGTCCAAAAACATGAAGATGATAGTTTTAATCATTTCCACCAAGTAAGGTTAAAATCATGACTCATACACATATAAAATAACAACATTAAATTTTTTATTTATTATTTAATACATTACTGAAGTGAGTGAACCAGGCAGATAACATAACCAGTTCAAAGCAGGTGCCAAAGACACTCAAATGTATATGGAGTAAAATAATGTTGAAATGAATGTGGGAATGGATGTAAAACTGACTTTTCCACAGGAGAGAAGCATTGTCTCTTCACTGAACAGAACTGTTTTGCTTTGCTATTTGTTACCTATAAGTTACAGAGTAATAAAATAATTCAACGGCCGTAAAAATCTCAAATCAAACAACTTGCAAAGCTGTTCTCTAAACCATGCATAGTTTTCCATGGAAGCAATGGTCCAAGGCAATTTATACCCTATATGCTAGGGAGGAAGCATTGAATAGATGAAAAGGTACATAGTGGATGGCTTTTTGGCCTCAGATTACTTATCTGCAAATGAAGGACCTGGACAAGATACTTTCTAAGATCCTATAAGTTAGGAAATTCTCAGATTCATACTTAAACTCCCAGGACTTTAGCTGCAAAAGAATGGCATTTTGACAGACTACCTTTTATTTTTGAAGCTCTCAGCATGGAGTTAGACTGCTCACCTGTCTTCCCAAAGAAGATAACAGGAAGCTGTTTCCATTTACTCAGACTAGAAGTGTAGTCAATCAGTGATCACCATTCACACACCAGTGGCTTTGTTTGAAACAGGATGTCTTCCTGTGTGTTCATATTGTAATCAGGACCTTGTTGAAATCTAACAAATATACTTCATTTATCATCATCCTTCTTACTACCATTAATAATCTGAGTAGAAGTCCCAGCTTCCACCGGCTACCATAACACATCATTAACTTCCTTCTCCCTGAGCTAGCTGCAGGTCCCACTCCTGCTCAGAAAGTTCCTGTGCCAGGGGAGGCATTAACATAGTTATTTTAAAAGTAATTTGATATGAGAATTTCAGAGAGGCACAGTTCAATTTTTGTAGCCCCTTCTGAGTTTTTTTGGACAGCCATTTTGAGGAAGCTGGATTAATATAATTTTCATTAAGTTCAATTCGCTCCCTCCTCGAGTGACAGAGGATGGGGGATAGGGACAGGAGTAAGGTTACCAAGACTATATTTGATGACCTTACACAAGAAAGAGCCCAGGGAGGAGCAAATACTGCCTCTTTCTCTTCCAACACTACTCCTCTATTACCTTGGTTCCTTCTACGAGAGCTGGAGTCAGAATCCAAGAGAGTGGGCTTTTCTGCCAGAAAGTCTGGGATCTGCCACTTACCTCAAGCAAGTTCATTCATTTCTCTGCAGCTTCCTGATCTGCTAAATAATATAATAGTAGCCGGGGCTGGGCGCGGTGGCTCACGCCTGTAATCCCAGCACTTTGGGAGGCCAAGGTGGGTGGATCATGTGGTCAGGAGTTCGAGACCAGCCTAGCCAACATGGTGAAACCCCGTCTCTACTAAAAATACAAAAATTACCCAGGCGTGGTGGCAGGCGCCTGTAATCCCAGCTACTCGGGAGGCTGAGGCAGGAGAATCACTTAACCCAGAAGCAGAGGTTGCAGTGAGCTGAGATCGCACCACTGCACTCCAGCCTAAGCGAAAGAGTGAAACTCCATCTCAAAAAATAAATTAATTAATAATAATAATAATAATAATAATAGAATCACAGAGTTCTCACAAGGCTTAAAGCTAAGCAAGTAAAATACTTAGCATGATGGCAGTAAGCACTTTAATGTTAACCATTGTTGCAATTATAGTTCCATGTCACTGCCTGACTGCACTCGATATTGAAAAACACAAGTAACCACAAAAATAAGCATTATTTCATTGTCATTCAACAGGAATATCTTTCTCATCCATTTTTATTATTTTCCACTATAAAAATAATGAATAGGCCCAGCGCGGTGGCTCATGCCTGTAATCCCAGAACTTTGAGAGGCCAAGGCAGGCAGGTCATGTGAGGTCAGGAGTTCAAGACGAGCCCGGCCAACATGGTGAAACCCCATCTCTACTAAAAATAAAAATAAAAATAAAAAATTATCTGGGCATGATAATGTATGCCTGTAATCCCAGCTACTCTGGAGGCTGAGGCAGGAGAATCACTTGAACCTGCGAGGCAGAGGTTGCAGTGAGCCGAGATTGTGCCACTGCACTCCAGGCTGGGTGACAGAGGGAGACCCCGTCTCAAAAAATAATTATTATTACAATGAATAATATAAGTTTATTATTTTTGCAGTTGATGTTAGAAAGTATTTATACCAGAGTATTAGGACTAATTTCTGCAGCATGGAATTAGAAGGACAATTTTACTTTAAACTTGCAATGTTATAGGTTTGTTGTTTCTTAACAACAAATGTATATGTGTGTTTGTGTGTGTAATTATTATACATTTTTTAAATAGGGCTGGACATGGGAGCTCATACCTATAATCCCAGCACTTTGGGAGGCCAAGGCAGGAGGATCACTTGAGCTCAGGAGTTTGAGACCAGCCTGGGCAACATAGTGAGACTCCATCTCTACAAAAAATAGAAAAACTTAGCCAGGCATGGTGGCAAACACCTGTAGTCCCAGCTACTCGGGGGCTGAGGTGAGAGGATCACTTGAACCTGGGAGATTGAGGCTGCAGTGAGCCGTGATTGTACCACTGGACTCCAGCCTTAGTGACAGAGCAAGACCTTAAGAAGAAAAAAATTAAGTTTCTATTTTGAAAAAGCCAAAATGCAAATACCAGGAGTACATAATAAACAACTTGCAGGAACACAAAAAAGGGGGACAAGAAGACTCATCCACCTACCGCACCAGCTATCATTGTTCTAACGCCTTTGAAAATCCAGGGAGTTGTGACTCCTAAGGAAACTTAATTAAAGATCCTGGATACAAGTGTAACTGAGGGCTGGAGTTCTTAAAATCTGGAAGGTCATGGAGTCCAAAAGTATCTGATAAAAGCTGTGGATCTTTCTTCAAGGAATGTGAATGCATAAAATAGCCGCCTACAGCTGCAGGGTGTCCTAACTTCTTGAGGTTCGTGTAGGTACAACAAACACTAACATCAATCTAGGTATACCGCTAACAAGATCCTTCCACTACCTGCCTATTTGATGAAAGGTTTACCAAGAAGGTCCCATGACCAAAAATATCTTCCCCATGGTCCTGATACCAGTGCCTAATATCTCAATATTAGAAATTCTTTGGGGTCATAAATCATTCTATTCCAAAAATACATGCACATGTATGATTATTGCAGCACTATTCACAATAGCAAAGACATGGAATCAACCCAAATGCCCATCAATGATTGACTGGATAAAGAAAATGTGGTACATATAAACCATGGAATACTATATAGCCATAAAAAGGAATGAGTTCACGTCCTTTGCAGGAACATGGATGGAGCTGAGAGCCATTATCCTCAGCAAACTAACGAAGGAACAGAAAACCAAACACTGCATAAGTTTCACTTATAAGTGGGGGCTGAACAATGAGAACACATGGACACAGGGAGGGGAACAACACACACTGGGGCCTGTTGATGGGGGTGGAGGTTAGGGAGGAAGAGCATGAGGAAAAATAGCTAGTGCATGCTGGGCTTAACACCTAGGTGAGGGGTTGATAGGTGCAGCAAACCACCATGGTATACGTTTACCTATGTAACAAAATTGCACATCCTGCGTATGTATCCTGGAACGTAAAACAAAATTTTTTTAAAAAATTTGTTAATGGAAAAAGTGCTTGAATAAAATAAAAATGCAGTAAAAAAAAACTTGTATTTATTTAAAAAAGAAAAAAAGAAATTCCTTTGGGTCAAGGCATTATTACCTATAACGCTGCAAGAAGTTCTGAGAGATTTAACACATTAAGCTTGTATCATTCATTCATTCATTTTACCAACAAATATTTACTGGGCAACTACTATATTCCAGGTGACAGGGTAAACAAGACAGTTCTCTTTGAACTCAGAATCTAGTGTGTATGAGAAAATGGGCAGAGAAATGGATAATAAATGCATAAACAAATGAATTAGTACCGTCATTGGTTGATGATGAGTGCTGTGAAGGCAAGAAGACAAAGTCATGGAATAGAAAAGCTTGTCAGAGAACACAGTCACATTGGGTGCTCAAAGAGCCTCCCTGTAGATCTGACAAGTGAGGATAAGCCAGTGTATTGAAAGATAGGAGGAAAGGCATGTCCGTCGTGGAAAAAATGTAATTGAAGCTGCACATCACATTCTCTCTCAGATGAGGGCAGCTTCTAAAAATAGGAAGAAAGCAAAGTCCAGAAAAAAATATATTGCAGAGAGAAGGAAGGGTATAATCACAGGGAAGGCACAAATAGGGAAAGACTTTGAAAAAGATAGGTAGGGAACAGAGGTAAGAGGCCAGACCTGATTGGAATTATACCTTGGAATAGTTAGAATCCTTTCAGCTGCAAGTGATACACATCTGACTCAAACTGGCTTAAACAATAAGGAATGTCACTGGCTCAGGCAAGGTGAAATTCGGAAGTGATGCAGGATTTGGGTGTGGTACCATCAGGGCTCCAGCTCTGTTTTCCTTGATTCTCAGCTGTGTCCTCCTCAGTAGAGAGATAAAGATCAATATAGATGATAGAAAGTATAGAAATAGATACAGATAGAGCTGTAGGTATAACTATGCATCTACTATTTCCAGGTTTTTCTATTCCTCTTTGTCCCCAAAATGTTTCTAGCTTTGTTCACTAGGTTTCTTCCTCTCTCCAGCTCTTTGGGACAAATTCTGCTAAAATCAGACTAGTTCCTTAGACTTCATGACATAAGGCAGCAGGGATAGATGAACAAAGGCTAGAATGAAGATGTCATGTTCTGGGAATTTTATAAAATTCTAGAAAAGGAGAAGCCACAAGGAATGAAGGAATTAGATGATTAGAGAAGAGGGTATTTTTTAAAAGAGCTTTTGTGGCAGACGTATCCCCTTCCTAATGTTTGGGAAACAGACTCTCCAATAAATGGTGCTGGAAAAACTGGATGTCTACATGCAAAAGAATGAAATTGGACCCTTAGCTTATACCATACAAAAAAAATTTAACTTTAAATGGGTCAAAATTTTAAATGTTAAGACTTGAAACTATAAAACTCCTAGAAGAAAGCATAGGGGAAAAGTCTTTGACACTGGTCCTGGCAATGATCTTTTGGATATGACACCAAAAGCACAGGCAAAAATAAAAATAAAAATAAAAATAAACAGTGGGATTATATCAAGCTAAAAGCCTCTGGACAGCCAAGGAAACAATCAGCAAAATGAAAAGGCAACCTACAGAATGGAAGAAAATATTTGCAAACCATATATCTGATAAAGGATTAATAATCCAAAATATATAAGGAACTCAAACAATAGCCAAAAAGCAAATAACCCAATTTAAAAATGGGCAAAGGATCTGAATGGACATATTTTCAAAGAAGACATACTAACGGCCAATAGTTCTATGAAAAGATACTCGACATTCACCATCATCAGGGAACTGCAAATCAAAAGCACAGTGAGATATTACCTCACATTTTTAGCATGACTATTATTTACAAAATAAGAAATATAACAAATAGTGAGGATGTGAAGAAAAGGGAACCCTGGTGCACTGTTGATGGGAATGTAAGTTAGTACAGCCATTATGGAAAACAGTATGGAGGCTCCTCAAAAAAGTAAAAGTGGAACTTCCATATGATCCAGCAATCCCACTTATGGGTATATATCCAAAGGAGAGGCAAACAGCATCTCAAGAAGATACCTGCACTCCCATGTTCATTGCAACATTATTCATAATAGTCAAGATACGGAAACATCCTAAACGTCCACCGGTACATGAAAGGATAAAGAAAATGTGGCACATACGTACAATGGAATATTATTCAGGTGCCATCTGTAGCAACATGGATGAACCTGGAGGACATTACGCTAAGTGAAACAGGCCAGACACAGAAACATAAATACTGTACGATCTTATTTATATGTGGAATCTAAAACAGTCAAATTCACAGAAGCAGAGAGAGAATAGTGGTTATGAGGGGCCGAGGGGAGGGGAAGATGGGAAGGTGATGGTAAAAGTGCACACGGTTTCAGTTATGTCAGATAAATAAGTTCTGGAGATCTACTGTACAGGATAGTGGCTATAGCTACCAATATGGTACTACATGCTTAAAATTTGCTAAGAGGATAGATCTTATGTTAAGTACTCTTATCCCAAAAAATTTAAAGAAGAGAGAAAAGAGCAGGAGGGGAAGAAAAAGGATATAAAGAAAAAGAAGAAAGAGGAGATGACAAAGATGAAAGAGAAGGAGGAAAGGGCAAGAGGAAACTTGAGGAGGGAAGGGATATGTTTATGGCCTTAATGATGGTGATGGTTACACAGGTGTATACTTATCCCCAAACTCATCAAGTTGTATATATTAAATATGCACAGTTTTCCAAAATAAAATTGGGTTTAATGTTTTTTTAAAATGTTGGAGCAATTCTAATAAAGAACTTGAGTTGTTTTGAATTGACGTTTTGGGGTTTTTAACTAAGTCCTTTGATTGCAACATAGCTCTGAGACTGGCCTATGTGAGTCCTGGCTTCAGTAGGGTTACACACCCACCCACAAACATACACACACATGCACACACACGGCATAAGCTCAACAACCCTGTTTCCCACACCCTTTAGGGACAAGCTTGTCGTGATCTGCTCCAATTCTGACCTTGTCCAGGCATGTCAAAAGGAAAAAGACTGGAATTTTGGCAAGCCACTTTTTAAAGGTCATTGACCTCTGGTTTACACTACAGTTCAAACCACAACTCTGTACCATAAATCATTATTATTAAAAGCAGCTTGGGTGCAGTGTAAAGGTCTTGGATTTATAAGCAAGAGACATGGGCTGAAATCACTGTTCTATAGCTCACTAGCTGAGTGATCGCTACCGTGTTTCTTAACATCCCTTTAACATCTGTTTAAAAGGCATCATAGTGCCAACTTTAACAGGTTACTGCAAAACTGTGGACTCCATGCATGTATGAGCCTTACAGGTAGAATATTCTTTATTCGTTTTTGTATTTTTAAGACATAGCTCATGGATGGCAAATACACAGTCCTAATGCTGTAACTCTCTATGCACGGAAAACAAAGCTAATAAATAATTGTAATTTTTGCCACAAAATCTAAAACATAGGCACATTAAATAAGGAAGTATTGTTGAGCAAATGAATGAATGAACCCAGTGCTCTAAGCAGTCACTACCAACTGATCAGAGCTGGCTCTTGAGAAGATGCACAATAGCTACCCTTGGTCCTGGCCTTTATTCCAACTTTATCACAATGTATGTAACTGATTGCTTACCCACACCCTAGCGATCCACCACCCATTTTTGTAAATAAAATTTTACTGGAACACAGCCATACTCATTTGTCTACATATTTTTATGGTTGCTTTCACACTTGTGTGGTAGAGTTTAGTAGTTATAACAGAGAACCATATAGCTCACAAAGCTTTATAATTTTAGCCTTTATTTTAAAGTTTGCAAATCCCAGCTCCAGACCATGACTACCTTTAAGGTAGAAGCTATATGCTTCATCTTCTTATCCCCAGCACCTAGCAAACAGACATGAAGGATAATTATTTTAACACATGTTGGGGACTCAAAGAATACTGATTACATATGAAATGATGCGTTCACTAGAATTAACCATTCAGATTCTTATCTGGGCTCTCAGGTGTTGAAAAACAAGGCAGTCCACATTCATCAGGAGAAGGGCCATGGCAAGCATCAGAGGCCCAAAGACAAACTGCCAAGTAGTGGCCTAAGGTATTTGGGGTGAGGATGTACAACTGAGGGCAAAAGGAGACCCCAGACCAAGAAGAGAGCATGCACAGAGCACAAAGGAGCAACTCCAAAGTCCAATCTGGTCTTCACTCTACTTCTGCTGAAAACGGGCACTGCCAAATAAAAGTCTTTTCATTGAGAACCTCAAAGTATCCTCTGTGGACAATTTACATCAAAATCATCTGAGGAGTTTGTTCACATAAAAATGCCTAGGAATTATCCAAGACTTAAGACTGCATAAACCCCAAGGGTGGAGTCCAGCACTCTGCCTGGTTAACAAGTTCCCCGGGTGCTTTTCCTACTCATTCATTTTTACAACCACTGACTTCAAGAGTATGCACTCTTCCCAAGTGAGAGTTCCTAACAAATATTTATCTCAGATGGTTCCCTTGTCACACATATTTTCATCTAAAGACTTAAGAGCAAGGCATTCTTCCTGAAGATCTGATTATTATCTGTTGAGAGATGCTTTTACTGTGTCCACACAGTGCCAAATGCCTGCTCAACCCAACCAAAAATACCAGGAGAAGGTTTGCCTCAATAACCTGGCCAGTCAGAAATTGATTGATGATCCAAGAGTCTCAAGAAGACATAGGCTCGGGGAGAGACAAGGGCAATGTGGGGAGTGTCCAGTGGAATGATAGTGTCTTATTGGAAAGTATCTTTTTCCCCAAAATAACCAAGATAAATGATTTGTGACTGTGACATAGGACAAAGGATTTCAGTATAACAGAGACGACTATGGAAAAAATGCAACTAGTAAATCACTCTATGGAGAAAAACAAAAAGGAAACAGTTCAGAATGAGTGCCTCCAGAGATAAAAATCACCTCTCTGAGATATTTTTGTGAAAAAAAAATTCCTTTAGAAATATTGGGAAATAATTTATGGTAGGAAAAAAAGGCCATTATAAACCAAATGGTCTTCCCACATGATAGCAAAGTATATATTTAACATGGGCTCGTTATACCTTATTTACTATCAATTCTAACTAGGTTTTCCTTTGCTGCCAAGGTTTAGCCCCAAGGGTGTTAAATCTAAAGCCAACCCATTCTTCTCAAGGCTGTAAACGTCCATGAAAGGGGTTACGAAGTGAAAATAGACTCCTCCCCTGCCCCTGCCCATGAGACTCATTTCTAGACTCTTCAATGGCAGCCATTCATTACTTGTGTGCCCGGGATATTCATACTACCTACCAACTATGCCCACTCAGACTCTAGAAGCAGAATTCAGAAAAAACATACATGCAAAAAATTTTTAAAGAACTGCAAAATGAGTAAAATGGCATTGGGAAAACTAAGTAATCGTCTGGGAAAATAAATAATGTTTAATTCCCAAATCACTCCCTATACCTAAAAGTAGTTCAGATTAATCAAAGATTAAACCAGAAAATATGTGGCCATAAAGGTTCTAGTAGAAAACTTGGGGGGAAATGTTATAATTTTATCATGGAGAAAGTATGTCTGTGTGTAACACAAAATTCAGATGCCAGAATGAAGTAAAGATGAATTTTACCCCACAAAATTCTACATAAAAGAAAATACTGGAAGAAGAAACAAAGATAAATAACAAACTGGAGGAAACTAGGTGGCAATGCATATTATAGATCAAAGGGTATTTTTATTAATATACAAAGAGTTCCTAAAAATCAATAAGAAAAAGCCCAACTACAGAAGGAAAAATTGCCAAGGACATAGATTCTTCACAAGTAACTAAAGCGGCTTATGGACATATTAAATTTACTCAATTTCCTTATAATAAGAGAAATGAACATTCAAAACTATACTGAAATACCATCTTTCACTGATCAGATTGACAAAGACCAAAAAAAAACTTGTAGCCACTTGTATTGAAGGTGGAGAAAATAGGTATTCTTATACCTTATTGATGGAAATGTAAATTGATTTAATCTCTGAGAAAGGCAATCTGGCAATATTTATCAAAATTTAAAATGCACATATCCTTTAACCCAATACCTAAACTTCTAATGATTCATGCTGAAATTTACCTACACATGTGTACAATAGCCGGGATTACCATTGTATCACTGCTTTTCACAGAAAAGATGAAACAATCTGAATGTCTATCAACAGAGGGCTGGTAAAAAAAAAAAAAATTATGGTAAATATATATAATAGAATATATTACAAAGTTACTAAAATTAAAGAGGTAGCTCTATGTAATTATGTAGACAAAAGTTCAAATATATATATTAAGCCAAACAGGTGCAAAATGATATATTCATATATGATTATGTATCAGGAAATATTTCTGGCAGAAAAATTGAGAAACAGATAATAGTGGTCACCTGTGGAGAGAAATGAGTGGTTGGGGAATAAGGGTGGGAGAGAGACTTTCTACTATATATGTATTTGTACTTTTTGAATTCTGAACCATGGGCATGTACTACCTATTCAAAAGATATTTTTTAATGAGCTGCAAGAAAATCAGACAAATATTCAAACCCTCTCATCATATTCTAAAAGGGTCCCGAAGGTAGGTTTAGACCTGCAGGATGTGAGTAGTATCACCAGGCAGGAAAATTTTTAAGATATTAATTAGTATTCTGCTTTATTTTTCCCTATTTCTCTTTCCCAAATATGTATTGTGACCCTTAATAACTCCTTGCCTGAGGGTGTTTTGCAGGATAGAAAGCACAAGCTGCTTAAGTCAATGGTTCTTTCCAACTTTTGTAAAGCCTCAGCACTTTGAAGAGATTGGAGCAGGAGACTCAACGGGAAGGAGAAGGTGTGCGTTTGAGGGTAATAAGAGAGTGATCAGGAAAGAGGAAAGTTTTTGTAAGCAGAAAGAGATGACATTTTGGCAACACCAACAGCAAAGCTCACGGGCTAAATATCTGGCAGGCTAAGGGAGTCTTAACCCAGGATGCAGGGACTCCCAAAGAGTCCTAAACCCCAAGAACCAGCAACTAAAGGGCCAACAGAAGCAGTGAGAGCTGACCTCTATGAACCAATGGGGACACTTCTAGCTGACTCTAAGAAAAAGTCTAGAATCTTGGGAAATCCCTGTTGGAGGTGAGGGGGTGGGGCACAGCAGGGAAAGTTAAACTCCCAGAGGGTCATGTTTTCCTCTAGCCATCGGAATGCAGGACTTACAGTTGAATTACATAGCTGATTTTTTGGGTGAAGATTCCTCCCCATTACACTGCAGAGTACACTGTTAATCAGCTGGTGGACAGTAGGTGCCCAACATACTAGTCCCACTGCTCAAAGTCTTTGATGGCACCATGTGGATATATCTTTCTTCTTCTTTTTTTTTTTTTTGAGACAGGGTCTCTTGCTTTGTCACCCAGGCTGGAGTGCAGTGATGCAGTCTCAGCTCACTGCAGCTTGACCTACTAGGCTCAAGTGATCCTCCCACCTCCCAAGTAGCTGGGACCACAGACCTGCACCGCCACATCCAGCTATTTTTTTTTTTTTTTTTTTTTTTTTGTAAAGATGGGATTTCACCATGCTGCCCAGGCTGGTCTGGAACTCCTTGGCTCAGACAATCCTCCCACCTCCACCTGCAGTGATGAGATTACAGGCTTGATCTCTTTTCTACCGTGTTGTGTACCTCTTCTTTTCCTTTGTTTTTTATGATCTACCTTTGCCTGTTTCTATCACTTTTTCTTCTCCTGATGCCCAAGATAAACACATTCTAAGGCATGAGCAAGAACGGTTTGCCACAATCAAAATCGCACAAAGATGAAGATGCTCTCTTGAGCTTACCGATTCCATGCCCAGAATCTAAATAATTTTCTCAAAATGGCCGTCTCTTCTTACTGGATTTCTCCATGAAGCTTGGGGGGATGTTAGTTAAGCCTGAGGCAGACAGTGGAGGCAACCCTCTGAGACAGCACAGGAGCCTTCTAAATGAGCTAGTTCTCTTTTGGCAAAATATAAAACAGGTCTGTGAATCTGGCACCACCACGCCTCTCAACGGGGGTTGAGGTCCATCTTCAGTAAGAGTCGTCACAAGGAGATAGGATGAGGGCCAGTGAGGGGCACCAGCATCAGTCATCAAAGAAATTGCTGCTTGGCTGTCTAAAGAAACATAATGGAGAAATGGGGAAGTGAGTGGGGAACTGAGACCCTGTGTGTAGGGAGACTGCTGCAGTGCTTAATTTAAAAGACCGTGAAAGGCCCAAAATCTCTCTCCAGAGGACCGGAAACAGCACTCTAAAATCACATGCATAAACTTGCCTTTGTTTAAGGTGGTGCTTCTCACACTGAGCCCCATGTTTGTCCTGAGGACTCTGTATACACTTTCTCCAGGACCTGAGAGTTTCAAGAAGATTTTTTCATCATGTATTCTTACTTCAGCGATAATTTTAAAAGGAGGAAAAGAAAAAGTTCCAGCGACTGTAACGCCAAAACTTCTCCTTAGCACTGACAATTTGCAGTGGAAAGTTTCTTAACTAAGAGGCAGTTGTCTTCTCTGGAGTCGAGATAATACTTTTCCTTTAAAAAGGGGCCATATATTTAAAAACAAAACAAAACAAAAAAGGGTGATCCTTCCCACACCCAGCCCAAGCCAGGCATGACAGTTTTTCTGCCTCAGCAACCTGGGAGCAAGCAGGGTAGGAGGCTACTGGTCCCCTTAAGCCTGAGCAGACTCATGGTCACTGCTAACCAAGAATAGAAATTTCATGAACCCATGACCCAGCCTCCAAGGCAGCCTCGGTGGCAGTGATCTGCCTCAACTACCAGCAAGGGACACCCCACAAGGTATTTCTGAGGGAGACAGTCAAACAAACCAGCACGGAGGATATCCCAGGAAAAGGACATAAGTATCACCTCAAATGTTCTGTGGAATAAGTTATTCTAAAACAAATTGCAGTGAACTGCATAGCTGAATCGCCTTACCCTGCAGTGGGACAAGATACTGTACCAGAAATCAACATCACATGTGAAGGAGAAATGGAAAGAGCCCAGATAAAGAAAACAACACATCTGATCAAAAACTCAAGTCCATGAAGGAATCACTAGAAGCACAAAATATTCCAGACATTTTGAGAAATGTATCTCCAAAACATGAAGCCAGGTCAACATTTAGCCTGGGTTGCCTGTGGTTATGTAACATGGCAAAATTCTGGTGAAAACACGTGATATAAAAGTGGTAAAAATTAAACTGTCAAGGAAATGCAAAAAAATGATGACTTTATCGAATAGACTATACCATTCCACTTCATGACATTGCATCCCAGGAGATTGATTCCTTGGCAAATGCAAGTTCTTTGGCACTGACAAGATGGTGCTGAGGTAAAATGTAATCGCTGTCTGCCAAGGGAAGTACAAGCGGAATAAACAGAAACCCTAACACTAGGATGAAGAATAAACATGCCTGTGAATGTGTGGATGCCAGTCTTCATTGGTATCCAGCTAAAGGGGCCAACCATATCTCAAAGTGTCACTTTGTATAAATGTCTTGATTATAGTATAGAACTATATAGATTCCATAATACAAGGTGTCACTACGTAAAAAAGTCTTCATAACAGTAATAGTGGTATGTATATCCCACAATAAAATGTTTCCATTTCCAACCTCAAAAAAAGGAAAAAGAAAGAAAATATGGTATATACAGAGAGTGGAATACAATTTAGCCATAAAAAAGAATAAAATCCTGTTATTTGTGGCAACATGTATGAGCCTAGCGGACAATATGTTAAGTGAAGTGTCAGGCACGAGAAGACAAATACCACATGTTCTCCCTCCTACATGGAAACTTTTTAAAAATATGCTTATAGAAGCAGAGAGTAGAACTGTGGTTTTTAGAGGCTGGGAAGGAGGGGGAGAGGGGAGGATAGGGAGATGCTAGTTAATAGACACAAAACTGCATAGAAGGAAAGAGTTTCCATATTCTGCTACAATATAGGGTGAATGCGGTTAGCTATAATTTAGTGTATATTTTAAGAAAACTGGAAGAGAGGATTCTGAATGTTCACAACACAAATGATAAATGTTTGAGATGATGACTATGCTAATTACCCTGATTTGATCATTATACATTGTATACATGTGTGAAAATATCACTCTCTATCCCATAGATATGTACAATAATTATGTGTCGAATAAAAAGAAAAAGAAAAAAAAAGTCCATATATTACACAGGTTTAAGAAGTTCTGGTTTTAAGCATTGTCTTTTCAGGAAAGTGGGGTAAAATGTGAATGTTCCCATCAGTTCCCATCATAGGCGGTGCCTGTGGCACCACTCTAAACTTGAGCTGTGTGTTCCAACTGCCAGTGTGAACACCAGCATCCCATGAGCCCCAAATGCAAACTGGCTTCAGACTTCTGCTCTTCTCTTTCTAAACCCCATCCATTTTTCCAGGCCTGACTTCTCCCTGACCTCATTCAACATATCTTCTGTGCCATATACTTTACCACTTTCCCTAAACTGTTTGAATTACTCACCATTGATCAACCTGTATTCCTCTTGTCTACCCAAGAATATTGTAAGATCCTGTGGGTACACCCTAGAAGAGCACGTGCCGTTAATAATAATTTCTCTTATTTTCAACAACTACAAAGCACTTTCATGCCTAGTCTCTCATTTTACTCAAACGTCAATCCTATTGGGCAAATTGGACAGGAATTACTAGAAACTTCTATCAAGATAAGGAAACTGAGGTCCAGAGAAGTTTGGTAATTGAATTTGAACCCATTAAGTGAACTCACAAACATGCTAATAAACTCTGTAATCTTCTGACCTCCATACTGATCTGAGGGTCTGTTTGATATTACATGATTTTCCTTAAAACTGTTCTTCAAAGAAATAGTGGACATCCAGTCCAGCAACCTCACTGCCGAGCCTTCATAATACTCATCCAGGTTGTAATTGTATAGTTATTTTCTGATTATAAGCCTGATCCAAAGTGAGTGCTTAATAAATATTTGCTAATGAATGAATTCTACCTCCTGCGCTGACTCTAAGTTTTAGTAGAGTGATGGCAAACCTGCTTTGCTCATTATCAAATCCCCAGCTCCTAACTAGCGCCTCACACAGAGTAGGCCTTTATGAAATATTTATTGATAAACAAATGAACCAATCAATTAGTCAATGCCTAAATGCCCTCCTTTGAAAAGCATCCATGAGGCCCACAATCAGATTTCTTTTAAAAATCTACTTTCTGTTAACCCCCCAAACCAGGGCAGTGAACCCAAAACAGAATAAAATTACTTCTAAAATGAACTGTTACCCAGTTGCAAATTGGCTCTGGCTGCTGCTGCTGCTTCTCCCCCATTGACACTCTTTTCAGGCAGCGATTTCAGGTGATGGCATTATCATCAGCGGAATTCAATAAAGCGGCTGGCTTCCCCGCCCCCCACCCCCCCATCCATGTTTATTTTCTATAATCCGTCTTACAGCGGGAGACCATTACCCAGTCAAACAACGTTCAATTTCATCGGCATTACCGCTTCAAGGAAACAGGCAGAGGGTTCGCACAAACGTGTGTGTAGTAAATTTAGTCTTTTAATAGGTTCATTCTTTATTAGGTATTTATTTCGGGAGGCAAAGTCCTAATTAGATTAAGTGGAGAAGCTAAAAAGCTATGGAAACCCACAGAGATATTCCAGAATTAGATGGATTTGGTTTAGCTTTCCAGTTTCCCCTTTATTTTCTTCAGTTGGCTGGAGAAATCCACACAGCAATCTCCAGCCCCTCAGATAAGAGTTTGTGAAATGAAACCCTGCCAACGTTTTGTGTGAGGAAGTCGCATTTGTCTTTCTCCTGCGCAAAGTTATGTGGGACTAGAATCGAGGAAAAAGCAGCTCCCAGAGCCAATGGTGAACCCAATTTACTGTGGCAGATGAATATAACAAAGGTGGTGGTCTAGATGTTTGGCCTCAAGGCACAATTCAATTTTCAGCTGTTTCAAAGCTATTATGTCAAAGGCTGTTTGCATAAACATAAAGTTGCCGGGGTGATCTTGGGCAGGCGGGAGTGGAGACGTCTGCCCTCTACTGCTCAAAATGGAGATAGCGGCTGGACGTCCCCTCAACCCAGAATTAGAGCTACAAAAACTTCAGCTGTCTCCCAAATAACAGGCCATCTCCAGAACCTTCTGAAACTTTTTCTCTCAAGCTTTAAAACCAGAGTGATTATTCAGTTTTGTGTCGAGGGGGGAAATGCAGTAGACTGAGGATGTGATGAGTTGATGGATGATGTGGGAACCTATGAAAAAGCTATTTCCCTTCTTAGAATTTGAAAGAAAATTCCTTTCACCCGCCCATCCACCCACACGTATATATTTATATCATCACATTGATATTTAATATGTTTTTTAACATAGAAAGCAGAAACAGACAATGACTCACAGGAAACAAATCAATACATTTCAGAATGGGCTAAAAATGTCACCATAAAAAAATGCTTAATGTTTATGAGGGCAAGTGTAGGGGCATATCTTCTCAGTTTCATGTTGGAATTTAGTAATTTCCTCATGTTTTGCCTCTCTTTGTTCTTCTCTTTAATGAAAACTGTGCCAAGCTATATGGTAAGCACCTTACGCTCTCAGAGAGACACCAATAACGTGTAAATGTTCCTTCTAAATACAGATCTTTTTTGGTGAAATACAGCATGGGCCACTGCTGGGGGGGACTTTTCAGATGGGGTCCCCCAGACAAAGAGGAAGGTCAAATGCAAATAGGGGGAAGATGTGGTCTGAGAGACACTGATGTAAAATCCAGTCAGTCCAGAACCAAACCTGGAGCAGAAAAACACCCATCAGATGATATTGATTCCAAATGGCACAGAATTAATCCCCAATTTGATTTTGTAAACTAATGTTCCTATATCCAGAGTTATCCTTAAAATGTTTTATATTGTAAAATGTCCAATCTTTGTTCATTACGGAACACAAAATATTCCCTCGGGACACCCAGGTACCAAATAAGGCCCTGGCATGAAGACTGGATGATATAAATACATACATGGTGTTCACAGTCCAGTGAAGTTTATAGTTCAGTGAAAGAGACTGTCATTCATCAGATAAAACAATCCAGTCATTAATTACAAAATGAAGGTGATTAAAAAATGGTGCTCATAGGCCGGGCACGGTGACTAACGCCTGTAATCCTAGCACTTTGGGAGGCCAAGGCGGGTGGATCACCTGAGGTCAGGAGTTTGAGACCAGCCCGGCCAACATGGTGAAACCCTGTCTCTACTAAAAACACAAAAACTAGCCGGGCATGGTGGCAGGCACCTGGAATCCCAGCTACTCAGAAGGCTGAGGCAGGAGAATCCCTTGAACCGAGGAGGCAAAGGTTGCAGTGAGCTGAGATCGCACCATTGCACTCCAGCCTAGGTGACAAGAGTGAGACTCCGTCTCAAAAAAAAAAAGAAAAAAAAAAAAGATGCTCATAGAGCATGTTTAATAGGATACCTGCACTAAGACAATCCCTATTATGGCAAAATAATTGTCTATAATAATTTTTTAAAATCTAATTATTGGTGTGTTTCCTCATTCTCTAGGCACTGTCTGAGGTCTTCATATGGTTTTCTCATTGAATCCTCACCGCACCCCATGAGGTAAGCATATTATTCCATTTCACTGATGAATAAACTGAGATTTAAAGAAGTAACATAACTCGTCCAAGAGCATACAGCTAGTAGGTGGCTCATAACTGTCTAAGTCCAAACTCAACACGCTTCAGTGCTTCCTGCTTTCTTAGTTATCTAACTATTCTAGAAAATTCAGTCAATGAGTTTGAGAATCAACACATTCACATTAAGCAGAGCTACTGTATTTTCTTAAAGTTTCACAAACCAAAAAGAGTTAACTATTTTTAAGAAATGGAGGAATGGGTGCTGACAGCTGGGGTAGTTAGTAGACAAGTGTGGTTTCTAAGGCCAGACTGCTTGGGTTCAAATCTCAGAACTATCAGTTACTATCTGGGTGACATTGGGGCAAGCTTCTTCATCTTCCCATACTTAGGTCTCCTCACTTGTGAAATAGGAATGATAATAATAATAATAGGATCTACCTTGTGGGCTTTTGTATTTGACACACTTAGAACAGTATTTGGAAGACAGTACGTACCCTTCAGGTGCTTCTGCATTTTGGATTTATGATGAAAGCACAGATGATGGTCTACCTCAAGGGAGCCGAGAAGATTAAATGAGGTAACATTTGTAAAGTGCTTAGAACAGTGCCCAGAACTGTGTAAGGGATATGTAACTGTTGAATGAAATCCTTCCCTGGCTGCCCATGACTGGGAAGAGGACTAGGTAGCCACAATCACCCTGGAGTCAGGAATCACCACTTTGAGATGAACCAGACACAGGTCCCCATCTAGATGGTCGAGGCCAAAGGCTTTGATCTAACTGAAGAATGGTCTTATGTTGCACAGTAATTTGCATTTGTTAGCTAAGCCTCCAGTGTTGGGATTCTGCAGAACTGCTCTGTGTGGAAAAAAATAACTAAATCACAAAAGGCAAGGGGTTCTTTGGTTTCTTCCCCCATTCCCACATTCCCAGTGGTCTGCCTTACCCCCCACCACACCCACACACAGAAACAGGAACTCAGGCTGTGAGTGAACTCGTGTCTTCCCAGTTGGTACATTAAAGGATAGGAAGGCAGGACAGAATAGTAATTAGGGACATGAAATTCAGAGGCAGGAAAAATTGGGGTCAAAATTCAGTTCCACTTCTTAAACAGAGATGAAAACAGTATTTTTCTCACAGGTTTGATGGAAGAATGAAATATGATAGTATAAAAAAGTGCTTATCACTTAAAATAAAATAAAAATAATAACAGCCAGTATTTATTGAGTGCCAACAGTGTCAAGAGCCTTCTATACCACATTTATGCCTCCCAACGACCTAGCACATATATGGCTGTTAGTCCCATTTTACAGATGATGTTTGGGATAATTGAGTCATTTGCTGCTACAGCCAGGATTTAAAGTCAAGTCTGACTGGGGCTGGGACATACTATTCTGTAAATGATAGCTGTTATTTCCCTTTGTGTCATCAATTCCTCAATTATTCAAACCATTAAATTTTTTTAATTTTTAAATTTGTGGGTACACAGTAAATGTATGTATTTATAGGGCACATGAGATGTTTTGATACAGGCATGCAATGCATAATAATCATATCATGGAAAATGGGGTATCTATCCCCTCGAGCATTTATCCTTTTTGTGCTACAATCCAATTACACTTTTAGTTATCTCAAAATGTACAATTAAATTATTGTTGACTATAGTCTCCCTGTCTAGCAAATGCTGTCTTATTCTAACTACTTTTTGTACTCATTAGCCATCCCTACCTCCCCTTCAACCCCTTCACACCCCTTCCCCTGGTAACCAACCTTCTGTTCTCTACGTCCATGAGTTCAATTGTTTTAATTTTTAGATCCCACAAGTAAGTGAGAACATGTGATGTTTGTCTTTCTGTGCTTTGCTTATTTCACTTAACATAATGATTTCCAGTTCCATCTGTGTTGTTGCAAATGACAGTATCTCAATCATTTTTGTGGTTGAATAGTACCCCATTGTGTATATGTACCACATTTTCTTTGTCCACTTATCCGTTGGACACTTAGGTTGCTTCCAAATCTTAGCTATTGTGAACAGTGGTGCCACAAACATGGAAATGCAGGTATCTCTTCAATATACTGATTTCCATTAAATATTTCATAGGTGCCTTATTTGTGGAGCCCGGGCCTGTGAGGAAAACCAGGCAGGATAACACATGGTTCTTACCTTCATGGAGCTTTTAGTTTTATTGTTTAGACAAGACACAACACCTGATGATTTACTGCTCCCATCTCCATATCATCCCAGATATAACCAGAGTCTTCTACATAAGATATTCAACTTTCTCCCTCACAGTAGACTCCCAAACACCACATGTGTGCTATATGGAGTTAATATCATTCACCATCAGTATATTAGTTAGGAGTTCTGAAGCTAATTCAATGTATTTGGGGTATGATGGTGAAACCATATATTTACCACTCTATGTGCTTAGCATAGAGATCTATTATTTTCCCCCTAATATCTATACATCCTTCTCCAAGTGATAGTATCCCAACTTTGCTCTGGAGCCTCCCATTCTCAGTCCATGAGCTTTGGGGAAAGTTGCTTCCACTCCAGGCTCCAACAGGAAGGGGTTGCTGAGCACTAATGTAACCTTGGCCAATCAAAAAGCTGCATTCTTCAAGCTAAACAATTGGTTCAAGGCTGGGCTTGTAATCTAATCAGCACCAAAGAGGCTTTTTCTGAGAGTGATGAGAGAAAAGCATCATGTTTTCCCCTGGGTCTGCTAGCAGTAAGGAGAATTTGAGTCTAGAGCTTCCAGGGCCATCACCAGGAACCTGGGAATGAAGCCAGCGTGCAAGAGACACAGCTGAGAAATGAAGAGAAAGCAGGTCCTCATGACATCAGCTGAGCCCTTGGACCATGTCACTCCTGAAACATACCACTGGAGAGAGACAGTTTGCACTTTTCTATAGAAACTTCTTCTCTACTTAAGCCAGTCTGAATTAGGTATGTATCACTTTCAACCAAATTAACCTGTACTTAGAGTGTTCAATAGATATAATGCATATTATTAATAGTAGAAGTGGAAACTGGCTGTATATATAGTCTTCTACACTTGTCATCTGTATCACTGGCACATCCCTGTGAAGTTTCTCTCTAGAGTTGGGAGTGGTTTCTAAAAAATCAAATGAGGAAAATCTGCATCAAAAACTGAGTGTGAACAAACAAATTCCACTAAGCCTTGACTCCAGCAATGCAAAACATAATGTTGGCTTCAGCATCCAACAGGTATAAATTCTATGCTCATAAGACAAAATCATGTAAGAACAAGACTTCTGTGTGCAATTTATGTTGAACCAAAGTAACTTAATTTCTTAATCCCCAAGCAACCAATTTGAGAAAAGCAAAGCATAAAACCTAAAGAAGCTTTCTTTTCAGGAATGCAGACAGTGTGAGTGAAAGCAGTGTGTTTTTAAACAGGATGGTTGTGAGAAATTCACTGATGTGTTTTTCCTTCCTGTTTTTTTCTCTTTCCTTTTTCCTGTGTCCAATCATGGACTGAGCCCTGTGCTTTCTTGCCTAAGGGAAGCTTTGTAAACTGTAAAACACTTTCTTCCCTGGCTTTTGTTTTCAAAAGGCTGCACTGGTCATGGTGGCAACATGGCAGCCCGTGGGTATTTTACTTTGCCCTACACAGAGTAATTTTAAATGCGTAAGCCAACATTTAATCCAAAAGAGATCACTCATTTTAAAAAACTGGATTTCTGACTTTTCTTGGAAAATCAGAAGACACAGCAGCACAGGTCAGCATGGCTGACAGCAGTTCACCAGGAATGAGTAGCAGCCTCTTTACACGGACCAAGTGCTTTCTAATGTTCCAAGCCCCTGCCAAGCTCCTGTGCTCACTTCCATTCCTATCTGGCCTCTTCAGGCACTTAAATTTGCAATTCTTCATCTAAACCTACAGAAGAGAGTAAGCCAGGAGCCCTAGGAGATAGGAAAGTAGAGTTGCAGACTAGAGGAAATTCCTCTAATGAAAGTAAGAAGAGAAATAAATTTTTTCAAGATTAAGGAGGATATTCCCAAAGGCTGAGAGAGAAGACAAGAGGGATTTCGGACTCTGAGCAGCAGTGAACCAAGGGGACTGGCTGGTTGTGTTCCAGAGAAATAGCAAGATTTCAGAAAGGAATGGTTGTGTCGCTCTCTACTTTGACAGTGATTTTCTTATTCCAACTGTGGCACAAAAGCAGCAGGCCAGGAATCACATCTCATAGAATGGGCTAAAGAGTATCTCAGCATCCAAGGCTCACTAATGGCCTATGACCTGGGACCCTCCCAAACCCTTTGACTCTATTGCAGACACCCTTAGTCCTTCTGGGGATGGGGGAAAAGATGGTCTCTTGGACTAAGCAAGACTGAAGTTCTAGCTCACCAGGGAAATGGGGTTTGGATTGTTTTTAAGGAAAAAAGACTACAATATTTCTTGAGCATATGAGATTGAGAACTGCTACAATTTGAAAGTGCTCCAGTAAGTCACATGCATACCCCGACCCCCGCACTCCAACTAAAAAAAAAAAAAAAAAAAAAAAAAAGTTCTTTCTCCCTTGGTTTTTCTCTGGTTTGTTTTTTTGTTTTTAATACTTCTGGGCGAGTTTTCTGAGATGGCCATTCCTGTTTGGCCCAGCCCTATGGCTGCCATGGCCTTGGCCTACAGAAGCCTGAGTTTTAGAGTGTCCTTAGTCCCAGGATGTTTGGAAGTTTCTGTTGCTCTGACCTGGACACTGTGATCCTGACACAGAGCAACAATCCCCACATTCCTCACATACTGGAAGAAGCCCAGTTGATAGCTTCTTAGCTGACAATAGAGTTCATCTGAGGCAAGTCTGCAGAATGGGACGTCAAGATACACCCTGTGATCTCTCTAGAAGTAAGAAGAAAAGTGTAGTTTTCTCTGGTTGCTCAAGAAGCAATGTTTTCATGTGGGCATCAAGAGCACCAGCTTTAAAGTCAGACAAACCAAGGTCGGATCCCGGCTCTGCCACTTATTGGCTTTTTTTAACCTTAGGCAGCCTCAGTTTCCTCAGAATAATAGTACTTGCTTCTCAGATCTGTTGGGAGGATTCAATGAGATAATGGATAGAAACTGTCTAGTTCAATACCTGTTCATAGTAAGAACTCGACAAAGGGTTAGCTGTTAAAATAATTAATGGAAATCAGCCCAGGCCCCCCGGGAATTCAGAACTTGGATAATGAAACCAGCTAAACCAACATCTGCCCAGTGATTTCATCTATAGAACATACATTAAAGAAAACAAAGGACACAGCACCAGCACGTGGCTGTTCCAGACTCTGCTAAATCCAATATAAATATTGATTTTCTCCTCACTGCCAATAGGAAAGAACCAGAGCTTCGCTGCACTCAAGGAAGATAGAAGCCAATAGATGTAAGGTGTCTAAGAAAGGAATTCCACAGGGCCCGTTGTCAGCTGTTCCAGAGAACATGAAGGAGCCAAGCAGAAAGAAAATATTGGCCTAAAAGCAAATCAGCCAGGGGAGCGAAACAGGCCAGAGCCATCGAACAAAATTGTGGGCCAGGCATGGTGGCTCACACCTGTAATCCCAGCACTTTGAGAAGCCAAGGTGGGCAGATCACAAGGTCAGGAATTCGAGACTAGCCTGGCCAACATGGTGAAACCCTGTCTCTACTAAAAATACAAAAATTAGCCAGGCATGGTGGTGCATGCCTATAGTCCCAGCTACTCAGGAGGCTGAGACAGGAGAATCACTTGAACCTGGGAAGTGGAGGTTGCAGTGAGCTGAGATTGCGCCACTGCATTCCAGCCTGGGCGACAGAGCAAGACTCCGTCTCAGAAAAAAAAAAAAAATTGTAAAGACCAAGGTTTTGTTCAGCCTTTTGTTATTCTCTTTTTTGATATATTAGGGCATACCCTCCTGACTAGGCACCCAGCGATTCATGCTGCCCTTTTGATGGCCAGCTCTGGAAGTCAGTGACATTCTGTCTCAAGCAAACTCACTCTGAACCTTCAAGGAACACCCCCGTCCCCCGTCAAACCTGCCACGTGTTCCCTTTGCTTCAGGTTCTGCTCCCTCCTTACTAATCTGAAAAATTCATGTGTTCTAAAGTATTATGAAAGGATGGAGGTTCCCTCCACTACCACTTCTATTGAATCTTTTTTTTTGTAGATAGAAGGCATAAAAATTTTCACTGTAACATGCATGCACAGAGAATAATTACCCAATGGGGTACAGAATAACCCAATGGGGTTCAGAAGCTTATATACTCTTTTTCATAGGGGAGGAAGGAGATGAAGAATTCAGACAATTCTTTTGAGGAGCTGCAAATGATTATTAGGAAATATGAATGAACAGAAATTAACTATAGATTCTCTTTGAAATTTGAATGAGCCTCCAGTGGCAGGCATTATCTTCTGAAAAAGTCCATCCAAGTGTGGTTGCATTCTTCAGTCTTCTTTTCTGAGATAGATAATGAGATTTCAGGGAAGGGAGGAAGACAATTGTATTTCTTCATTTGGTTGGGGTTGGGGGTGGGAGACAGACAAGGTTAGAGGGACATTGACTCTGAGGCCACTTCTAAGGCCTTTCAGCATGTCCAGACTTCAAGGTATCATTTTCTGAACCCCAACATTACCTTTCTGAAACTTCCCTAGAAGTTTCATACTTTAAAAGCTGAGTTAGTGGCTGTGCAGAGAAAAATTGAGTTAATAGCCAAGTGGCAAAGGATCCCATTAAACCAGTCTCCTGTTTCTAGAAATAGGTCAGTTCAATTAAACAGTCATGTCTCATTTCAGGAGATGGCGCTGCAGAGGGGCTCTCAAAGCTAGGCCTCTATATATAGTGCAGGCAAACAGATCTTTAATAAGATGCCTTTCTATGGAAACAGAAGAAAAACAAAGGTGAAGGTCCAGAGTACTTACTATGATTTGGATCTCTGTCCCCTCACATTGAAATGTGATCCTCATTGTTGGAGGTGGGGCCTGGAGGGAGGTGACTGGACCGTTGAGGTGGATCCTCATGAATGGCTTAGCACCATCCCCTTGGTGATGGGCGAGTTTTCACTCAGTTCACACGAGATCTGGTTGTGTAAAAGAATCTGGGCCCCCCCCTTCTCTCTCTTGTTCCTGCTCTCACCATGTGATGCGTCTGCTCCCACTTTGCCTCTGCCATGATTGGAAGCTTCCTGAACTTCACCAGAAGCTGAGGCAACCTGCTGCCATGCTTCCTCTACAGCCTGCAAAACCATGAGCCAAATAAACCTCTTTTCTTTGTAAATTACCCAGCCTCAGGTATTCCTTGATAGTGACACAAAAAAGGACTATCACTGTAGTCTATAAACTAGTTTTTCTAGAGTTTCTGAAGCATCTTCAGTTGCCATAGGCAGGCAGTGACAATCTGACAGACTTTCATGGATTGTAGTTTGAATCAGATGTTCCAGTTAAGAAAGAAATGTGTCTCAGAGCAGTCTGAAGATTGTAAGGAAAATTTATCAGGCCCAAAGTGACAGGAGCATGAGACTTCAGTCTGGTCCCCCACAGCCATGCCCAGGGGTAATTGTTTCAAGGCGTTTTGTTTTTTCTTTCTTTCCCTGTAGTTCCCAAACTAGCTGATAAATTTCCTAAAATGTCACCACAAGTTGCACAACATGACCCTCACCCACTATCTTCATGTTCCTGGAATTTGTGATACAAAGAACAATGAACATCAAATTGATGGCTTATGTTATTTTTATGAACCAATGCAAATTCTTGACAAACAGCTTAAGAACTGTCCCTGTTTTTTTATTTCAAAACTCACTTGTAACTGCTGCTAATTGGAGGATATATTCAGGGCAACTTGAATTTATGTCTTCCAGGCTGCAGTCTTCAAACTTGACCCAAATAAACTCTCTACTTATATTAATTTTGCCTCAGTTTCTTCCATTAGGTCAACACAGTGGACTTTCTGAGTAGTCCATCCGTCAACAAGCACGGAGGTTGTTTACATGTAAGTTGCTGTGATGATTTCTCCCAAAGTTTATATAAAGTTGTCTAGCTTCAGTTTGTAGGGCTTTTTAAAAAATAAAAAAGCACAGTTTTAATTTCTAGTATCAAATCTGCATTTTTTACAAGGCTGTTAGTACCCCCAAGAGCTGGTATTATACCTGCCTCACAAGTGACTAAGACTTGGTGTGAAGTGGACAGCCCTGGAATCACAGTTTGGTTATAAACTGTCAGGTGCTCCATAAACATGGCAAGGCACTTGCTTTATGAGAGAGGCATTGTTTCACACCCCAAGGCAGGATGCCCCCCAACTCTGTATAGGCAAAGCCTCCCACTTCCTTCCTCCCACCCCAAACCCCTCCTAAGCTGAGCCTCAGGCATACAGAGACAACAAAGAAGACAAACTTGGCCTAACTACTGATCTCCTGTCAAGAGAATCCACTGCCCACTGAAAAATGCAACTTGTAAAGTCATCTCTCTCTGGTCTTCTCATAACATGCAAACATCTATGAAAAGATACAGGAGAATTTCCTTTTGAATTAACATCTAAGCATTTATTTCTTTATAATGCCATCTGGGTCTTCTCAGGCCCTTTAAATCTAAAGAGGATTGCCTTAAATTCCCACTTCTTGTGGTATGGGGGAAGCCCTACATCTCCCCCAAGATTTCTGTAATTTCTAAGAGCTTAGTCTCTCTTACCTGCTTTTCCCTGGCTCCCAAGTCCAGGAGATTATCTCTGCTATCCACTAAAGGGACCCAGATGTAAAGTTCAGCCCCTCCTCAGGTTGCTCCCAAAGAATCCACTCAGAGAGCTAATGTTGAACAATGAGGATTTAACTGAAGATCTCAGAGAGAAGACAGTGTGTGTCCTCCAGCAAGCTACATGAGAAGTCACATTGAATGACCTCTATTGACTGACCCACTGGATGAATCCATGCTACCCGTGACCTTGTACAGCTTTTAACCGATGCCCCAGTCTGAATGCCCCAACTCGCTTGTGGCAATTGTGCTGGTCTGGTGATTATGTAATTCAATTCAGTATAAACAAGCAGACAAAAATAGGAGTACAAAAATACAGCTCTCGTTTCTATCAAAATGAAGTTGAATGCTTTGAACAGGCTTAGAGAGAAATTACTGTCAGGTTCAATCTTTGGGGAAAAAGGATCACTATAAAAGATAAGGGGATAGGAGTAAACCTCTGGAAGGATTCTGTCCTGAGATTACTTCTCAAGTTTTTTTTAAGGTGGTGCTCCAGTTAAAAAAAAGTAAAAACTAGAATTCGTAGATAATGTGTTATGGATGGAGTGCCTGCTGCAAGAAATTCCAATAGCAGACACTGGCCAGAAAACAGACCTTGGCCAGATGTCAGATGATGAGTAAAGAACACATACTTTATGTGTCTCAGGTTAAAATAAAACATATAAATGTGTTTTTTATGATATCCTGATTTAACCTTTTGTTTTCATTAACTATGCTACTGCTCCTGTCACATCCAATTAGAAGGCTTCTGCTAGTGTTAATTCATAGTTGACAGTCCTGTTTTCAAAATCCCTTTTCAGGCACCCCATCCCCAGAAAGTATCCTACCCAACTCTTTCCCCACCCAACACCAAGCTTGCCCCCATAATTTCAGATCTTTGCCCCTCTGTCATGCAGAATAAACTAGAACTCTCTGACTCCAATTCTCAAACTTGTAATCAGAAAACCTCAGCAAGGTTTTTACTCAGCAGGAATATGATAACGGCAAACACTAATGTAGTGCTCACTTTGTGCCAGGCTTTGCTCTAAGTGCCTTATATTATATGTGTTAATTCAACAATCCTATGAGATAGGTAGCATTTTACCAAGAAGGATCTGATGCACAGAAAGGTTAATTAATTGCTCATTGTCACAGAGCTAGTAAGCAGCAATGGTACCCCAGATCCCATGGTCTTCATCATGCTTAGATGACAAAGATTTTCCACCCAGCCTATTCTGCCTTCCTCTGTAAATGGCAGTTTAAAAACTGCAACAACCAAAAAGAAAAGAACCCCTCCCTATTATACAATACATTGACATGCAGGTTTATTTCTAGATTAATACTTATCAAATACCTACTATGTAGGTCAGGCACTGCATTAGTTCTGGGGATAGAGACAGACTCAGTATCTGTCCTCATAGAGCTTACAGGAAGTTCAGAGTGGCAGACACTGAACAAGTAATTATAAATATGACAGGCACAAGCAGTTAACAAATTCTTCTGTATAGAGAGTGGCAAGAAAATTCACAAACCGGAAAGAGATATTTGCTACATATATAAGCAAAAAAGCTAAGCAGAAGACCAAAAAAAAAAAGAGAAAATTAGCAAAAGACATGAACAAGCATTTCACACAAAAGGAAACAATGAATAGCAATAAACATATGAAAAGATTTTCAACCTTATAAGTAATAAGAACAAAAGCTTAATCTCAGTGAGATACTATTTTACATCTACTAGATAGGCAGCAACTAACAAGCCTGACCATACCAAGCACTGGTGAGGATGTGGAGCAATGGGAACTCCCCTACACTGCTGGTGGGGCTATAATTTCCATAAACACCTTGGAAAACAATCAACATCAAGTAGAAAATACATCTGTTCTCCAACCCAACAATTCCGCTCCTAAATGTACATGTTGGAGCAGCTCTTGTCAATGCATGTGTACCAGGAAAACATGTTGAGAATGTTGATAGCATTGTTTGTAATCAGAAAAATAAAGACAAAACATGAAACAACTCAAATGTCCATCAATGATATGATGGTTAATAGGTTGGATGTCTGTATTCAATGGAGCACTGTACAACAGTGACAATAAACAGCACAGAGGTGTCTTCAAAATTATTGATGATATTCTAGTTTTTAAGCTGTTAGTGAATATGTGGTTGGTTATTTATTAACACTCTTTTTACTGTCCTGATTTGTTACATTCAGTCATTTGTATGTATATTTCACTATATTTTATAAATACCAAAAAAAAGAGAAAGAGCTAGGCAAGCATATACAGTTTTCAATTTTTCTGTAATATCTCCCAGACTCTGATAGGTCCATGCCCTGCCTCAATTCTTCATATAGTGGAATAGTAAATAAGTTCAGTCAATTCAATCAATACGAACCGCCAAACCAGATCACTGTGACCTTAAATTGGATTTAGAAGGCCTGAATTAATTAAGTGAATTAATTTCAACACAGAGTCTGCCTCATTTTATGCTACATAGACATATGCTCTAATCTTCATTTTATTGATCAATGTTCTAATCTACTGAAAGCTCAGTTTGGAAGTGATTAGTAGGCCACAGATCCCTTACCACCTATTTCCTGAGTCTCTTCATAAGATCGTCACAAGTTTTGCCAGAAGAATAAGTATTTGGAATCTGGATGATTTGGGGGAGCTTGTGTTCTTAACCGGGAACTCATGAATAGGCTTCAAAAAGTCCAAGAAATTCCTGAAAATGTGTGTAAAACATTGCATGTGTATGTTTACGTTGAGTGTGTATCATTAGAGTGCCTGTTACCATCATTTAAGTTTCAAATGTGACCATCTAAACAGCTACCAGACTTAATGGGGTGACCAATCATGCCTGTTTGTCTGTGGCTATTCCAGTTGTAAACTAAAAGTCCTGGGTCTTGGGAAACCCCTCAAATCTGAGATATAACCAGAATAGTTATTTTACGTAACACAGGGCTGCCAGATAAAACGCAGAACACGTAGTTAAATTTCAATTTAAGATAATGAATAATTTTTAGCATAAGCTTGTCCTGAGAAATATTTATTGTTTATCTAAATTAAATTTAACCAGGAAGCCTAAACCGTTTTTTGCAAAATTTGACAATGCTACCCTAATAGATTAATTTAAGTAGAACTAGTAATAGTAGTAGCAACAGCAGTAACCAACAATTGAGTGCTTCATGCCAAGCACAATTTCTTATTCAATCCTAAGCACATCATAGGGGGTTGGGATTCTCATCATTCCTTTTTTATGGATGCAGTAACTAAAGATGGAAGAGGTGAAATAGCTTCCCAATATCATGCAGTTAGTCAGTGGCAAAGTCAGATTCAAATCCACCAAAATCTGTTCCATAAAAGGGGAAATGGGGAAAGCTGTATCTCAAAATGTCAAAGGGCTGAGTTTGCCACCTGGACTCCCCCTCCAACTCCCCTTTAAGTCAGTAAGTCACCCCTAGGCTCTGAGCACCCCAGAAGAGAATGTGCATCAGAGGCTTCCAGACACGAAGCATTAGCACCACGGCTTGGCAACCATCCTGTTTCCCAAACTCTGCCTAACTCCCCCACTTTTCTCACAGGCTTTATCAGGGAGAATTTCCCTGATGCCTTTCAACCCAAAAGAGTTGACAGCCGCTTCAAACACCAGCTGAAATTCATTTGCCTCCTTGAGCTGCTTCCTGTTCTCCAAAATCTATTATCGCTTTGCCCAGATATTCTGCAGGTTGGAATGGGACTTGCATGGAAGTGACCAGCTGTGCTGATTTACCCACAACTGAAGAGTCTCCAAGGCTACAAGACTTAAAGTTTAAAAATGGGAAAGTCCCTGGAAGGCTGGGACAGCTGATCACCTTACCTGCCTGGCAGATTCACCACTTGGCTTTCATTAATATTATCTCGTTCGATCCTCAGCACAACCCTGGGACAAAACTCATTTTACAGATGAGGGAACTGAATCACGGAGATATTCAGTAATTGCCCAATGTGCATGGTTGTGAAGCACGGAGCTAACTAAGCCTACCAGGTGTGTCTCCTTCAAAACTGGGCTGAGACGTGAATGTCCTGGGCTCTGGAGTCAGAATGCCTGAATCTGAACCTTGAGGCTAACCTTGGGTCACTTTATCAACCTCTCCTAGCACTCCAACTTCCCTTATCTGTAAAAATGATTATATTAAAACTTACCATCCCATCTTGTGAAGATTGAAATAATGCATTCGAAACACTCAGCACAACACCTGGTGCTTAGTAAGTGTTCACTAACAGAAGCTATTATTACTCCAACCTATTGCTAAAAGAATGAAGTATGAAAACAGGTCTGTCTTCTTTAACGCTATCCTCAAAGATTGGAAATATCCCCCAAAATATCCTTCTTTCACCTTACAGCTACTTATCTATCATCAAAGTTGTTTCCTAACTTTTGTTTTAAAGAGAGAATCTTTCTCTGTCCCCAAGGCTGGAATGCAGTGGCATGATCACAGCTCACTGTAATTTCAACCTCCTTGGGTCAAGGGATCCTCTTGCCTCAACCTCCCAAAGAGCTGGGATTACAGGTGTGAGCCACCTCACCCTGCCTTTTCCTAAATATTTTTAAAAACTACATTTTCAGCTTTTACTATCTCTCGTGAGTCCCATATTCTGATTGCAAGCTGTGTCTACTAGAGGTTCCTTTTATTTTACCTCTGTTTAGCTGTATCTTTCACAGCTCAAAGGGAATAAAATGAGTCAGGGTTTACTTAAAGAACAAATCCTTCTTGACCCCACCCACCCCCTTACATAAGCTAAGCACAGGACCGTATCTGCCATATCTGCTTCAATCAGCTCTGAGTCACCTCCAGTGCCAAATTAATGCAAGTGCTCAATACATATTTGTTGACTTTATTAAATAATATCAATTTTACCATTATCAATCATTTTTGTTATTCTGTATCTGAAATAAACCACCCCACTTTCTCATTTCTCCTGGAAAATATGACTATATGAGTCCTGTTTTACAGTAATGTTTAATTCCCATTTTATACTTCATAATTTTCAAATGTTTACATTCAGGCAATGCTATTCATCAACATACTCATAAGAATAAAATTGTTCAGAATAACTAGAAATCATGGAACAAATAAAGATGATGTAGAAGAAATACCAAACCAGAAGTCAGAAGAACTAGAGACCAGATTTGCCATTAACCAGATTTGCCATTAATTAGCTCTGTGTCTTTGGGGAGAAGAAAGGGAATGAGAACATTTGTGTAGCCCTTGCTACGGGCTGACTTTGTATTAAACACTTTCTACAGATTTTTTAAAATTTAATTCCCCTGCAAAGGAGCTATTTCTCTCCCAGTTTTTTAAAGTGAAGAAACTAATGCTCAGGGAGTTTCAGCATTTGATCCAAATTATACCCAGTAGGAAAGCCAAGATTTGAACCCATGTCTATTGACTAGAAAGCACAGATTCTTCTCATTTTTCTCACCACCACCAAGTTGCCTCCTTAAAATATGAGATTGTAATAAAAATTGTTCTGTTTCATCAGTCTCTAGCATATGGGCCCAACAAACTTCCCTTGAATCAGTTCATGTCATCAATGTAAGCCCTCATTTTCCTCCAGAAAAAATGATCTAGATGATGCCTTTTACATTTTAAACCCTGTGACTTCGTGCCAATGTGCTGAGGTTCACTCTAAAACAGGGCTGCTAGTCGGAGCCCTTGGAAGAAGGCAGCCTGTGTGTTCAAGCATCCATCCTTCTAGCATTATCAATCTGCCACATTAATATGCTAATTTCAAGGGAAGAACTGTGGAACTAATTCCATGTATCATTCAAGCAAAGGTATCCAGGTAGCACCAAGATACTAGACAATCAAAATCAACATGATTATGTGACTTGGAGTGTGTTGTGGCAGGAGAACAGGAAAGGTGTTCTTCCATGACAAGTCCTTAACAGGTTGTTCACTCCAAACAGTCCAACAGAAAGGAAGCTCTTCTCCCCATTTTCTTCTGGCGTTGGCATTGTCCAATGGAGAAAGTGCATTGGCAGCCTCCTACAGCCCTCCAGGAGCCCATCAAAAAGTAATAACCCTGATGCCTT
Organism: Homo sapiens; assembly: GCF_000001405.40. NCBI lineage: Eukaryota > Metazoa > Chordata > Mammalia > Primates > Hominidae > Homo > Homo sapiens. The sequence continues at coordinate 158,059,077 of NC_000005.10, read as the reverse complement.
GGGGCTGGGAAATCTGTTGCTCTCAGAATCCCCACCCACCCAGCTTTGAAGTGTTGGCTGACTTGAATAGATGGGGCTAAAAGAATGTTCCAGTTGGCTTTTTCAGAATCTTGACTAATTGAACCATCTGGTGGAAGACAAAAACCATGTCATTTTGGGCCCGATGATCTTAAATAAGCTGCCGGCATGTGCAGGATGAAAAGATTTGTTGGCATGTCGGTAATGATGACAGGAGAGCTTAGCACATCTGCTAGAATGGACCTTGACATAGAACATCCTAAATGTAAAATCATCCTTTCTCCCCCCATGACTCCTGCTCTGCCATCCCCTAAAACCAAATGTATGCTACTTTTATTTTCTTTTTAACGTTTATTGCTCAAATAAGGGCATTCCTAGCTTCCTCTTTTTATGCGATTCCTTTACTAAGAACAAGCCTAACATATTATCAAAATAGTACATCACCAACATGATTCAATTTTCATGGCCCTTCAAAGTCCTCCTGTCTTAGGCCTCATGCCTTCCACCCACCAACCAAAAAATATATTAAACCCTGGTCTGCCACAGTGGCTGATATTCCCATTATGTACTTTCTTTAGATTCAATGTGTATGTGCCTCTCTATGATGCAAAAGCAGAGTGTGTTACCTGAGATTTCTCAGAAGCTGACTCAGAGAGGAAGGCATGTGGGCAAGAGATTTGTTAAGGAAATGCTCCCGGGAGAAATTGGTAAGGGAGAAGAAGGAAGGGGGGAGAAGCTGAGCAAAGGCTTGATTTCTGGCCTTTTCCCATGGAGAGCAGCTTCAACCCAACTCCACAGAGAACCCAGGAGTGAAAGTTGGGTACCTCAGAGTTTGTCTACATTTGAGGTAAGGAAGCTGGGATTTTATGCCTCTGCACAAGTCAGCTGTTCACCAAGAACAGCCCCTGGTGGATAAACCCATAGGCATTTCCACCTATCTGAGATTTGGGGGTAAGCCACTTCAGTTGCCCAAAAGTGTCCTTTGAAGAGAGTGACTGGAGCAGGTCACAGAAGCAAAAGCAATCAGGGGAAGGAGAGTGAAATGGATCCAAAGGGATCTAAAAGGAGCCTGACAGTGTCTGCCACACACAGGAAGCTTTTCTCAACCTTCTGTGGGTTCATGGAAAATAACCAGGTTAGCCTTAAAAGACAACAGGATCCAGGAGGAAGGGTGCAGATGGCAGGAAAGTGAAATGCCAAGAAGTGTTTAATGTCTGTGTCTCCTACTAGTCACAGGTCTCCTTGAGAGCAAGGATATAGAAATTTTAAAAGCTAACACACCGCTGGAGAAGCAGACAGGCAGAAGGTGATGCCAACACTGCATGGCCTATGCCAGGAGGATTGATCCATTTATTTACTCACTTAACAACCTTTTCTTGAGAACTCGTGAGATGTTGGAAATGCTCTAATGAATAAGATGGTCGAGGTACCTACTCTTATGGAGCTTCCATTCTGGCAGGGGAAACCAAATGTAACCCAATGAACCAACTCAGATAATATAAGATGATAACAAATGCTGGAACAGCAATAAAAAGGAGTAACAAGGTCGGGTGTGGTGACTTATGCCTGCAATCCCTGCATTTTGGGAGGCCGAGGCAGGAGGATCATTTGAAGCCAGAAGTTCAAGACCAGCCTGGGCAACAAAGTGAAAGCCTATGTCTACAAAAAAATTTTTTAATTAGCCAAGCATGGTGGCATGTGCCAGCAGTCCCAGATACTCAGGAGGCTGAGGCAGGAGAATCACTTGAGCCTAGGCTGCAGTGAGCTATGCACACAGTTTAAAAGAAAAAAAAAGTAACAACATAAACAGTGATGGAGTGAGGTGGGGGCTGTTCTAGAAAGAGTGGGCAAGGAAAGGCTTCCCTGGGGGTGTCATTTGAGCAGAATCTTGACTAAAGTAGGGAGCACATCCATCTGAGGGAAGTTATATGGTCTGTTTTTGTTTCTTAAAACATTGCTGCAACTATTATGTGGAGAAGCAACTGCTTATTGAAATGGAATAGAAATAGACCAGTTTGCAGACTTTTGCCCAAAAACAGGGGAGATGGTCATGCCTTAACCGTGGGTAACAGTCATGGAGATGATGAGGCGGAAAAGATATAAAGAAACACACTGCAGAGAGAGGGAAAGGACGTCACCCAGTATACAATCCCAGGAGCTGCATTTGAAGGGGAGGGTTATGGGATCCAAAAACTACTTTAGGGCATGCCTGTCCTCTTCCCTTAACCGGCCTATGTGTCCATTTCAAAAAACAATCAGGTTCATCAAATCAAAGTCAACATCCAAATGCATCAACAGCATAAAGGATCTTGAACTCGGCTAGCCCCCATGCTATCCTTTCCAGAGCCCAAGTCCAAATTCCTCTAGAACAGGGTTCAGCAAGCTGTTCCTGTAAAGGGCCAGACAGTAAATATTTCTGGCTTTGCAGCCCTACGTTCTCTGTGGCAACCACTCAACTTGAAGGAATGTAAATGCAACCATAGGCAATATGTAAATGATGGGTGTGGCTGTGTTCCAGTCAAACTTTTTTATGCACAATTAAATTTTAATTTCATTTTGTTTTCTCATGCCACAAAATATTATTCCTCTGTTACTTTTTTTCAACCATTTAAATTGTCAAAACCATACTCAGCTTATAGGATGTACAAAAACAGGCAATGGGCAGATTTGGCCCACAAGCCATAGTTGGCAGACCCCTGCTCTAGGAGATTGCTGGCCAGGAGAGAAGGATCTCTAGCAGTCCCCTCCCTATTTGTTTTTTCATGTAGCATCACTCCTGTGGGCCCAATATGTCATACTGCATATCTTACATATAAATATAAGCCAGATTTTTTTTACTCCCCTCCATGGAGTTCCGCTGGGGACTGAAGGGTCTAATAGCGAGAGTGAGTATATTTTGCCAACAATTCCCGCTCTCCATAATGGAATTTAATTATTTGGCCTGAAAAGCATTTAAGCCTCACTATACAAAAAGAGTCAAATAAATAAATAATAAAGGGGCACATTTTGATAGCACCTGCCTCAAAGATCTTAAAGGCACTGTCATGCCTGCTTTAATATTTTATGGTGTAGAAATGTGACTGTTACCAGGTCATAAAAATATACTGCTTTTTATACCAGGTCAAAATCGAGGGCCAATAGCCCTGTTTTGTGGCAGGATGCAGAGAGCCAGCCAGGAAGGAGGATAGAGTTACCTTTTTTGCAATCTGAAGGGAGCTATTTAAAGATGATGTACCAGATAAATGCATATTGGATATTTTTATTGTGTTTCTTTTTCCTTCTGCATTTTAAAACAGAAGATTTCAGAGTCTGCCAGCAGCTGGTGCAACATTCATTATTTACCACTGAAAAACCAAGAATCTCAGCCTCTGACCCTCTATTATTGCTTAGGCATATTCTGGGAAGAGCTGAGAGGCAGGCAGGTGTTTCCTGGAGCCAGTAACACATGGTTTCTCCTGCAAACACTCAAAATCTTCAAGTTGGAGTAACGCTAGTGATGTTCTACCCCAAGACCCTACGTCCTGGAAGGAAGACTCCTGCAGCGTCACTGACTGAAGACCATCCCATCAAACGTAGCCACTCCCTGGGCAGCCTTTGTTGTCACCGAAGAAAGAGCTGGTTGTTGTTTAATCTTCATAAAAATCCTGGGCAGTAGGAACAATTATAATGTCTACTTTACAGATAAGGAAACTGAGGTTAGATAAGTTGCCCAAAAGTGACACAGCTGGGAAGGGCAGGGCTGGAGTGGAAACCACAAGGGGACTGTAACCAGCCCTCTCACCATCTTTGCCTCCCACCCCCTCCTAATGCTTTCGTGTAACAAGGCAAGGTCTTCCTTCATATGTGAGCTGCCCTAGTTCCTACCCAAGGAAAATGACAATTTCCAAGACTGAGAGGAAAAAAAGAGCGAGAGAGAGGAGTAACTGTTCCCCAGCTAGAGTTAGGTATTCACAAAGCTAATAACTGATGTACAAGCAAACAAATGCAGAGAAAGGTTTTTGGCACCACTCTATATAACACAGAGATTAATTAATACTAGATTACAATGGAATTCCTGTAGAATTACAGTTGATCCAGACCCCAGAACAACAAAGGAATTCAACATGATTAATGCTTTGGATAGCAAGGAACGTCAGAATGATTTACCTCCTATTACTAAAAAGGGCTGCCAGATTGCTTGAAAAAAAGCTCTGCTTGACCCAGGACATTGCTGTCTCTAGTGCAATCAGTGTTCTGAGTTTACTCGTTTGACAGGAGCGTGACTCTTTGCCAACTCTACTTCGTTTTATGTCTCCCTTTTCCCCTTTTTTCTTCCCTATCCCACCCTCTCTCCCAGTTTCATTCCAGGCCAACAAAGTGATGTTGGAGAGGAGGCATTCTGAAATCCCCAGCAAGTCCAGATGGGTAACCTGGGCTGTTCAGGACCAGTTACAGGCACAGAGGCAGCACATGCAAAACGAGCCCGAACACCAGTGCCAGCCCTTCCACTAGAGCTGCAGGGGTGCCTTTATTTTATCTTCTCATTTTTCCTCTTCTGAAAAAATCTCTGCTGGTGAGTCATTTGTGGCTATAGGTGTTTAAAGCATTTATATGAGGAGAACGACAGATTGATGTCTTTAGCACAGCCTGCCTGCTCTGGTCTAGGAGAGGTCAGGAGGATGACAAGAATACTAAGGCTTAAGATGACAGAGTTGGCGCCAACATGCATTTAAGCAGAGACTGAGAGTCCAGAATTCCTGGACATCATAAAGAATCTATTATCATTATGGTCACTCTCAGCAAGACTGATTTCATTACCATCTGTCTTCATCCACCGCTGCTTGGTGAATAAATATTAAATATGGAACTTTTCCTGGACTCAAGTCACTGAGGCTGAGAGGGAAGTAGTTATGTAACCATGTGATCCCCACACACCTCATACCAGGAAGAAAGAAGATGAGGCAAGGGGGGTTGGGTGGGGGGACCTGGAGGAGGGAGACAAAATGGTGTGAGAAAAGATCATTAGCTCTACTGAGTCGAAAATAAGAGTTCAGTTCTCGGTTGAGTAATAATCCTCTTTTCAAGGTGGGCGATATTTAAGCAATCATCTCTCGAAAATTGGTCATTACCACTGGCTAATAACTGATTTGTTAGTTAATACCCCAAGGTGAAGCCAAGGCAGCAAATGCTGTGGCATACCGTTTTTCAATGGCAAGATTAACAGATTTCAAGGGCATTATTGCTATTACGAACCATATTCGATTGATTTATAACACTAATATGTTTTATTTTAAAAAGTGGGTGGAATGTCCTGGAAAAACTCATCATTGTGTGGTGTTTGAAGTTGAATAGTCACTGTATGATGTCCAAGAGAGATATCCTCTGGTCTGGTTCTGGGCATTGCTAAGGTCTAGGCTGGCCCTCAGTGGCTTGCACAGTGTGGGATTAGAGAATCCAGGGAACCATTACTCAGAGAGGCCCAGGGTATTTAACTACAACGATGTCGCCTCTTCCCCTAAGTATACCCTGATGATATTTTTTTAAAACCTGCCATTATAAAGTCTAGAACGATAAACAGCAAGATTTTAAGTGGCATCTCTGAAGAGTAGGATTTCCATAAGGGAAGACAAGATTTTTATTTCCTACTTTTTAACTTCTGTTCTTGTCTTGAAGTTTTAATAAAATTTTGGTAAAAAAAAAAAACGAAAACCTTATAACTGCCCCCTAGGGGAGTCCTGAGGCTTGGGGTGGGCCCTAATGTCTACTGGTAAGGCAAGTCATCCCACTGGTAAGGCAAGCAAAACAAGGGCACCCGAACCCTGGGCCACAGACCAGTACTGGTCCGTGGCCTGTTAGGAACCAGGCCATACAAGATGTGAGCAGGCAAGTGAGCATTACGGCCTGAGCTTCACCTCCTGTCATCTTTTTTTTTTTTTTTTTTCTTTGAGGGAGTCTTGCTCTGTCACCTGGGCTAGAGTGCAATGACATTATCTTGGCTCACTGCAACCTCCACCTCCCGAGTTCACATAATTCTCCTGCCTCAGCCTCCTGGATAGCTAAGAATACAGGCCTCCACCACCACGCCTAGCCAACTTTTGTATTTTTAGTAGACACAGGTTTTGCCATGTTGGCCAGGCCGTTCTCAAACTCCTGACCTCAGGTGATCCACCTGCCTTGGCCTCCCAAAGTGCTGGGATTACAGGTGTGAGCCACCATGTCTGGCCTTACCTCCTGTCAGATGGTGGCAGCATTAGATTCTCTAGCAGTGTGAACTCTACTGTGAGCTGTACGTGGTTGCGGGGGGCAGGGATCTAGGTTGCATGTTCCTTATAAGAATCTAACTAATGCCCGATGATCAGTGGTGGAACAGTTAAATCCTGAAACCATCCCCCAACAACAGGCTTGCAAGTGTGACTGAGCCCAAGGGAGAGAAGTTACCATGGTATGGTAAGGCAGAGGGTCCCACTGGGAGCTGCCCTGGCCTTTGGCTGAAGTCAAAGTTTTCCCAGGGAGCCTGCAATCATATCCCCTTTGCTTCCTGCAGCAGCCCTCCTCTCCCCTCTTCCTTGATAATACAACTCCAGTTTTATGCTTCAAAGGGAGCAGGGACCCTCCCCATTCCCAAGGATAAATCTTAATGAATCTAAGCTAATCGTAGTAATTCCCGTTATCTTCTAGTGAGTGGTTTAAGGGTGGGCATGTGGCCCAGTTTGAGCCAATAAGATTAAGAGATCTGTAGAGAGATTACTGAAAAAAGTTTTCCTTTTTTTTTTTTTTTTTTTTTTTTTTGACATGGTGTCTTGCTCTGTTGCCCAGGCTGGAGTGCAGTGGCAAAATCTTGGCTCACTGCAACCTCTGCCTCCCAGGTTCAAGCAATTCTCCTGCCTCAGCCTCCCAAGTAGCTGGGACTATAGGCACGCGCAGCACCATGCCTGGCTAATTTTTGTATTTTTAGTAGAGACAGGGTTTCACCATGTTGGCCAGGCTGATCTCGAACTCCTGACCTCAGGTGATCCACTCACCTCAGCCTCCCAAAGTGCTGGGATTACAGGCATAAGCCACCTCACCCAGCCTGAAAAAAAGTTTTCTTACTCTTAAAAGCAAATGTGTGAGAAGAAAGCCCATTTTTCTGCTCACAGCATGGCTGGTGAAGAAGTGATGGCTGGAGCCACTGCAGCTTTCCTGCAATCACGGAAAGATGTCAGTCTGAGGACAAAGGCAAATATGCTATGCATAGCAGGGCAGAAAGATGGGAATAACCCAGGTGCTGCACTTGGTTGAGACTCCAGATGAACCAACCCTGCAACTACCCTATCTCCAAACTTACAATTTGACATAATGATGTCTAGACTGTTGACACCACTTCTCATTGGGTTTTTTTTCCCACTCACAGCTGAACATGTCCTGTCTGCTACACTCCCCTAGTCTGCCTTGAGGAACATGGAATAAGGAAAAAGACCTACAAAGAAGGAAGTGAAGACAGGGTCACAACAGAACCTGGGGGTACAGGGTTTAGAAAATCCAGAGAGCATTTTAGTGAGTTCCATACAACTGAATACTACATTTATACCTTAAAGATTAGGTGGAGTCTTTTCCATGGCAAACACAAAATGAATATGCACATTAGCCAGAAAAACAAACATCTACCTATGCCACAGACCTCAAAAAAAAAAAAATCAGACTGCAGCCAATGGAAATCAGTTGGCACATCCAGCAAAAATCAAGTCAGGAGGAATGTGTTACAATCACTCTCGACTCTCAGCTTCACTGAATTTGTCTTTCAGAGAAATATGTTTGTGGGGAAATAGCATTTAGTGAAGGTAGTCGCCTGGCTCTCCCCCAGTGAAGAAGGAAAATAAAAGGTGAGGATTCATAAGTGATTAGCTCATTAAGTAAACATTTCCTCACTGCCTGTCAGGTCCAAGTGCTGTATGTCAGGACAACGGAGTAATTGAAGATGTCTCTGCCTTCAAAGCGCTCACAGTCTGTAGTTAGCTAATAAAAGATGGCTGGGGGCTGATGTAAAATAGAAGCTTTATTACATGGGTAAGCAAGACAGATACATACAGGTTACCACCAAACTCAAGACCACAGAGCATATCAGTTACTGGCTAACAACTCACAGGTGCCTGAAATCCGCAGTTCTGAGTTCAGGGGATAGAGTACTACTTTTCCTCTTTCTTTCTTTTAGCTTTATCTGAGAGGTGTTTTCCAGAAGCTGAAGGTTGATGCTGAACTGCTGAAGCTGGAGGAGCCAGATGACAAAGAGCATGGTGAGGAGGAGTATCAGGCTATGACACACGTTATTTTGGAAAAACTTTTCATATGATTATTTATTTTTCTAATCCACCATTTTTGGAATGAGCTGAGATTAGCCCAACTAATATTAACATCAGTTCTAGGCTTGAATCCAAACAGACTTTTCAAGATCTCTAAATTCCTTCAGAGATGCTTAGAGGGATAGAATGCAGCTGAATCACAGTCTCCCAACCAGATCTTCCTTACCCGTGGTAAGTACCCTCATTCTAAACATTTTCATCTCTCCTCACCCTCTCTGCCTCCATCAAAATTCCATCTCACTGCTGTGTCATCTCTTTAACATTGTATGTTCTTCTCAGAATCTGAGACACTAGATGTTACTAATAGGTATGAATTGGTTAATCTGGTACCTCTGCCAGGTAACGTACATGTATTTTTACAGGAACTTTCTGAGGTAGTTTTCTAACCCTCTGGTTAATGATTCTCATAATGAGGATTTTTAAGTATTCTGGAAAACTGATGAAGAAAGTTGGGAAAATACTCCTAAAAGCACACCTGGCAAGCCATTTGAATTCACTTATGTGTAGGGTAGGGTGGGTCACCTCCTGAGTTATCCAAATACATTCTTTGAGTTTGCATGAAATACTTCTCCTGAAAAGTAACTCACATGTTAACAATCTTGCTCCAGAAGATTCCTGTGCTCACCCAATATTTGCTACAAGACTATGAGTGTGGCAGTTGTAGAATGCACTGTTAAATTGAGTCTAGACATTCATTTCCCTTTAGGGGAGAAGAAGATGTTCTGCTTAATGATGGTTGCCTTCCCTTGCATATGAGACAGGCAAGCCAACCACGGTAACAAACAGCACTGAAATCTCAGAGGCTTAAAACAGTAAAGATTTGTTTCACATGACATTTAAGCAGCTCTCTTCCAACTAATGATTCAGAAACCAGGTTCCTTTGATTTGGGGCTCTGCACAAATGGACAGGTCTGCACAAATTCACAGCTTACAAAGTTCCCTGGGCTTCATTTCTGAGTCAGGGGTGCAGAGAAGGAAGAACATGGAGTCAGAGGAGGTCTTAGAGGCCAGGACTGGAAGGGGCAAATAGTACTTCAACCCACATGTTGGTGGCCAGAACTCAGTCACGTGCACACCTGAGTGCAGAGGAGGCTGGGAAAGGTAGTTTCACTGTGTGTATGGTGAGGAAGTAACAGAGTAAGTGAGCAGAACCTGCCATACCCTGAAACCTGGAGGGCTAATGGAGAACTATGCACTCCCTCCAAACAGGCCCCTTACTATACTGACCCCCAGCTGCAGCAGACCACATCTGACCAGACCCCAGTCTAATTTTTAAACAGCTCCCTCTGTGAGTTTCAGTTTATAAGACTAAAAGCAGGATCCTTGGGGGAAATAAAGACTGAAGAGCTGGATATTCTCTTATGATACATTCTTCTGGCAAAAATTATCTTCATTTTGAGAAAAAAATTATACGCCTTCTAGGGCCTTTCATTTTCCCAGAAAACCTGATTTTCCTCTTTAGAAATCAATTCCACTCCACAAAACTATATCCATGGATACCTAAGGTCTGAGAACCATACGCAAGTATAAGATATTTAGGCTTCTGGAGAAACCAGCCTCAAAGCTCCCTGTTTGATTTTGATTAGCTTTCCCTGCTGTGTACCCACGGAATTTTTGTGGTTGTTGTTTTTTGTTGGCCACTTCACAGAGAACTACGGTCAAAGGAGGACTTATCCAAGGAACTGCAAAGACTTTTTGATCCAGACATCAGTTTATCTAGGCACTCACCACTGATGGTCCAAGTCCATCCACTTGGTCCTGAGAAAACCTTCTCAAAGTGCCTGGGAGAAAATCCATGGTTTCACTGAGACACCAATGAGGTGATGTCTGGTTTGTATTCAACAGGATAATTATTTATTCAATATCACATTATTAATTTATGCCAGAAACTAAAGTATGGATGCTGTCAAATTACAGTATGAATAATAGAGAAGACCAGACCTTGGCTGACACTTTGAGAATCTCTGATAGAATTGATTCCCCCTCTCAGCTGGCACCATCCAGGAAGAACCACATGACCAGCTTGCCTGCTTGATCTGAGCAGCACTGATTGAAAGAGAAAACTACTGTTTTGTGAATGATCAACCTCACTCAAAGTTGACATTTTTAACATTGAAGGTAAAGGTGAATTTGACTAGTGAAAACGTTACAAGCAAAAACTTTTTTGGAGGGCTTTAAGATCTAAAGGGTCTTTTTAGGTCACAAGTTTTTTTATCTTTGGAATCTTTGGATTTAATGAGTACTTACTATTTGCCATGAAGTATTCTAGAAGAGTTTTTTTTTTTAAGATGGAGTCTTGCTCTGTTGCCCAGGCTGGAGTGCAGTGGAGCAGGCTCGGCTCACTGCAATCTCCATCTCCAGGGTTCAAGCGATTCTCCTGCCTCAGCCTCCTGAGAAGCTGGGACCACAGGCACACACCACCACACCCGGCTAATTTTTTCTATTTTTAGTAGAGATGGGGTTTCCCCATGTTGGCCAGGCTGGCCTCAAACTCCTGACCTCAAGTGATCCACCCACTTCAGCCTCCCAAAGTGCTGGGATTACAGGCGTGAGCCACCACACCCAGCCCGATTCTAGAAGATGTTAAATGGTTTATTCCATTGACTACTTAGAGAAATCCAATGACATAGATACAATTCCCGTCTCCATTTTGCAGATGAGGAAAATGATGTATTTGTTTAAGGTTGCATTAATAATACCTCATATATGTATCAGGTACTGCAGGTTATAAACATATTTTTACTTGCATTATCTCTTTTGATCCTTACAACAACATAAGAGATAGATGGAGTATGTCATATTTTTCCATTTTATAGATGAGAAAACTGACACTAGGAGGAGTTCAATTAGCTGATCAACATCCCTTAGGAAATGCTGGGACCAGGACTCAAATCTGAATCTCCTGACTTCCAACCTCATTGCTCTTTCTACTACAACACACTACTCTTTTGAGAAAAGCACTCATAACACATTACTCATTAGAGAAAAGCCCTTTCTTTTCAAGAGAGTGGATTGAAGCAAAAAATAAAATGTGTAGCATGTCTTTGTACCTTTTAGTAGTGTCTACCCGAAGGTAATATGAAAAGAAAAGATATACCATGCAAAATACTGTCTGAATAGTCACTTGCTTTGGTAAGTGAACAGAATATTTGTAGGAGAGTCAGCCCCGTTGGGTCCACCTGCAAGCTCAAATGAATTGGACTTGATGTGGACCCACAAGCATTGAGCATATAGAGAACTCAGCAATAAATTTCAGAGCCCCACCAGGCAAAGTGTCTCATGCCTGTAATCCCAGCACTCTGGGAGCCTGAGGCAGGTGGATCACCTGAAGTCAGGAGTTTGAGACCAGCCTGGCCAACATGATGAAACCTGGTCTCTACTGAAAATACAAAAATTAGCCAGGCATGGCAGTGGGTGCCTGTAATCCCAGCTACTTGGGAGGCTGAGCCAGGAGAATTGCTTGAACCTGGGAGGCGGAGGTTGCAGTTAGCCAAGATCGCACCACTGCTCCAGCTTGAGTGACAGAGTGAGACTCCGTCTCCAAATTAAAAAAAAAAAAAAAAATTCAGAGCCCCAGAGGTATGAAATTCTGAATAAAGTCTGCCTCCCCTCCTGCAAGAAGTCCTTTTCAACATCCTCAGCCCACAATGGTCTTCCTTCTTATAAATGCGTATCTCTCTCAAAGTCTACATCACACAATCTACTGCCTTGATGATATCTGAGTTTTATTACCTTCTATTTATCACAGAAATACATGTCTAGCCAGACTGATTATTAACTCCTTGAAAGCAAAAACCATGTCTCTCTCTTACTTTTGTATTCACCAGATGATAAGCACCATTATGAGGCCATATGAGTGACTGCTAAAACTTGAGGGATATTTCTAATGGTAATAGCCATTCCATTAAAATACTACTATTATATGATAAAACTAACCACTTATAAGCTTATCACACTGTATTGAGAATTTATTCTATAGAAATATGTTTCAGTGTGTATAATTTGACCCATGTTTTAGCCAGAGCTATATAATAAAGAAACATGTTTAAGACAGTTTCCCCGCATGTAGATAATATCATTTAAAACCTAGTACTAAATTTTGAACTCCCAGAAATGAGAGAATGAGAAGGCTGGTTAAATATTTGGTATTTATACATAGTACATAGAAATAAATCATAATAAAGGTACAGTGTAGATATTTTCACCCAGCAATTTTAATGAAAACAAGCCTTTAAATCTCTATTACTGTTTCAAGAAAAATGGCACTACTTTCACAACTTAGTTACCTAATGAACTGTGCATTTCTTTTCCTTTGTCCTGGAGGATGAGCAGAAATGAATAGGAGAGGCCATGCTTGGCAATAATATTACTGATTACTAGAACATCTTTTGTTACTGCCTTTACTATACAGACCTTCAATGATTTACACCTCAAGTTTGTGACCATCAATATATAAGAACATATAGTTGACAGCATAAAAAGGTTGATGGTCAGAAACAACCAGCAGAAAACCCTATTCATTTCCATTTATCACCCTAGGAACACAGGATAAGAACAAACAATAACTCCCTGTTCTTTATCTTCTGCAGAAATGCCTTCCCATTATCTCTCTCCATCTGAGAACCAAGGCCATGTCCCTGGACATAAAAACCCACTTACTTGGGCAAAGCATCCTGGGTAACCAGAAGTCAGCATGCTAAGCCTTTGTGTGGGTATATGCCTATTGTATGCACATCTGCCAAGATCTTAGGATGCCTGCAATTGCCAAATGGATATGGCTACACATTAAAGCTACTGTTCATAATCATACTCAATAGTACAAGAAATCATCCACAAGCAAGTTCATGACTGCAGTTCTTGACCTAACTAGTCTCTCTGACTCACTGACATCATAAGCTTACGAATATTAATGACCATGATCTAGAAATGCAAGTGGAAAGAAAAATAGGCTTCTTGACAAAGCCAGGGCAAATCCCAAGTCTAGAGAATGGAGGCTGCCTGCCAGCCAGCCAAGGAAAAGGGTACACAGTGCCCAAGACCTTTATTTGCAAAACTGAGCTTAAAAACGAAACAAAACAAAAACAACCAAGATTCTGCTACCTGTTAAATACTTATCGACAAAGAAAAGTGGTGAAGACTAGCAACATATGTGGAAGATTACAGGACAGAATGTTGTTCCAACGTAGCCTTGAGTTTAATTTAAAATGCGTGATCCACAAAGTCAGCTTAGTTAGGGGAAAGAGGGAACCCTGAGTTTAGACGCTAGTCCTGACTTCGCACAAACTTGTTAACAGCCTTAATCATGTGAGTGAAACTCTGTGCCTTTGCTGCCTCACCCTTCAAATGATAAGACAATAGAATCATCTACAATAGTCATTTTTTTTTTCTTTTTTCGAGACAGGGTTTCACTCTGTCACCCAGGCTGGAGTGCAATAGTGCCATCATGGTTCATTGCAGCCTTCACCTCCCAGGCTCAAGCAATCTTCCCCACCTCAGACTCCTGAGTAACTGGGACTATAGGTATGTACACTACATCTTGCTAAATTTTTTTATATTTGGAGAGGCAGGGTCTCACTATGTTGCCCAGGCTGACCTCAAACTCCTGACCTCAAGCAATCCTCCTGCCTCAGTCTCCCAAACTGTTTGGATTTACAGGCACGAACCACTGCATCTGGCCTGTTACATTTTTTTAAATATAATAATTATGCTTGTTGTCCAAAGGTTTGACAGTTTACCCAATGGTTACTTCAAAATTTTGAGGTGGATGCCATAAAGTCCTACAAATTTCTTTTATTTCAATAGGTTTTGGGGGAACAGGTGGTGTTTGGGTACATTAATGAGTTTAGTTGTTGTATTTGTCCATTCTTACACTGCTCTGAAGAAATACTCGAGACTGGGTAATTTATAAAGGAAAGAGGTTTGATTGGCTCACAGTTCAGCAAGGTTGGAGAGGCCTCAGGAAACTTACAGTCATGGCAGAAGGGGAAGCAAACACATCCTTCTTCACATGGTGGCAGCAAGGAGAAGAATGTGAGCTGAGCAAAGGAGGAAGTGCCTTATAAAACCATCAGATCTCATTAGAAGTTACTCACTATCACGAGAATAGCATGGGGGAACCGCCCCCATGATTCAGTTACCTCCCACCAGGTCCCTCCCACCACACATGGGGATTATGGGAACTACAATTCAAGAGGAGATTTGGGTGGGGACACAGCCAAACCATAACAGTGGTGGTTTCTGAGATTTTAGTGCACCCATCATCTGAGCAGTGTACACTGTACTCAATGTATAGTTTTATCCCTCACCCCCCTCCTGCCCTTTCCCCAAGTCCCCAAAGTCCATTGTATTATTCTTGTGTTTTTGCATCCTCATAGCTTAGTTCCCACGTAGGAGTGAGAACATACGATGTTTGGTTTTCAACTCCTACGAATTTTTATAGTCGGTTATGCCTTAAGTCCAGGATATTCTAAGACAGCATTTCTCAAAGTATGTGCTACAACTACAAGTCCAAAAATAATCCGCAAAACAAAGGTTCTGTGGTGAAATAGACTTGGAAAACATTGCATGTCATAACTTCACTTTTGGATATTCAATATCTACGTTAGCATATTGGAGGTTCTGAGAAGTCCTGAAGTAAAGAAATCACAGCTTTGTTTAGCCCACACCCCTGCATCCTACTGACTTCCTTCTGTACCTCTTTGTCTTAAGTCTCTGTTTCTCCCTCTCTCTTTCTCTTTTCTTCCCTCTCCCTCTCTCTAAGCCTTAGAAGGCTGTTCTGACTGCTTGCAGAGCAGGCCTGAAATACCAAGAAATTAACACATACCTAAGAACAGTCCTAAAGCAATAACTGATGGAAGTTGAGGTATCCCAGCTCCCTTGCTTCTTGGTGGGGATAACTCAGAGTCATATGCTTAACACTGTCTCCTATCGTTTCCTCATGCAGTTAAGTTAGTTCCAGCCACCCACAGTGGTTGCTGGCTGGAGAAGCTCCCCTTAATCAGGTGCCTTCCATTCCTTACTTCCCCACTCCCATCTCCCAGATAAACTACTAGCATGCACATTCAACTGCAGAGTCTATTTCTGGGCCAACCCAAACTAATATGCCCAGGATTTCTCACACATGTCTAATGATAGACCTTCACATCACACTTTTTCAATTAGCCAAAACTCCAAAATCAATCCCAAGTGATTGATCCAAGTGGCGAGTGAGAGAAGCCCAATAAAAACTGGTGAAAACAGAAAAAATTAGTTTTATTTAAGACCAGGACAGGGCTAGCTTTAGGCCTGGCAGGACTCTAGGCCTTGGACAGTATCATGAAGACTCACTCTGTCTCCATTTCTGGGCACTACACCTTTTTGTTGGCTTCATTCAAACAGGCTCCTTTCACAAAGCAGAAAGATGACCATCTGCACTGAGCTTACATTCTCTCTTTCAGCAGCCCCGGTGAAAAAAGGGGTTTCTCTCCCTCCCTCAATAATTTCAAAAAGAGCCTAGAAGAAATCTCACTGGACTGTCTTTGGTCAATAGTCACTGCTGCACCAATTCTTGAGACTGGGGAGAAGGAATGTACTGACTTCATAGTCCTGAGCCAGTGCCTACCTCTGGAGCTGTACATATGGCCCTCAGTCACACCCAAACCACATGGACCAGTGATGATGAGGGTTATTGCTTCCAGCAGAAGGAAATGCCTTCAAGGCAGGCACAAATAATAGACATCCAGTCTACTCTTTAACATTCTATGGGACTCATTTGGGGAGATGCTCTTCTACAGCATTCACAACTACTTCCTCCAAAATTCCTGACAAAGTCTTTCTCAGAAAAGTCTGAAAGTGAAGTTTAAAAAGTGAAGAATTTTTGACAACTTTATGTCACCCTAATAAATGTTTTATACATGATCATTTTATTGATACCACTAATTCTCTACTTGCTTTCCTGGTTTGGGTACCTTTAAAGAAGTATTGATCATTACCTTTGGCATTGCTTGCCAAAAGAAAAGATACTCCATCAATTCCTTTCCGTCAACCCTGATCCTCATGATTAATTCTTCACTATTC
Source organism: Homo sapiens (assembly GCF_000001405.40). Taxonomy (NCBI): domain Eukaryota; kingdom Metazoa; phylum Chordata; class Mammalia; order Primates; family Hominidae; genus Homo; species Homo sapiens. The sequence continues at coordinate 158,042,686 of NC_000005.10, read as the reverse complement.
CAACCAAGAAAGGTGATTGAGAAGCCTTAAGCAAATGGGAGATACACACAGTAATTGAAAAGACTAAGAAAAATGGTGGTTAAAATGTATTCCATAAACCACCCATCCACTACTGGAAATGTTTTTGTTTTGTTTTATTTACTTTGTCTTTCCCACAGGGGAAAAAAATTAAAACCCAGCAAAAAAAAAAAAAAAAAAGGAAAAAGAAAAAAAGATTTAACTGTACATTGTGGTTTTATTGGTGTTCCTACAATTTATTACAATGGCAGAAATTAATTTATAGATAATGACGAACATGGGTTCACAACAAACATCACATGAAGCAAAGGAAAACACACCAAGAATGTTCTAATTGGCAAGAAAACATTCATCTGTGGCTGGAATAGCCAAAGAGAAGGGCAAGTTTTACATACCAGCCTTGAAAAGCATTATTGGTTTTTAAATTACAAGTCTTTCCAATTTTTTTTCTGTATTTTTTTCCCTCTCTTCTCCTAAGGTCTCCCCACAAAGGAATCCCACTGAGGAATCTCATCTATATTATCAGGGGAGCTGCTATACCACTTTCTTCCACCTTCCTTTGATCATTTTCTACTTTTCGAGAGAAGGGCCCTATGGCATTTCTATTGACCCCCTTGACAAACATAACTATTGATGTCTTTCATAAAAAAGGATCAGTATTAAAATTATATGATTTCAGAGTTTCTTGGTCTACCAATGCGGAGTCTACCAAGGTCAATCCGATTTTCAAACAGAAAGTGGGTCCTCTCTGAAATTTCAGTTGTGGTCTCCACTATGCTCATGTATGTGCAGACTTGGGCAGAAGCATGGATTAAGTGCTGCTGCCCCAAGTGACTGCACCCCTGCCACCCAAGTGCACTCCATATGGGCACACCCTCATGTTCATGAGACTCTACTCTCTCCCAGGTACCTTGGAACAGCCTCAACAACCAACCTATGTAGCCCAGGAAGGAGGAACTTACTTATGAAAATATGAAAAGGTTCAACCATACCCCAAAATAAATGGGACATCAGTTCCATTCAGCTACTTAAAAGCATTCTTTTAAAGAATATTCGTGATACAGGAAAATGCCAACAATAAATCTTTTAAAAAAAGATTGAGAAGAAAGACACAAAATATTAACAGTAACATTCTATCTCTGGGTGATAAAATTCTCAGGTTTTTTTTTCCTCCATGTTTTCCTGATTTTCCCACATTTTATGCAATGAGTATCTGTTACTTTATACTCGGGTAAAAACAACAAATGCTAAATTTTTTTAGCAATTGAAAAGTACAGCAAGCCTCTGATAAAAGTCTATAGTCACTGGCATTATAAAAGTGCTGAAGCTGGTGAGACCAAGCAGGTCATCACTACAAAAATCAGAGCCTTGGGCCAGGCATGGTGGCTCACACCACTGGGTGCGGTGGCTGAGGCAGGTGGATCACCTGAGGTCAGGAGTTCGAGACCAGCCTGGCCAACATGGCAAACCCCATCTCAACTAAAAAAAAATACAAAAAAAAAAAATTAGCCAGGCATGGTGGTGGGCGCCTATAATCCCAGCTACTCGGGAGGCTGAGGCACAAGAATCACTTGAACCTGGGAGGCAAAGGTTGCAGTGGGCCGAGGTTGTGCCACTGCACTCCAGCCTGGATGACAGAGCAGGACTCTGTCTCAAAAAATAAATAAATAAAAATAAAAATCAGAGCCTTGGATTCCCTTCCATGATATCAAATACTTGTCCATCACACTCCTGTTATATAGCCTTACATTCCCCGACAGCACTGCAACCTCCTAGAGTTTCAATATCATATCTCAGCTTCTTTGTTGTCCCAAAAATGCTTTGTCCAGTGCTTTGCACAAAACAGGTATTCAAGAAATGTATTGTGAATTAACTAATGGCAGCATGGTGGTAATAGGATAGGTGTTTACTATCAGGGGATAGTAAGAACTAAGGGTCCAGGGACACTGGATCCTAAAAGCTTCAGGTAAGCGACCGGGTACAGTGGCTCACGCCTATAATCCCAGCACTTTGGGAGGCCAAGATGGGCGGATCACAAGGTCAGGGGATTGAGACCATCTGGTCAACATGGTGAAACCCCGTCTCTACTAAAATTACAAAAATTAGCTGGGCATGGTAGTGCACACCTGTAGTCCCAGCTACTCAGGAGGCTGAGGTAGGAGAATCACTTGAACACAGCAGGCGGAGGTTGCAGTGAGCCGAGATCGCACCACTGCACTCCAGCCTGGTGACAGAGCAAGGCAAGACTCATGGGATTAGGGAGTTAAAACAAGCATCTAGGAAATCAGTTGAATCAATGGCCCTGACAGCCAAGATAGCAAAGCAGTGCTGAGACTGCTTTTGACTTTCTTTTAAGCAGGGCAGTCCCAGGAGCAAGTGTGCTTTGTGGTTACCCAGAGTGGCCCCCTGCATACACCAGTTCCAGATGGTTTGACTGAAAACAATTTTGCCACAGAAACTGAATAATTCAGGCCAACAATAGAGGACTCGTTGAAACAACCCAGTCCCACAATAGAATGCCTTTTGAAAGTTTTTATTGTTTTTCCCCAATTTCAAAAACAATGCATTCTCATTACAGAAACATCTTAGATGACTAATAAATGTATCAAACTTATGTTCAAAACTGAGCTCCTGATCTTGCCTCCTGATCTTTATCTCACTATAGACTTCTCCATTTCTATTAACTTAGTTCTAAGCTTCTATTTGTTTAGGCCGAGAAGCTTGGATTCCTTTCTGACTACTCTATTTATCTCATAAGTCCATGTTCTGTATATGTAAGCAAGTCCTGTAGACTATAACTTCAAAATGTATCAATACTGTAACCACTAACCACTGTTCCCCACTTCCACTGCTATCACCTTGATCCAAGCCCCCATCACCTCTCACCCATAGTCTCCTGCTTCCACCATTGTCCCTGCTACAGGTTATTCCCAAAGGGGCAGTCAAAGTGATACACATAAAACATAACATAGATTATGTCACTTCTCTGCTCAGCACCCCCAGTGGCTTTCTAGCTGGCTGAGTGAAAGTCTAAGTCTTCACAATGGCCTATAAGACTACACATGACTTGGCTCTCTCGCTACCTCTCTAACTCACCTTCTCCTACTCTTCCTCATGGCTGATTCTGCACCAGTCCTCTGACCTCCTTGTCTCACTACACACACACACAAACACACACACACACACACACACACACAAAACCAGGCATGCTCCTCTAGCAAGCCTTTTGTACTTGATACTCTTTCTGCTGGCTCGCTTTTCCCCCCAGATATCCACCTGGCTCAGGCTCTCATTTCCTTTAGATCTTCACTCAAAAGTAACCTCGACAGTCAGACCTCCCTGGTGACCCTATTTAAAATTGGAACCCCTCCCCAACATGCTGTAGCCCCCTTCCCTGCTTCATTTATCTCCATAGTGCTTGTCACTGTTTGGCCTGTGATATATCTTACTTAATTCTTTTGTCTGCTTCCTACTCCTACAAGTATGTACCTTCAATCAGGGCAAATTTTTCTTTTTTCTTCATTGTTATACCCTCAACATAAAGAATATGGCTGACATTTAATAAGAGCTTATTAAAATTTTGTCAAATTGATTAAAAAATATATAAATAAGCAAAATAATTCCACCCACCCAAGGCAAACACTATTCAGACCTTGGTGTATAATTGTCCAAATAATTTTTCTGTACACTATAATTATTCTACAAATATAAGCTTATATAATACTTACATTAGAAACCTGTGTGTTTATCATAACTTGATATTTTGGATATTTCAATTGAGTCCTATTATTCTAATTTTTCACTTCAACAAACACCAAAGAATAGGAATAATGGACTAAAAATACATTTGAAATATGATAGTAAATAGTGGGGAAACAATTGAAAAGTTCAATTTTTTTTTTCCAAGATAGCATCTCACTGTCACCCAGGCTGGAGTGCAGTAAAGTAGTGTAATCATGGCTGTCAGCAACCTCAAACTCCTGGCTCAATCCTCCCAAGCAGCTGAGATCGTAAGCCCACACCACCACCACCTGGCTAATTTTTTAATTTTTTTGGAGGGACACTGTATTAGTCCATTTTCAAACCGATATGAAGATACTACCTGAGACTAGGCAATTTATAAACAAGAGGTTTAATTGACTAGGTTCTGCATGGCTGGGGAGGCCTCAGGAAACTTATAGTCATGGTGGAAGGCAAAGGAAAAGCAAGAACCTTCTTGACAAAGTGGCAGGAGAGAGAGGGAGTGAATGGGGAAGTACCACTTTTAAACCATCAGGTCTCATGAGAATTCACTCACTATCAGGAGAACAGCATGGGAGAAACCACCCCAATGATCCAATCATCTCCCACCAGGTCCCTCCCTAGACACATGGGGATTACAATTCAAGATGAGATTTGAGTGCGGACACAGAGACCCTTTGTTCTGGTGTGCTCTCATGGTGACTGGCCAAGGAGAAGCACCCCTCTGCACAGAAGTAAAATTGCTTCGCTGAAAATCCTTTGTTTGAGTGCTCAGTTTCCTTAAGATTCTGAGCTTTATTTCCAACAGAGTCAAACCGTATCATTCCACCCCAACCCCTCCCAAAAGAACCCATGTCCTTTTCACATTTCAAAACTAATCCCTCTCCCTCTCCCCGGTCTCCCTCTGATGACACCAAAGTTGTGCCCCTCCCCGGTCTCCCTCTGATGCCACTGAAGTTGTGAAAGCTGAGGCTGGACTGTACTGCGGCCATCTCGGCTCACTGCAACCTCCCTGCCTGATTCTCCTGCCTCAGCCTGCAGAGTGCCTGGGATTGCAGGCGCGCGCCACCACACCTGACTGGTTTTTGCATTTTTTGGTGGAGACGGGGTTTCGCCATGTTGGCCGGGCTGGTCTCCAGCTCCTGACCGCAAGTGATCTGCCTGCCTCTGCCTCCCGAGGTGCCGGGATTGCAGACGGAGTCTCACTCACTCAGTGCTCAATGTTGCCTAGGCTGGAGTGCAGTGGCGTGATCTCGGCTCGCTACAACCTCCACCTCCCAGCCGCCTGCCTTGGCCTCCCAAAGTGTCGAGATTGCAGCCTCTGCCTGGCTGCCACCCCGTCTGGGAAGTGAGGAGTGTCTCTGCCTGGCCGCCCAGTCTGGGAAGTGAGGAGCCCCTCTGACAGGCCGCCCAGTCTGGGAAGTGAGGGGCGCCTCTTCCCGGCCGCCATCCAGTCTAGGAAGTGAGGAGTGTCTCTGCCCCGCCGCCCATCGTCTGAGATGTGGGGAGTACCTCTGCCCCACCGCCCCATCTGGGATGTGAGGAGTGCCTCTGCCCGGCCACGACCCCATCTGGGAACTGAGGAGTGTCTCTGCCTGACCGCCACCCCATCTGGGAGGTGAGGAGCGAATCTGCCCAGCCGCCCCATCTGAGAAGTGAGGAGCCCCGCTGCCCGGCAGCCACCCCGTCCAGGAGGTCGGGGGGCAGCCCCCGCCCAGCCAGCCACCCCATCCGGGAGGTGGGGGGCAGCCCCCGCCCCACCAGCTGCCCCGTCCAGCAGGGAGGTGGGGGGTCAGCCCCCACCCAGCCAGCCGCCCCTTCTGGGAGGGAGGTGGGGGGTCAGCCCCCACCCAGCCAGCCGCCCCCTCTGGGAGGGAGGTGGGGGGTCAGCCCCCACCTGGCCAGCCGCCCCGTCCGGGAGGGAGGTGGGGGGCGCCTCCGCCCGGCCACTGCCCCGTCTGGGAGGTGGGGGGCGCCTCTGCCCGGCCGCCCCGTCTGGGAAGTGAGGAGCCCCTCTGCCCAGCCGCCACCCCGTCTGGGAGGTGTATCCAACAGCTCATTGAGAACGGGCCATGATGAGGATGGCGGTTTTGTCGAATAGAAAAGGCGGAAATGTGGGGAAAAGAAAGAGAGATCAGATTGTTACTGTATCTGTGTAGAAAGAAGTAGACATGGGAGACTCCATTTTGTTCTGTACTAAGAAAAATTCTTCTGCCTTGGGATGCTGTTAATCTATAACCTTACCCCCAACCCCGTGCTCTCTGAAACATGTGCTGTGTCCACTCAGGGTTAAATGGATTAAGGGCGGTGCAAGATGTGCTTTGTTAAACAGATGCTTGAAGGCAGCATGCTCGTTAAGAGTCATCACCACTCCCTAATCTCAAGTACCCAGGGACACAAACACTGCGGAAGGCCGCAGGGTCCTCTGTCTAGGAAAACCAGAGAACCTTGTTCACAGGTTTATCTGCTGACCTTCCCTCCACTATTGTCCTATGACCCTGCCAAATCCCCCTCTCCAAGAAACACCCAAGAATGATCAAAAATACTAAAAAAAATAATTAAAAATTAAAAATTAAAAAAAAAATTTTTAAACAGAAAAAAAAAAAAAAACTAATCATGCCTTCCCAACAGTCCCCCAATGTCTTAACTCATTCCAGCATTAACTCAAAAATCCAAGTCCAAAATCGCATCTGAGACAAGGCAAGTCACTTCCACGTAGGAACCTGTAAAATCAAAAGCAATTCAGTTTACTTCCAAGATACAATAGGGGTACAGGCATTGGGTAAATGTTCCCTTTCCAAATGGGAGAAATTGGCCAAAACAACAGGTCCATAAGCCCCATGCAAGTCCAAAACCAGGACAGGCAGTCATTAAATCTTAAAGCTCCAAAATCTCTTTTGAGTCCATGTCTCACATCCAGGTCACACTGATGCCAAGGTATGGGCTCCCACAGCCTTGGGCAGCTCTGTCCCTGTGTCTGTTCTTATGGGCTGGTGTTGAGTGCCTATGGCTTTTCTAGGCACATGATGTAAGCTGTCAGTGGATCTACCTTTCTGGGGTCCGGGGGACGGTGAACCTCTTCTCACAGCTCCACTAGGCAATGCCCCAGTGGTGACTGTGTGTGAGGGCTCCAATTCCACATTTCCTTTCTGCACTGCCCTGGCAGACGTTCTCTATGAGGGCTCTGCCCCTGCAGCAGACTTCTGCTGGACATCCAAGCATTTCCATACATCCTCTGAAATCTAGGTGGAGGCTCCCAAAGCTCAACTCTTATCTTCTGTTCACCCACAGGCCATGTGGAAGCTGACAAGGCTTGGGGCTTGCAGCCCCTGAAATGACAGCTTGAGCTGTACATTGGTCCCTTTTAGCCATGGCTGGAGCTGGAGCAGCTGGGATGCAGGGCGCCAAGTCCTGAGGCTGCACAGAGCAGCAGGGCCCTGGGCCTGGCCCACAAAACTATTTTTCCCTCCTAGGCCTCTGGGCCTGTGATGGGAGAGGCTGCCATGAAGATCTCTGAAATGCCATGGAGACTTTTTCCCCATTGTCTTGGTGATTAACATTCAGCTCCTCATTACTCATGCAAATTTCTGCAGGCAGCTTGTATTCCTCCCTAGAAAATGGGTTTTTCTTTTCTACTGCATGGTCAGGCTGCAAATCTTCCAAATCTTTATGCTCTGCTTTCCTTTGAAACATAAGTTTCATTTTCAAACCATCTCTTTGTGAACACATATGACTGAATGTTTTCAAAATCAGCCAGGTCAACTCTTGAATACTTTGCTGCCTAGAAATTTCTTACATCAGATACCCTAAATCAACTCTCTCAAATTCAAAGTTCCACAGATCTCTAGGCCAGGGGCAAAATGCCACCAATCTCTTTGCTGAAGCACAGCAAGAGTGACCTTTGTTCCAGTTCCCAGTAGATTCCTCATCTCCATCTGAGACCACCTCAGCCTGGACTTCATTGTCCATATCGCTATCAGCATTTTGGCCAAAACCATTCAACAAGTCTCTAGGAAGTTCCAAACTTCCCTGCGTCTTCTTATCTTCTTCTGAGCCCTCCAAACTGTTCCAAACTCTGCCCATTACCCAGTTCCAAAGTTACTTCCATGTCTTCTGGTTATCTTTATAGCAGTACCCCACTCCTGGTACCAATTTTTTGTATTAGTCCATTTTCACGCTGCTATAGAGATTCTACCTGAGACTGAGTAATTTATAACAACAAATGTTTAATTGACTCACCGTTCCACATGGCTGGGGAGGCCTCAGGAAACTTACAATCATGGTGGAAGGCGAAGAGGAAATAAGCACCTTCTTCCAAAGCAGCACGAGAGAGAGAGAGCATGCAGGGGAAACTGCCACTCTTAAACCATCAGATCTCATGAGAACTCCCTCACCATCACAGGAACACCATAGGGGAAGCCACTCCCATGATCCAATTATCTCCCACCAGGTCCCTGCCTAGACATGTGGGGATTACAATTCAAGATGAGATTTGGGTGGGGACACAGAGCCAAACCATATCAGACGTGATCTCCCTATGCTGCCCAGGCTGGTCTTAAACTCCTGGCCTCAAGCTATCCTCCCACCTCAGCCTCCCAAAGTGCTGAGATTACAGGTGTGAGCCACCATGCCTGGCCTCTTGAAAAGTTAAATTTTAAATGGGCAAAAATCATTAAAGATAAATAAAGATTACAAAGTGGTTGCAATCATAAACAAAAAATATCAAGGCTTTGGGATTAATGTCTGAGAAATAATTATTTTATGTTTTTTCTTTCACCAAATAGTAATGTTGAACAGTTTATTTTTGGCTAAATTGTTTTCAGCTGAATAATCTGGAGATGGTGCTGGCAAAAGTCAGTAGAGACAGAGAGAGCTCAAAGCTCCCAGGAGCATCCTGATTCTGGCAGAAGCAGGAGCAGAGAGTTTAGAATCATGAGATCATCATAAACCCCCTTCTTGGAAGATCTCAGGACCTCAGACCACAGAAATTACCCTCCACTTCAGTTTTGCCATCCATCATACTAAGGCAGAAACACATCTCACCTTCCTGCTACTCAAGAATTGGCAAATAAAGGCAAAATCTCGCCCCTCTCTGAGATTCTCAAAGAACAGTGTTTGACTCTGTTCAGTGGGGTTTTCCAGGGCCAAAAATGCCTGTGGGATTGATTTTGGAGTCCCAGCAACCCTCATCTCTTAGTCCTTATATTGCATGCAGGTCCACAGGAAGAGAGGGTTGGCACTCAAAGGATCACAGTTTCTATCCCACGTCATCACTCTTACTGACCACTCTGGCTCTGGGGATGCTGCATCTCTCTGAAATCCACCCAGTTGCGGGAAATACTGAGAGTTTAGGCCTACTTCCCATTATCTGAATAAAATAGATAACATCGTTTTTTCTTTTCCAAGAAAATGGAAATCAAGCCCACTGTTTTGTGTTATCAGTTTAACCGCTGAGTTGAGGTGTCACCAGCAAGTACTGAGCTTTAACTGTTTCCAAATGGGGCTTCTGAGAGGCACTGAGTTGGCATCTACCAAGGACTTGGTCTACACATAGAGGGAAGACAGAGACCAGGAAACACTCATCTTTCTGCAATTCAACTCTGGGCTCCATCTTGAAGGAAATGAATGCATGAAGAACATTCTTAACCTAGTATGTCTACGGCCATACCACCCTAGGCGTGCCCAATCTCGTCTGAACCCAGTACGTGACATGCCCTATGCTGATGCTTTCATATGCGTTACCTTATTTAATCCTCATGACTTCCACATTAATAATAATTACCTATGATGTGAGAGGGTCATTATACCAATTTTATGAAGAAAATATGGCTCAAAGAAATAATTTTTAAGTAGCAACACCAACATTTGGAATCTTCTTGAAACTTCTAACTCCTAGAAGACCACCATGCTGTATTTTTGGTCTACAAATTTAAATGGAATAGTATCTAATGTTGGGGAAAACGGGAGGAATGAAGGGTGACTGCTAAAGAGTACAGGATTTCTTTTAGTGGTGATGAAAATGTTCTAAAATTGACAGTGATGACCATTGCTCAACTCCATGAGGACTCTAAAATTCATTGAATTGTATATTTTAAATGGGTGAATTGTATGGCATGTGAGTTATAACCACACAGAGCTGTTACAAATAAGTAATATTTAATGGAGGCCTCTTCCCACCCTACTCTACAACAGTCACAAAAACCTCTCAATTTTCCCATATATCCTGAAGTAGAAGGGCTTGCCTTTTATCTCTTTGTAATTTTATGTAGTGGACAATAAACAAATGGCTGATTGTAATGATGAAAAAGATCCAAATTTCTCCAGTAAAGTTGGGGGAGAAATGCCCAGTTACAAGCAGCTGAATGGAGGTCAGAGAGAACCATAATCCCAGATAAAAAATAAGCAGGCAAAATTTTCTGTAGCACAATCCCTCTCTCATTTCAAGAATCTGCCCACACGCTCCTCACACCTCCTCCTCTCCTGTCACTACCACCATGATCTTGTGGTTACACAATTTCATTCAGAGTCAAAATTAGAAATTAACTAAAGAAGCTATGGTATGGTATTTTATTCTAAGATGTCATCTCTTTTCAAATGAATCATCAATTTAATAACAGTTTTCCAAGTGTTAAAAATGTGGGGTAAAAATGCATTTTAGAATCAAAGAAATGTACTAATCCCTATGAAGATGGTAATCCAATTAAAGTGTAATTTCTCCATATTTGAAGACATTTTCAGTGCATGAAAATGCTTTTTAGAATCAGAGGGCTAATGAATGTTTAATGATGTAAATCTATGCCTGACACAATAGAAGAACGACTGGTGTTTATTGTTTAGGATGGAGGGGGCCGCTTCCCAGAATCTATCGAATGCCCAAAGCCTGTGCCCTCCCCATTCATTTTTCTGGGCTGAACCCTCACTCTCATTTTCAAGGTTAACAGGGGAAGTAGAAAAGGGCATGAGCTGTCCTTTGCAAGGACATGGATGAAGCTGGAAACCATCATTCTCAGCAAACTAACACAGGAACAGAAAACCAAACACCACATGTTCTCACTCATAACTGGGAATTAAACAATGAGAACACATGGACACAGGGAGGGAAACATCACACAACAGTCTGTTGGGGGGTGAGGGGCAAGGGGAGGGAGAGCATTAGGAGAAATACCTAATGCATGAGGGGCTTAAAACATAGATGACAGGTTGACAGGTGCAGCAAACTACCATGGCACATGTATACCTATGTAACAAACCTATATCCCAGACACATGTATCCCAGAACTTAAAGAAAGATAGACAGATAGATAGATAGATATAGATAGATAGATAGATAGATAGATAGATAGATAGATAGATAAAAGAAAAGGGCATGAGCACTGAAATATGCATTTTCTCAAAGGCCTGGAGAAGTAGGTGAGATTGCTTCAACTTCACATTGCCAGAATGCTGCAAAGCTTTCAACAAAGAATTGGTAATTAGACCACCCAAGCTCTGAGGAACTATGAAGCCTAGATTCTCGGAAGAGGTACTGTCCACAAAAAAAGCAACTTAGAGGACCAAATCCTGCCTAAATGAGTGCTTTGGTCTCTAATATTGGTCAGTCCATTTTGGGTTGGAGGCGGTGAGGAAATTCTAGTATCTCTGTTCCTGGCTTATCACAGGAGGGATTTGCCCAGCCTAGTGCCCCTTGACTCCCTCCTGCCCCTTAAGATATTAGAACCAGGTACCCTACCACTACCTCAGCAAATGAGACTAAACAAGGCAGAGTAAAAATCTCTGTTGTGCTACTCTTGCCAACAACTTGATTCTTCGATTCTGGACTACCTACACTCCCCGCTTTCTGCCCCGTCTCAGCTGCTCAGATCTTACTAGATTTAAACCTGCTCAAACATCAGATATTTGTTTGGTGGCATCCCCAGGACAACTCCAAGACCATACATACATCCATATGATGAATGTTTCCTGATGACAAAAAAAAAAAAACACAAAGTTCTAACCAAATGGTGGTGATAAAGGATGAGACTATTGATAGTGAGTTCCAAGCAGGCAGAAACTACCACATTTGCTGGAAAAAAAGTGCAGAACAATTTTGCACAGAGATTGTCTGGGGGGAAGTTTTTAATTACATTTATAACATATGCACTAATAGTAGCTCTAAAGTAGAAATACAGAGGACATTTTGTTTTATAAATACAGAATATTGGAAAATCACTAGGAAAGCATGTATTCTGGATGTATGGTAATATTCTCTTAACTTTAAGAAAAATTGTAAATCAAAAAACTAGGCTGGGTGTACTGACTCATGCCTGTAATCCCAGCACTTTGGGAGGCCAAGTTGTGCAGATCACTTGAGCCCAGAAGTTTGAGACCAGCGCGGGCAATATGGCAAAACCCCATCTCTAAAAAAAACTACAAAGATTAGCCAGGTGTGGTGACGCGCCTGTAGTTCCAGCTACCTGGGAGGCTGAGGTGGGAGAATCACCTGAGCCTGGGAGGTTGAGGCTGCAGTTAGCTGTGATCACACTACTGCACTCCAGCCTGGGCAATAAGGTGAGACTCTGTCTCATTTAAAAAACAAAAAAGAAGAAGAAGAAAGAAGAAGAAGAAGAAAAAAGAAAAGCTAAAAACTTTACATTGATATCAATGACTATATATAAAGGTATACTTTTCATTAATTCATACATTCTCATTCATTGAGAATAGGTCTATTGATTGAAACTGGCCATTTTCTTGGTTTTTATAATGCTGTTATATCAATCTTTCACAGTTATTTCTCACACTCCTAATTCGCCAGCTATATATATAGTTTGAATGGTCATCTTAATGAAACTTTACAAAGTTTCTCACCTTATCCTTACATATACACTAACTTTATTTTCACCCATAGCATTTATTGGATTACTCACTAGCAAAAATTCATAATTTCCCTGCATTCCAGGAAACACAAGCATTATAGTGAAACACAGTGCATTACAGTAGAAAAGAAAGAGCAGGCTGGGCACAGTGGCTCTCACGTGTAATCCCAACACTTTGGGAGGCCGAGACAGGCAGATTGCTTGAGCTCAGGAGTTCAAGACCTGGGCAACATAGCAAAACTCCATCTCTACAAAAAAAAAATATTGAAATTAGCTGGGTGTGGTGATGCATGCCCAGCCCAGAAGGTTGAGACTGCAGTGAGCTGGGATCTCACCACTACACTCCAGCCTGGGTGACAGAGTGAGACCCTGTCTCAAAAAGGAAGGCAGGGGGAAGGGAGAGGTAGGGAGAGGGGAAGGGAGGGAGGGAGGGAAAAAGAGAGAAAGAGAGAGAGAAAGAAAGAGAAAGAGAGAGAGAAAGAGAGAAAGAGAAAGAAAGAAAGAAAGAAAGAAAGAAAGAAAGAAAGAAAGAAAGAAAGAAAGAAAGAAAGAAAGAAAAGAAAGAGAAAGAGATAGAAAGAGAGAAAGAGAAAGAGAGACAGAAAGATCGAATTAAGAAAATGCAGTCAAGTGCCTTCTCCACATCTTTCCAGCAGTGTGACCTTGGACAATTCAGTTCAACTTTCTGGGACTTGGGTTCTGACTCAATAAAATTGGAGAGTAGTCTGAGATTATGAACTCTTAATCTATAATCCTAAGAATTTTGTGTACCCACTGCCGGCAGACAATGCTCTGTCCTAACAGAAAAGTATGAGGCATTCATGAACCCACACTCACAAACACCCCAACACACATAGAGGCTCGAGTCTATCTGCTTTACACATCAGACTTCTGGATATTATTTTGTTTCCTGGGCTTAAAAAAAAAAAATGAAAAACCCCTGGGATAGATGATATCTGAGTTCAGGGCAGCTCTAACTTTCTCTAATTCTTCCTTCCACATTGCCATTTAGAAAAAGGCACTCAAAAAATAATGAGTGTTGATGGTGTCTATTGTGACCATTGGAAAACTCAACACTCAGCTATCAAGCACTGCTGGAATTAAGCCCCTCTCAACAGACAAGATCCCTCACAATTCTACACATGTTTAAGATTTCAAATGTGCAGCCTAATTAGCAGAGAAATTTTAAAAATTTAATTTAAAAAAAAACCTGGCTGCTTAACATAACTTTGGCATTGCTTTCAAATTGTATTCCCACTTGCAAATTTTACCACTGGATTTTTTTCACATACAGTTGACATTTTATTTCCCTGTTAAAGCCAAATTCAAGAAAAAAGAACAAGAGAAGGAGAGGGGGGGGGCAGGGGCTGGGGTGGGGGAGAAAGAACAAAACAAGCAGCCCTGTAGGAGGATAAAGAACAGCTTGATAAAGATCACCAGAAGATTGCTGCCTCTAGAAAGTTTCGGAACCTTGTAATAAATAACCCTGTATAAATCTAAAGAGATCTGAAATGTTTAACTAGTTTTTCAATGTGAGCAAACACACACACACACACACACACACACACACACAGAGCAGTCTAATAGCTTTTGCTTCATATCCTGAACTCCATAAAAATGTCCTATTATTGGTATTCACAACAATTTAATGGCTTAGATAGATTATATTCCTTAGGGGCAGAAGGCAGCTACGATACAAAGCTCAAGTTCCTGAAGTCCAGATAGTTTTAGGGCATTAAAAATATTTCCCATAGGAAGAATTAATTTCTCAAGCAAAAAACAAGGAGTGAGAATTTCTTTAATTAATCCCATGCTTTGGACAGAAACAGTGGAAATTCTTGGTCTCATAGGTGACTTTTGCAGAAAGGCTTAGGCCAGCATTTTCCCAGGAGGCCATATCCAGGTCTGTTAGAAGTATATAAGCATGAGAATATGTAAGAAATTCGCATATTCATTGTGCAAAGTTTACATAGACTGACAAGGTCCATACAGTTGATTCTCGGGCACTTTTCAAGTTTTCACATCTGATTGCTGCTACCTTTAAGTTAGTCAGTTTGAAAGTTCACTCATCTACATTCCTTCTCCCTCAGCTAACATTACGGTCTTGGGTCCCCTGAGGGAAGGCACATTACTTAATTCTTAGAATCATAGGTAGGATTATGAGATGTGAGAGTTGAAAAGGCTTTGTTTTCAACTTTACATACAGATTTAGAAAAATAATGGCAAGGTCATTCAAAATTTTCCTATGGCCCCCCTGAGCTGGTGAATCACAGTTTGGAAAACATTGCCTTTACAGGGAAAATGCATAGAAACCCACCTAAGAAATAGTTTAGAGCAGATGCTTTGGAGTCAGATAATCTCGGGTCCTTATCCCAGTTCTGCTTCTCACTAACTGAAATTCAGCAAGTTTTTGAAGTTTGCAGAGACTTTATTTTCTCATCTGTAAAATCTGAATGATAGTAAAGATTGTCTTATGGGGCTGTGCAAATTAAAGGAGATGCTTTTAAAGTGTTTATGATGTTACCTGGATTTAGTTCATTATTGTTTTAGAATATTAACTCTGTCCTTTCCTGCATGGCTTTCATCTTCAATAGCATCAAAGTTGTCCTACAGATAATTTTTCCTGAATAAACTTTCATAATCAAACCTTTCATATTCCACATCAGCACAAGAACTAAGGTTATTCATGGGGTGGAATATAAATATCCTTAAAAAAGTTTTTTAACTCAAGTTATTAATCTCATTGCCAAATCACCAGCATCCTCATCATCCTTCAGCAGTGAACTAAGGTCACCATGCTTTTCTATGCCACCTCAGAGCCCCCCAATACATTTCATGGTCATTACCTTTGTTCATACCCACTCTTAAGAACCACATGGGTCTCTGACCTGTGTCAGGAATAAGGCGCAAGTAGGTATTTCTTTTCCCCCTTCCAGCTCTTCCATTTACAAAGAAGGGATAAAGAAACAAAACTCAGCAACTAGAAGAGGAGAGGATGTTAATTCCAGACCTTGGCTGCTTTTAATTTGAGGCATTTCAGTATGGCTATTTCTCAGAGTCATTGAGGGCTAATGGTGCAATCGGATTTTGCCTAGATGAATTTCCCATGACAGATGATATTGGCTCATCATTTGTGGTCATGATGGAGTGCCAGTATTTTTCTTCCTCCAAAGCTTGGGTAGGACGGCATGGAGCTCTTATGTTCTTTAGGACATTTGTTTCCAATTTTGCAAACACTGTGAATGTGGTTATTTTTGTAGCTCTGTTAGGAAAGTGCATGGCATTTGGTTTTTCTTGTTGGAGTTAATTATAAATCATTAGATTTCCAGTGACCACAACAAAGTCCTTGGACCTTGAAGCTCAATCACTGATGATTGCGATAGTCCTACCCACAGCCCCCACCTCTTGCTAAATCTCTCCATTTCTCATTATGGAGCAGGAGGGAGAAGAGGGCGTTATTTTAAGATGTTTTTATTGGCATCTAAACGTAAAGCTTTAGTTCCAAGGTCTTCTTTTTTCCCAGAGCAAGATAAACTTTGGGGGGTTGTAAATCATGGGACTTTTGCATCATTTGACAGGGTCCATGTTTAAAAGTCATTCCAATCGCCTCTCTGATGACTTAGGAAGCCAAGAGAGTTGCCCACGCATCATGAAAAGGACCCTTTCAGTAGCACTGGGCCTAT
The DNA here is from genome assembly GCF_000001405.40 of Homo sapiens. Classification (NCBI taxonomy): domain Eukaryota; kingdom Metazoa; phylum Chordata; class Mammalia; order Primates; family Hominidae; genus Homo; species Homo sapiens. Next base: position 158,026,392 of record NC_000005.10, on the reverse strand, counting down.
GCCCAGATCTGTTGCTTTAGGACAATAAATCATTTCTATTTTCACCCCCTCCCCACCTCCATCCCCATTTATAGAAAACAGCCTTGTGACCTGACTGGTAACTTTAGGGCCAGCCATTGGCAAAACTGGGAGGCCCAAGATAAGGAGCCTTCCTCTACCTGTGAACAGACCCCTCTTCCTGCCCAGAATAAGGCACACACATCTTTATACTGCCCTGAGCCTTCTGCCGTAATTACCCAACCCATCTCACTCTCCAGGACAGCACCCAAAGTACCGAGATTTTTCCCACCATAATGCCCCTATCTTGAGTGTTATTTTTCAACAAGGCTCTGTTTCCTGCTAAAGAGTAAATGGTTAATCTAATTTTAAAAATAAATAAATACCAGCACTCAAGTGTCAATAAAATGCCAACTATAATGACGTGAGAGGAAGACTTATTTTCTACTGTTTTATTTAAAAAAAAAAAAAAAAACCCTCCAAACCCTCTCTTCATTGAAGCCCTTCTTTGGTTGAATTAGGGTGGGTAGCTGAGACTCTCTTGTTCACCTCTCCACCCTCAATGCCTAGAACAGACCCTGGCACACAGTAGGCTCCCAGGACTATCTGTGAATGAGTAAGAGCCCACCCCACTTTCCATTTCCTCCCCCACCTGACAGATCCTGAGCGGGACCTTGAAAGAAGAGCTTGCAGCCAATGAAGTTGATTCATCAACAGATTCATCAATTGATGAAATAGATTACCCTAGAATCTTGATGCCAAAGTCCACTTAGTTCAACCTCGCCACTTCATAGATGAGGAAACCAAGGCCCATAAAGGAAGAGTCTCCTGCCCCAGGTCACACAGGGAGTGACTCTATTATAGCACCCGATCTCAGGTCCCTAGACTCTCAGGTCAGGGCTCATCCCCTTGGGTTTATCTGCCTTGTTCTTTACTTTTCAGGCTAAGACTTCTGGAGAAGTTTCGCTTAGAATCGCTGAGATAGATGTCCTTAACAGCCTCCTAAAGAGGATCTCTCCTTTTTTTTTTGTTTTCTACTTTCTAAGCTAGAATTCCAAGTTTTGATGTTACTTGAAGACAATTAGGCAGTATGAAAAGAAAATCAAGTACATTATCCCTTCCCGTTATTTCCCATGCAAAAATATGTTTTTAAAAGTTAACATTGCATCCTAGCCCGCTGCCAGGAGGTGATGGTAAGAAGATGGGAATCAGAGGATAGTTGGAACTGGGCAGATGTTTCAATACTGGTTCATGGCCACCATCTGTCAAATGATATTGATCTTTGGTTTCAATCTCCACTTACTAAAAAACCAAACTAGATAAATTTGCTTTCAGTGACTTTGCGTTTGTGTAAGAAGGAGGAAGGCTGAAAAACAATCAGAGATAATCACTAATTCATTCCAATGTGTTTGGCACCAACATTCCATGAAAGTAGCCCATATGAGTGCAACCAAAGATCTCCTCACTAAATCCAAAGATCATTCCGTAATCTTTTTTTTTTCCTTTTTCTTTCTTTTTTTTTTTTTTTTTTTTTTGAGATGGAGTTTCACTCTTGTTACCCAGGCTGGAGTGCAATGGTGCAATCTCGGCTCACTGCAACCTCCACCTCCTGGGTTTAAGTGATTCTCCTGCCTCAGCCTCCCAAGTGGCTGGGATTACAGGCATGTGCCACCACACCCCACAAATTTTGTATTTTTAGTAGAGATGGGGTTTCTCCATGTTGGTCAGGCTGGTCTTGAACTCCCAACCTCAGGTGATCTGCCTGCCTCAGCTTCCCAAAGTGCTGGGATTACAGGTGTGAGCCACTGTGCCTGGCTATTCCGTAATCTTTATCTTCCTTCTTCTCTCAGCAACATTCACACTGGTGATCCCTCTTCCCTTCTTGGCACACTACTTTCCAATAGCTAATGAGGATCTACTTTTAATCAAACAGACAGACACACACACACATACACACACACACACACAAACCCCCAGCCTTATGATTATGAGATGAACAGGGTATCTGAAAAGGTAAGTTCTCATCCCCCCACCCCTTCCTTTCTGCTCCAGGAATCCCAAGCAAAAGACACAATAATGACAATCAGCTTGAAAGCCACATACAGAGCTTGAAGACTGTCTCAGGGTGGCTCCCCCTCCAAAGCAGATGCTGAGGTGAGGATTTCAGGACATGTTTATGAAGGTGATTCCAGGAAGCACTGTGAGGAAGTGAAGCAGAAAGCAGGCAGGAAGGGAGGAGAGCCAATTAAAGACATCTTACTAAGGTAGCTGGGTCCTCTGCCCCATTTGGGATCTTCTGAGAGGCTTCAAAAACACACCCGAGAATTGTCCCACTGGAGGGTGAGGAAGCTGGGGTATTTATCCTCCAACTCTTGTCCCACATCAATAGAGAATCCACAAGGGCTGCCAACTCTCCTATACCTCTGGCCTACCCCCACTTGGCCCCCTTAGTCTCTGCAGATGGCAAACCCATGCAGGCAGATGCAGGATGGCCCTGGGCCTGGAAGGAAGCTGTCTGCAGAAGTTCTCTATGGAGGGCTAAGGGGAGGTATGCAGGCACCAACAGCATCTGTTGCAAAGAACAAACAGGTGATCAAAAACTACCCACTACTCCAAAAATGGGTGACCTGCTGTTGAGAACGGAGAGCACCGTGGGAGGTTAGAGGTGGGGCATTAGCTGCACAAAGGAATCATCACATGAAACCCAATAGGAGACTGCCCTTTTCCTCTACATAGTAACCTTATTCCTAAAGCCTCTTGCCCCTGCTCATTCTTCATCTCAGCTTTTAAAAAAAGTTTCTTGAGGAGGCCTTCCCTGACCTGCTCTCATGCCCTTCCCTCCAGTAACACTCGAGATGCTTATGAATCAGTGTCCATCTTCCCCCAAGGACTCGCATTCTCTCAGCGCAGGAACACGTCTGCCTTACTCACTTCTGTGTTGTTGACACCTGGCGCAGAGCCTGGACATGAAAGACGTTCAGTAAGTATCTGTAGAGGTGTTGCTGGAACATATATTTAATGTGGCCTGATTGTGGGTCATACTGTGTTTAGTGTGAATGGATCGAGTTAGGCCTCCTGACTCATTTTGTCTGTTTTTACTTGATCACTATCCCTCTTCTGTGGATGGTAGGTGACACTGTGTTCCTCAATGCAGCTCAAGTCAGTAAAAACCCAGGTGAGGGGATTCCATCAAGTTTCATTAAAGGAAATTTTCTAAAACTTCCTCCCTCTAACCTCCTTACTGTCACAACTGATTTATAAAGAACAAGGGCTTATGACTATAAAGGATTTAATCAGGTTTCCTCTTTTCTTGAGAGGGTGAAAATTCAGCTTCCTTATAGAGTGAGCTGTATGATGTTATCACTGCCTGTTCTGGGAAGGACAAGCCTGTTCCACTTAATGACTAGCATTTTCTCAGGATCTTATTTCCTTGGACGTTTTCATAGTAGTTATAATATAACAGTTAATTAGCCGGGCATGATGGCGGGTGCCTGTAATCCCAGCTATTCAGGAGGCTGAGGCGGGAGAATCGCTTGAACCCGGGAGGCAGAGGTTGCAGTGAGCCAAGATCACACCATTGCACTCCAGCCTGGGTGACAGAGCGAGACTCCATCTCAAAAAATAAAAACAAACAAACAGTTGTAGGGAGGAGACTGGCAGATTTGCTGCCCTCAGACATGGCAGAGGGAGATGGGATAGCAGAAATGGAAGAGGGACATGAGTCACTCTTAGAGAACTATCCCCCACTTCTCTGACAATGTGTTTTCCACCAAGACAAATGGCAGTAACTCACTCATATTAACTCAAGTAAAGGGTGGAGGTGGTTGTAAGAAAAAAAAAAATGCCTCATGGGACCCGGCACAGTGGCTCACACCTATAATTCCAGCACTCTGGGAGGCCGAGGCAGGTGGATCACTTGAGCCCAGGAGTTTGAGATCAGCCTGGGCAACGTGACAAAACCTTATCTCTGCAAAAAAATAAGAAAAAAATTAGCTAGCCTTGGTGGCGCATGCCTGTAGTTCCAGCTGCTAGGGAGGCTGAGACAGGAGGATCGCTTGAGCCCAGGAGGTCGAGGCTGCAATGAGTTATGATCACATCACTGCACTCCAGCCTGGGTGACAGAGGGAGACCCTGTCCCAAAATGAAAGAAGGAAGGGGAAGGTGAAGGGAAAGGCGAAGGGGAAGGCAGGCAAGGCAGGCAAGGCAGGCAGGAAGGCAAGAAGGCAGGAAGGCAGGAAGGCCTCATGGGAAAGCAGAAAAATTTGAACAACCACACTCAAGAAAGGCAAGAAACAAGGCACATCTAGGGCTGGGCCTCTTAACCCTCTCTTTTTTGTTCTTTATATTCCTCTAACAATAACCTTCCTCATTATTTCTGCATCATTCATGTGTTCCTCTCTTCATATGTTAACATTTTAATTCTAGCTCCTACAGCTAACTGGTAATGGGATCCTTATTTTTCAGTTCCATATCGCAAAAAAGGAACCTGGCCTGCCCTGCTTGTTTGAATTGAGACAAATTCTAGTAACAAGTCGTGGGTTATTGACAAGCCCATAGACAATGCCAACTTTGAGACAAGTACAGAATCAATGTGGTGGGAATAAGAATGGGAAGAGAAGGCTGGGTATGATACTTCATGCCTGTAATCCCAGCACTTTGGGAGGCTGTAGGCTGCTTGAGCCCAGGAATTCGAGACCAGCCTAGGCAACATGGCGAGACCCCCATCTCTACAAAAAATACAAAAACTAGCCAGACATGGTGGCACACGCCTGTAGTTCCAGCTACTCAAGAGGCTGAGGCAGCAGGATAGCCTGAGCCTGGGGAAGTTGTGGCTGCAGTGACCCGTGATTACGCCGCTGCACTGCAGCCTAGGTGGAGTGAGACCCTGTCTTAAAAAAAAAAAAAAAAAAAAAAAAAAAAAAAAAAAATCGGAAGACAGAGTTTTAAGGCGTGGAACATAGACATACCCACTCAGGTGAGTGTGAAGGCAGAACTTCCTAAGAAAGCAGTGTAGACTGTATAAAATAACCAAAAATTAACTGTCTTAATCCTCCTCCAGCAGAGACTGGTAGCTGGTGGCTTAGGATGCAGAAATTTACATTTCTTTTAAGACAGCCTCTTCTTCACTGTTCCATGCAGATGATGACTTCCAACTGGGAGAGTCTTCAACTCTCTGCCTGAGGCTTTTGCCAATCATAGCTGCACTCATGCTCAAGGCAAGCTAGAGGTTCCTGGGGGTTGATGGCACCAGGTGCAGTCCTCAATGACAAATGGGAGTTGGTAAATACTCCAGAGGCTTTGGCCCTTAGGGGGGGCAACTATGAGGCTCGTTCTGCACTTTCTCCCAGAGATCCAGAGAGCAACTGAGCCACTTTCTCACAGAAATAAGCTGTTCCATGGCACTTGCTGTAACGGCCCTCCTCCCTTCCTCGGCTCACTTCACACTACTGCCTGTGCCTCGGAGATTTACAAATCCAGCTCACAGGGTGCTTCCTGAAAACTCAACCTATGGAAAGAATTTTCCATAGTTCAGAGATTGAACCAATACTTTTTCCAGATCTGTGCTCCAGATCTCATTCTCCTCCCACTGTGTCATGCTTCCCTGGCCCCTGTTCTGTGATGCAATCACCTGAAAACACACAGATAGCAAGGCAGTAAAAATCCACACATTTATCATTTCCTACCATAAGATGTGTTTGCTCTAGTGATCAAATTGGACAAGCAAGTGGTTAGCTCCCAGATTTTCTGAACTTGTGGACTAGGTCACATCTCAGCAATTAAAACAGTAACTTAACAGTAACTTTCTTAAAACAGCTTAAGAAATGAATTGGCCAGGCACGGTGGCTCACACCTGCAATCACAACACTTTGGGAGGCTGAGGTGAGCTGATCACTTGAGGTCAAGAGTTCAAGACCAGCCTGGCCAACATGATGAAACTCCACCTCTACTAAAAATACAGAATTAGCCAGAAGTGGTGGTGCATGCGTGTAATCCCAGCTACCTCGGAGGCTGAGGCAGGAGAATCGCTTGAACCCAAGAGGTGGAAGTTGCAGTGAACCAAGATTGCACCACTGCACTCCAACTTGGGTGACAAGAGCAAAAATCCATCTCAAAAAAAATAAATAAAATAAATAAATAAATAAATAAATGCTGGGCGCGGTGGCTCACGCCTGTAATCCCAGCACTTTGGGAGGCCGAGGCAGGCAGATCACGAGATCAGGAGATCGAGACCATCCTGGCTAACACGGTGAAACCCCATCTCTACTAAAAATACAAAAAATTAGCCGGGCGTGGTGGCAGGCGCCTGTAATCCCAGCTACTCGAGAGGCTGAGGCAGGAGAATGGTGTGAACCCGGGAGGCAGAGCTTGCAGTGAGCTGAGATAGCACCACTGCACTCCAGCCTGGGTGACAGAGCGAGACTCCATCTCAAAAAAAAAAAAAAAAAGAAAGAAATTAATTAGGTGGTCCAGCCTCAGAAATTTCTCACAGTCAGAGAAATGCAGTCAACAACTAAAAAGGTAATTTTAAAACAAAATAAGCTCTTCAAATGGAAAGGTAGATTCCATCCATGCTTAAGAACTCAACATCAACATCACAAACATTCCGCCAAGTTAATATATAAATTTAATGCACTCCAAATAAAAATTATCAGCAGTATTTTTTAGCTATTTTCTTATGGAAAAATAAGTAAGTAAAACTAGCCAGAAAAATTATACTTAAAAAAAACAATGAGGGAAAATTAGCCTTGCCAAATATTAAAATATAATATAAAGCTACATTAATTAAAGCAACATAATACTGCCCCATAAATAGAAATGTCAATGGAATAATCCAGTAATAGACCCCCAAAGCATACCAAAATTTAATATGTTATTAAAGAAATGCATTCACACAATGGGTAGCCATATGGAGAAAAAAAATTGAATCCATTCCTCTAAACTTAAAACAAAATAAATTACAGATGGAGTAAATATTTAAATGTAAAAAATGAAAACCACAAAATTATTAGAAAAAATAGAAGAAATGTTTGTATGATCTTGGAATGAGGAAGGCCCTCTAAGCATGACATGTAAATCAGAAGTCAGGGAAGAAAAGACTTAAGTTTGACTGCACAAAAATAAAACATTTTTGCACACCAAAAACCTCCATAAGTCAAAAGAATACATGGCCAAAAAAAGACGTAGTTTTGTGCAATTAATATCACAGTGGCTTAATTCCCTAGCACATAAAGAACTAGAAATTTTATGCAAAATCAACAACTTAATATTTGCTAATAAATGTGCAAAGGATACAAGCAGACAATCCACAGAAAAAAAGTAAAAATGCTCTTAAAGCATGATTAGTTTCAGTCATAATATGAAATGCTTAACCTTACTAATGATAAGTACAATTAAAACTATAATGAAGTTCCATTTTTCATCTATCAAATTGACCACATGGAAAAGTTTAGAATCACTGTTGTTTGCTTGCTTGTTTGTTTTTAGAGATAGGGGTATTGCTCTCTTGTCCAGACTGGAGTGCAGTGGCACAATCATGGCTCACTGCAGCCTCAAACTCCTGGGCTCAAGTGATCCTCCAGCCTCAGCTTCCTATATAGCTAGGAGTACAGGAGCGTACCACCACACCCAGCTAAATTTTTTCAATTTTTCATAGAGGGGGATCTCACTATGTTGCTCAAGCTGGTTTCAAACTCCTGGCCTCAAACAATCCTCCTGCCTCAGCCTCCCAAAGTGCTGGGATTACAGGCGTGAGCCACCACACCTGGCCCACTCTCTGTGTTGTTGAAGATGCTGGAGAACAGGCAATCTTACACACTACTGGTGCAAGTATGAAGGACACTATCTACTAAAATTATAAATGCACATACCCTTTGACCCAGCAATTCTACTTTTGTGGGCAGTTCAGAACCCTCTCTAGAACAGGGGTTGGTGAACTTTTTCTACGAAGGACCAAATAGTAAATATTTCAGGCTTTGCAGGCCATGGGCTCTCTATCTCAGCTACTCAATTCTGTCATTGTAGCATGAAATCAGCTACCGAGAATATATGAATAAGCATGTCTGGGTTTTAATGAAACTTTATTTACAAAACAGGTTGTGAATACGATTTGGCCTGCAGGCCAGTTTGCCAATTCCTGCTACAGGAGGGCATCGGGAACAAAAAGGCTGCACACACCCTTGCTATGGCAGAGACCACTGGCTGTTTCCAACTCCATTTCTCACATATAGTAAAAGCTCTGCAGCTAGAACTTGGGTGACCAGTCAGGAATTGCATTTCTCATCCCTCTGTGCACCTTCTTGGCCACATAACTAAGCTCTCCGTGATGTACGAATAGAAGTATAACTTCTGGCTCACTTGCTTAAGAAGAAATCTCTGTTGCTGGATCTGTTCTTTTTCCCCTTCTCACGGGCTGCTGACAGTGATGAGAAGGATGTTAAAGCCAATACTTAAAATGGCAGCACTGCCATCAACCAGGGTCCTGAATTACTGAATGGGGCAGAGTGATCCAGGGCAGGTCAGGTTTGCAACATAATAAAACATAATAAAAATTGTTGCAAATTTGACCTGGGAGAGAAAAATCTTTTTGCTTCACAACCTTCTAAGACGTTAACATTCCTGATAAAATGCTTAAGCAATTTTCTGTGAACTTTAATAGGATTAAGGTTTGCTCTGGAAAACCAATTACCTACATGCCCAATTACCCACACACTCAGTGGCCAACTGTCAATCAAGAGCCTAGTGACCTTTAACCAGACTTTCTTTTCTTTCTGTGTCTAGTCTAACAATGATTATCTAACCATCCTCTTTTCCTATAAAATGTCCCTGCCAAAAGTGAATTGCGGAGGTGGACTTCTCAGGTCCATTTCCCTTCTACACATGATCATAATAAAACTTTAGTACATGCTCACAACCAAATTGTCTGAAAAGTTTCCTCTAACACTTGGAACATTCACATGTATGTTAGTCCATTTTGCATCACTATAAAGGAATACCTGAGACTAAGCAATTTATAAAGAAAAGAGGTTAGTCCATTTTGCATCGCTATAAAGGAATACCTGAGACTAAGCAATTTATAAAGAAAAGCCTGGTTCTGCAGGCTGTACAAGCATGGCTCCAGCATCTGCTCCTGGTGAGACTTCAGGAAGCTTCTAATCATGGTGGAAGGCAAAGGCGGAACAGGTGTATCACATAGCGAGGGATGGAGGGAGAGAGCACGCACACGAGAGAGTGAGAGAGAGAGAGAGCGTGAGCAGACAGGAGGTGTCAGGCTCTTTAAACAACAAAATCTAGTGTGAATTCAGAGCGAGAACTCACTTATTACCTTGGAGATGGCACCAAACCAATTATGAGGGATCCACTCCATGACTCAAACACCTCCCACCAGGCCCTACCTCCAACATTGGAGATCACATTTCATGTAAGATTTGGAAGGGACAAAACATCCAAACTATATCAATGTGGTCTTGTAATGTAAGTGAGAAATAAATTTACTTTTATTTGAGTCACTAAGTTTGGGTCTCTTTTACAGCAACTTAACCTACCCTAATAAATTTACACTTTAGAAATTTGCTTTGAGTTTACTAAATGCTTACCTTGTGCCAGAGACTATACAAAGCACTTTATATGCATTATTACTAAACTCCATTTCTTTTTCACAGTACAGATCTGCAGCTAGGATTGGATTGCCAGCCAAGAACCTCCACTGCTAATAATGATAATAGCAGCAATAACAAGAATAGTACCACCTAATACTTATCAAATGCTTACAATGTGCCAAGCATTAAGCAAAACTCTATGTTATTCTTTACAATCTTACAGGGGTTCTTCTTTAAAAAAAAATCCAAGTTTAATCACTAGCATTAAATTAATCTCTCTGACTGGTTAATACACTTTATTTAGAAAATGAAAGCAAATCTGCTTTGCCAAGATAAATTTCTGACAGTAAAACTTAACTCAATCTTCTTGGTTTCCGAAGATGCAGAAAAAATGAATCTCCTCTTAAAAGGGATAAGATTCCCAGCATACAGCATCACTGGGTGAGAACTGGTGGTAGGATTTTTTCTTATGCTTCCCAAAGAGGGATCTTATTTTTATAAAGGCTGAGAAGTGCCACACACACTTTTGCTGTTTAGGATTAGCTCATGGGCCCTTTAGAAGCAAAGCTTTGAAGGTGCCCTCCAAGACTTTTCTCCTATTTCTCAAAGAACTAAAAATAGAATAACCATTCAACCCAGCAACCCCATCAGTGGGTATATACCCAAAGAAAAATAAATTGTTCTACCAAAAAGACACGAGGCTGGGCGTAGTGGCTCATGCTTATAATCCCAATGCTTTGGGATGCCTAGGCAAGAGGATCACTTGAGTTCAGGAGTTCAAGACCAGCCTGGGCAACTTAGTGAGACCTCATCTCTACTAAAAATAAAAATTAAAGAAATAGTCAGGCGTGGTGGTACATGCCTGTAGTCCCAGCTACTAGGGAGGCTGAAGCAGGGGGATCACTTGAGCCCAAGAGATCAAGTCTGCAGCAAGTTATGATCTCACCATTGCACTCCAGTCTGGGTGACAAAACAAGATCCTTTCTGCAAACAAAACAAAGAAAAAGACACATGCATTCATATGTTCATAGCAGCACTATCTACAATAGCAAAGACACGAAGCCAACCTGGGTGTCTATCAATGGTGGATTGGATAAAGTAGTACATATACACCACAGAATACTACTTGGCCATAAAAAAGAACAAAATCATGTCCTTCACAGTAACATGGGTGCAGCTGGAGGCCATTATTCCAAGTGAATTAATGCAGAAACAAAAGTCAAATATCACATGTTCTCACTTATAAGTGGGAGCTAAACCTTGAGTACATGCAAACAAAGATGGGAACAACAGACAATGGGGACTCCAAAAGGAGGGAGGGAGGGAGAGGGGCAAGGGCTGAAAAACTTCCTATTGGGTGCTCTGTTCACTATCTGGGTGATGGGATCAATAGAAGTCCAAACCTCAGCATTATGCAATCTACCCCTATAATGAACCTGTGTATATACCCCCTGAATCTAAAGTTTAAATTTTAATTAAAAAAAAAAAAGCTTTTCTCCTAAATGCCTTTTCTCTTTCAGAGAAAGAAATTGTCTCACTTTGCCCCCAAAGACTTAGCTCAGTTTTAAATTAAATTAAAATTATAGGTATAGGAGGGAAAATTCAATTTCGAATTAAGGTACAGGCTGGACCTCAAATCTTGGTACAGCCTTTTCTCTCAAGGTGTTGTAAGGTCTGATATATTCATGTCTGACCTTAGTAGGGTTGGACAGATGTTTTTGTTATTGTTTTATGGGGGTTTTAGTGGGATCTTTTCTACCTAGTGATACTTCTAAGGCAAGGTTCAGAGGAAGGGTCTCAAATGGGGGCATCTGCATCCATGCATTATTGTAAGATCAATTAATAAACACCGGGGACACATCTAAGGGCAGGAATCTCAGGGCCATAGCCTCTGGGTACCTTGCTACCAAAGGTATGAATAAACCACATGATCCTTCTATGTTGTCCAAGAGCAGAATCCTGTTTTCTACAGTGCTTCAAATCATCTGAGAGTGTCTAAGCCTCAGTTTCCTCATCTGTTAAATGGAACCATTAATACTATCTCATAGGCTTGCTGTGAAAATCATTATGGAGTATTTAGGTGCACACACTCTGAAAGTATGCAGCCTGTATCTTAATCTTTATGACATTCTTTAGTACAGTGGAAACCCTGGGCAAATAACTTCTTTGTGCTCAGATTTCTTCATCTCTATAGTGGGGATAATGAGAATATCTATATCATGGGATCATTGTAAGGATTACATTCTTGTATGGTGCCTCACATAACATAATTGGCATCACTACCACTACTACTGTTACCACTACTGATTCTATTTAGTAAAAGAAGTTTCTAGCCATGTCACGCCAAGGGGAGGGGTTGAAAATGCTCCTTGAACCCCTGAAATAGGCTTCCTTGGGAGAATGATCTCCAGAAAGAGGGTCAAGCATTCTGGGTTTGTGAGTGCAGGAAGCTAAGACTAGTCTTGCACCAGCCTCCTAGGGTTGGCCTGTGCCCTGGGATGTGGCTGTGCACCTGAACTCAAGGAGAGGATCAAATCTGATGTCTTGGCAGCCAGAGCTCTCAGTACGCATGGCCCAGTCTAGCCCACAAGAAGTGGAATGTCCTCCCTGGAGAACCACTGAAGGCTCCTCTCAGATGAACGAGCCTATGGGACCGTGCAGAATTCAGCTTCACCAGCGACACCCTCTGGCAGCAAGAAAGAAACAGCCGAGACAGCATAGGGATTTCTCCCCAGATTCCCCTGGTATCAAAAGAAGACTGGCTGCCCCAACCAGTTCTTTTGAGATTAAGAAAATATCCTGGAATTCATAGACATTTTCAGGACTGGAAGTCTCAAGAGAACTATATTTGGAGTCCGTTTGTGAGGAAGAGATTAAGCAATCTGTTGGAAAACTAAATCATCTATCTATCCATCCATGCATCCAATTCCCAAATAATTATTGAGCATTCACTATGTGCCAGGCACTATTTAAAACATTAAGGATATAGCAGCGGACACGGTAGTCAAAGAGATGTGATGATATTTGTACCCTGTGATTGCAGAGCAGTTCATACAAGCCATTTAACATAGAATCATATTGTAATGTCAAATGTGTTTTTTCACTTCTCCCTCATCCACCCATCTCACGCAGTGCATCTAGCCCTCACCGAGGTGCAAGGGCATCCATAGACAATGTTAGTTAGGCCAAACCCTGGCTTCGTTGGCCTGCCCCAAAGACTGCAATTATCCCTAAGAAGGAGTCACTCTTTTGGGTTCAGATCATGCAACTGCCAGAGTCCTTATTTGAATGCAAATAGCCTTGCAGCAGTGACACATTACATCATTGTCATTCATTATCACCTTTCAAGTGTCACAGCAAGGCTGGGGGTGGGGGTGAAGAAATCCTGGAGAGGGAGAGAATCTGAGTGACTTCTTCCAGGAAGAACAAGGCTAGCTGTTGTGGCTCAACAGGGGAACAGGAAGGGGGCTACCGACAGGTTAAAGAAAGGTGAGGTGAACACAAAACCATTTTTCCCTACTTCAGGGGGTGACTGAAGGACTCTCTTGAGGGAGAGACCAGAAGGCAACAGGATGATCAGTAACGAAATGAAGGATGCCTTGTATTAGGCTATGCAATTCAGTTTTGTTTTCACGTAGACCTGGAGTGCTTAAAAAGGTTCACAGTCCTCTATAGAAATGGACAGGGTATATAACAACATAGAGGAAATCTTTACTTAGTAGGTGAACTCACCCACCCTCAATAAAGTTAACTTGGTGAATAAATCAGAAGCTTCGATGGGGAGGAGATTTCCAAGAGGCATTTGATGATCACTCTAAGACTAATTCCAGGGCTTGGTTTAGCTGAATGGGGCATATAAGTTACAGACACAAGCTGAATAGCCTGGACAGGAGAGTCCTGAGAGGCTGTTTGGATTAAGAGACAGGTGGCTGGCAGAGGACAGAGCTTTATTAGCTTTCTATTGTGTGGTCTATGATGCCAACCATATTCCCTGTTTTCTCTTGAAATCTTCAGTAAAATTCCATTCTTGTTCATGCCCCAAAGACCTTAGGGAACGGTCTGAGCACCAGCCAGCCCCAGGAGGCCTGCCACATCTGGGTTCCAACTGTAAATATTTAAAGAGCTTGAGCTGTACAGGGTCCAGTGCACAAAGCCTGCTGCTTAATGCAGGGTTGTTGGTCTAGGGATGGGATTTTTTAATGGTGGCAAAAAAGGTCTAGATGTTCAAAATATGTTGTTTTCATGAGGCGATACCAAATCAATGCTTTGTGTTCAAACCCCAAGCCCCTGATTTCCAAAAATGATGATGCCTAATCCTCAAAGCTAGCGGAACATACTAAGTATAGTTTTCCCATCTTCAGGAGAGACATGACTCCGGTTCAGCAAGGATAGAGAACTTTATCAAAGTCACCTCAACCAATGAAGACAAGAATCAGAGTACCTGGCTCTCCACTGAGAGTCAGACACAACCCAAGGGGCTGGGAACCACATTTGAGCATAGAGCTGAGCTTCATGAAGTTGATTTCCTGAAAGAACATTCCATCTACTTCTCCATCAGAAGGCTGTTGAGACATGACTGGGTAGCACTATTGTTTACGTTGTAAAATTCCAGGCCATCAAGCTGAGTCAAGTTTCAAATCCAGCAGTAAAAAGAATAGCAGAGCATTCTCAAAGGAGCTCCAGAAGACAGCTTCCCCCAAGGTGTATCACCAAGACGGTTCAACCACAGAAAGCTGAAGATAAGTAAACTACAATTTCTTGGAAAATCACCCAACTCATAAACGACACAGTCCACCAGATTCAATAAACATTAGCATCCTTGTTATAATTTCCATGCAATTTGACATCCTGAAGAGCTCTACTCTTGGTCCAAGATCGATTGCCAGCAATTGCCACTCACTTTTATTTTGGGGCTAATGGGCAAAGGCATACTGTTTTGTGGCTTTTCCTTTCTGCAAACATGCTTATGCCTTGGTTAGTCAATTACCCCCATGACTCCTATATCCATTTGCAGTAATTTCTATTAAGGAAAGTTCCACCCCTTGCACTAATGGGAGCTTTGATGATCAACTCAAGGTCCCTAGCTACTATGTTTATCTACTATCCCTGCCAGGCCTCCAAGACCTTTCTCAGCACTATAGAGAAAGGGATCTTTGAAGAGCATAATGGTTCTCATTACTCCTCCTTCCACACCCACCTCACTAGCAGACAGAAATCAGCATGGGTGACAGCCAGCAAATCAACACTGGGAACAATTGCTACATTTGTCATTGTCAGGCATAACATGCACAGACACACATGTGCCACACACAATGGGATTTTGCTCACCAGCAACCCTGTGTTACTTATATTTTTCACTGTTAATATTTTTTCACTAATTTAAATAGTTCCTTCCATGCTGTTGTCCCAGAGTAAAAACCAGACATGCCCATTCTTAATTGCACAATGATGAAAGATTTCATTATCATAATGAATTACACGTGCAACCCTTTTTCAGTGGCACAACCCCAGCTCCTGACAGCCAGAGAAGCAACAGGGAGAAGAACCAAAAACATAAGTCAAATATAAAATTGGAGGGAAAAGACAATAGAGAATTATACCAACGTTTAATGCAATGGATATGGCTGGTGGCGAGAGCCCTCCCTATTCAAGCCAGGCTTCCAGAAAACAGCAGGAAAAGTGCTAAGACAGATTTTAAACAGACTCCTCCTTGCTACTCAAAGTGTGGCCCACAGAGCAGCAGTGATGGTGTCACTTGTTAGAAATGCAGAATTTCGGGCCTCACCCAGACCTACCGAATCAGAATTTGCGTTTTAACAAACATGCGGGTAATATGTGGGTACATTGAAGTTTGAGAAGCACAGCTCTAGCTCATTGGGATATGAGAAAACAGAAGTCTCCTAAGGATGGAAGACCAGTTCTAATAGAGTTCAGATAGAATGAACCCAGCGGAGAACATTAAGAAAAGAAGGAAGGCTGGCCGGGTGCAGTGGCTCATGCCTGTAATCCCAGCACTTTGAGAGGCTGAAGTGGGTGGATCGCTTGAAGCCAGGAGTTCGAGACCAGCCTAGCCAACATGGCAAAACTCCATTTCTACTAAAAATACAAAAATCAGCCAGGTGTGGTGGCAGATGCCTATAATTCCAGCTACTCTAGAGTCTGAGGCTGGAGACTCACTTGAACCTGGGAGGCAGAGAGCCAAGATCACACTACTGCATTCCAGCCTGGATGACAGAGTGAGACTCTGTCTCAATTTAAAAAAAAAAAAAAAAAGGAAAATATTTTAATAATAATAGTAAAAGTATCAGGGAAGAACAAGCCTAGATAATTTTGATTCATTTATCACCCTACAATCATTATTGACCATCTTCTATGTGTAGGCAGGATTCTAGGTGCTATGGAAACAACAATGAACAAAAAAGACAAAATTATCTGTTTTCATGGAGCTTACATTCTACTCTGGGGAGACCAATAGTAAACAATAAATATAATAATGAATCATGTGGTATGTTAGATGGTGATGAGTGCTATGGAAAATAACAGATAGGAGTAATGAAGGCAATCGGGAAGGGTTTGCAATTTTAAGTGGAAAGTTCAAGGTAGGTCTCATTTCAGCAAAGACTTAGCAGAAAAGAAGGAGTAAGCCTTGCAGATTTCTGAGAGAAGAGCATTCCAGGTGTGACTGGCATTTTGAGGAACAGAGAGGAAGCTTGTGTGTCTACAGCAGAATGATAGAACAGAAGAGGAGAAGGAAAGAAGGTCAGCCAGGAAACAGGAGTGTGGATTAGGTAAGGCCGTGTAAGCTGTTGTAAAAACTTGAGCTTCTACTGAGTCAGATGGGATATCAATGGGGAATTTTGAGCAGAAATGTGACACAATCTAACTTATATGTTTCAACAGGACAACTCTAGCTGCTGTTTGAGAATAGGCTCTTCGGGGTAAGCAAGACTGGAAGCAGAGAGATCAATTGGTAGATTTTTGCAATAACGTAAGCAAGAAATGACAACAGCTTGGACCAGGGAGGTTGAAGTGGAAGGGGTGAGAAGTAGTCAGATTCTGGATAGGTTTTTAAGATAGTGTCATCAAGATTTGTTGATGTTTTGAATGTAGGGTATGGCATAAAGAAAGAAATCGAGAATGATACCAATGTTTACAGCTAAGCAACTGAAACATTGGGGAATATGTAAGTGTAGCAAGTTTATGGGAGGAAGATCAACAGTTTGTTTTGTACACATTGGGTTTGAGAGGTCTATTAGACAGCCAGATGAGGATGCCAAATAGAAGACTTCAGAGGTGAGGTCCTGAGCAGGAGATATAAACTTGGGAGTTGATGGCATATGAAGGTACTTTAAGGCCATGAGATTGAACAAGAATCCCTAGAGCAGAAGTAGAGATTGATAAGAGAGCCAAAGATAGCCTGAGGCCCTCCAAGAAGAGGTTGTGGAGAGGAATGACTGGAAGAGGTTGAGAAGGAACAACCAATGAGATAGGAAGAGAGCCAAGACCCAGCCAAGCAGGACGAATCATTTTATTTGTCCATTTTATGGCAAGATAAAATGTTGAAGAATTAATCAGTGGACTGTTTCATTTTATTTCTGTTTCTCTGTATCAGAAGGTTGATGTTTTCCCCTTTTTTACTCTTCTGTTCAAACAAGACCTTAACCTTTACTCTTGAAGGGAAGGATGGTCACAGAAGAAACACTATGAGAAATAAAGTTCAGCTTTAACCTTCCAAAAGCAAAGATCCTGACATAAACAAGTGTTTGGGGAGGGGTGTATTGCTTGGCTACCTTTTCATTGACACAAAGAGAGGAGAAAAACTTCTCTGTGCTGGGGCAGGGCAAAGAGTTTGAAGGGATGCAAGAAATATGGAAGCTTTCGAAGAGTTTGAGTCCCAGTTCCATAACTTATTGATGTATAACTTGGGGGAGGCACTTGAATTTTATAGGCCTTAGATTCCCCATCTCTGGGAAGCAACACTGCATTCAGTCCCTCCCACTGTAGTCCAAAAGTGAAGAAATTATAGAGACACATACACACCAGATAAGTCTGGGAATTTGGGAATAAATAACATCTATGCCCTACTTTATGCTTGGAATCCTGGGAGACAGTAGTTTTGCAGTATTTTGCATGCTACCAATGCATGTGAGCTATAGACTATAGAAGGCATAAAGGGTAGTATGAAAGGACAGATGAATTTTCTCATGCCTTCAAAAGAGACATAGAAATTAAGAGACCAATAAAGGGAGCCAGCAAATCTGAACAGGCCTTGCAAAAGGAATAAATGGGCCCGGGTGCGGTGGTTCATGCCTGTAATCCCAACACTTTGAGAGGCCAAGGTGGGCAGATCACCTGAGGTTAGGAGTTTGAGACTGGCCTGGCCAACATGGTGAAATGACGCCTCTACTAAAAATACAAAAATTAGCCAGGCATGGTGGTGGGCGCCTGTAATCCCAGCTACTCGGGAGACTGAGGCAAGAGAATCACTTGAACCCGGGAGGTGGAGGTTGCTGTGAGCCAAGATCATACCACTGTACTCCAGGCTGGGCAATAGAGGAAGATTTCGTAAAAAAAAAGGAATAAATGGACATCATAATGGAATGTACCATAGACATTGTCAGTCAGAATAGGCTGTTATGTTGCAATATAATACCAAAATTTCAGTGGCTTAAAACAACAAAAGCGTATTTCATACCCATGTTACATGTACATCATGAGTGGGTGGTAGAACTCTGTTCCTTGTAATCCCTCAGAGACCCAAGCTGATGGAGTAGCTGCCATCTTGAACATTGCCACTTACTTTGCAGAGAGGAAGAGCTCTTGAGGGTGTCACCAGCAACTAAATGTTTAGTCCATGGATGGCTAAGTGTTAACAGCTCAGTGAAGGGTCAGGGTGACAGCCTCCTGCACCTGCCCTTTTTGACAGCCGAGTTCTTATTCGGTTTCCAGGAAGAATCAGGTCACATGAACTCTTTGAAGGGCAGTGTATGCGGAGGATTTTACTGGGCAATAAAAGTGATTCTCAGCGGGATGGGGAATTAGAAAGGAGATGCTGTGGGAAGAAGGTGATCTTTACCTGAAGCTGCACTGTCTGAAGTTAGCCACGTCTATCCATAGTCTTCAATGCTCAGCAGCATGTATCCTGATCACTTGCATCAGCCTCTTTTTGTTACTCTGCCAGCTGAAGTCTTTTTATGTGCACAGAATAGGGGTGTAGCAGACCAAACAGGCAATCATTTGGGTGGAAAAATGGAGTCAGCTGTCTTCACTTAGGGCTGAGGTTCCAGGCTTGAAGGTGGAGTTTAGCCTGGAGCCCAGCCCCTCTGTATCAGGGTCAGCTGTTTTCACTTAGCGCTGAGGTGCCAGGCTTGAGGGTGGGGTTTAGCCAGGAGCCCAGCCTTTCTGTATTAGCTTCATGTAATAATAACAGGGCCAAATCCTACCGTGCACCCAGAAGAGTGAGAACTGGACATATTTAGCAAACAGCACTATTGACAAAACGTCTTTTAGGGACAAAATTAATACAAACAGCTCAGGAAAAGTCATCACAAGGAGAGTGATAAACTGGATAGATGAATATCTCAGCAGAAGCTTGAGACACAACGATGAAAGAGAGATTGTTCAGAAGCATGTGTTCTTCACATTAGAGCATGTTTTTTCTCAAGGTCTTCTTGAAGATCTACCTCTTTTCTTTTAATGACATTCTACTATCACATTGTATGAATCTACCAAACATATTTAATGATCCCCCTTCAAAAAGACATTAGGATGCTAATTTTCTCATCTTGTTGCATACCAAGGGTTCTAATTTTCTACCATTACATGAAAGGTCTTGATGGACATCTTTTAAGTGTATACTATGATTACACAGAAGTTTTTCTATTGGATAGCTTCCTGAAGTAGCTTTCTATATCACACTTTTTCCTTTGACCCTTCAACTCTTGGCATAGTAATTGTAGAATACAAATAAATTGAGAGATATATCACCTTTTGTGATTAGAAGCATTAATATTGTTAAAATGTCCATTCTTTCCAAAGTAATCTACAGATTCAACACAATTGCTATCAAAATTCCAACGGCATTTTTCATAGAAATAGAAAAAACAGGCTGGGCGTGGTGGCTTGCACCTGTAATCCCAGAACTTAGGGAGGCTGAGGCGGGTGGATCACCTGAGGTCGGGAGTTCAAGACCAGCCTGACCAACATGGAGAAACCCCATCTCTACTAAAAATACAAAATTAGCCAGGGGTGGTGGCACATACCTGTAATCCCAGCTACTAGGGAGGCTGAGGCAGGAGAATCGTTTGAACCCAGGAGGCAGAGGTTGCAGTGAGCCGAGATCACACCATTGCACTCCAGCCTGGGCAACAAGAGTGAAACTCCATCTCAAAAAAAAAAAAAAAGAAAAAGAAAAAAACAATCATAAAATTTGTATAAAATCACAACAGACCCTGAATAGCCAAAACAATCTTGACAAAAAGCAAAGCTGGAAGCATCACACTTCCTGATTTCAACTATATTACAAAACTGCAGTAGTCAAAACAGTATGTTACTGGCATAAAACAACAGACACATAAACCAATGAAACAGAATAGATAGCCCAGAAATAAATCTATGCATACATGGTCAACTGATCTTTGAAAAGTATGCCAAGATTGCACAATGGGGACAGGAAAATCTCTTCAATAAATGGTGTCAGGAAAACTGGATATCTACATGCAAAAAAATAAAATTGGACCCTTATTTTATACCATATGCAAAAATTAATTCAAAATAGATTAAAAACTTAAATGTAAAAATCTGAAACTGTAAAACTCCTAAAAGAAAAACAGCAAACGGCAAAAGCTCTTTGACATTTAGTCTTGGCAACAATTATTTGGATATAACACCAAAAGCACAGGTGAGCAAGCAACAATGAACAAGCAGCACTACATCACACTAAAAAGCTTCTGCACAGCAAAGGAAACAATCAATGAAATGAGAAGCACCCAGAAGAGTGGGTGCTTCTGTGGCAACCTATGGAATGGGAGAAAGTATTTGCAAATCATATATCTGATAAGGGGTTAAGATCCAAAATATATAAGGACCTCATACGACTCAACAGCAAAAAAAAAAAAAAAAAATAACAACGCCAAATAACCTGATTTTAAAATGGGCAAGATTCTGAGCAGACATTTTTCCAAAGAAGACATACAAATGGCCGACAAGTATATGAAAAGGTGCTCACCATCACTAATCATCAGGGAAATGCAAATCAAAAACACAATGAACTATCACCTTACACCTGTTAGGATTTGATAATGGCTATTATCAAAAAGGCAAGAGATAATAAGGCAAGGGTGTGGAAACAGAGAATTTCTGTACATAGTTGATGGGAATGTAAATGGGGACAGCCATTACAGAAAACAGTACAGAAGTTCCTCAAAATTTTATAAATAGACATGCCATATGATTCAGCAATCCCACTTTTTGTTATATATCCAAAGGAAATGAAATCGGTATCTCAAAGAGATATCTGCACCTCCAATCTAAGTGTCTATCAACAGATGAATGAAGAAAATGTGATATATAAAATATTTCATTGTGTGTATGTATATACATATATACACACATATACATATGTATATATACACCTATACAAACATATATACACATACACACATATATACATATATAATATGTATATAATATATATGCAATGGAATATTATTCAGCCACAAAAAAATAAGGAAATCCTGTCATTTGTGACAACACAAATAAACCTGGAGGAGATTGTGCTAAGTGCAATAAGTCAAACACAGCAGAAAGACAAATACTGGATGATCTCACTTACATGTAGAATCTAAAAAGGTCAAACTCACAGACACAAAGAATACAATGGTGGTGACCAGGGCTGGGGAATGAGAGAAATGAGGAGATGTTGGTCAAAGAGTACAAATTTAAAGTTATAAGATAAAACAAG
This sequence comes from Homo sapiens, assembly GCF_000001405.40. NCBI lineage: Eukaryota > Metazoa > Chordata > Mammalia > Primates > Hominidae > Homo > Homo sapiens. Next base: position 158,004,837 of record NC_000005.10, on the reverse strand, counting down.
TTGAGGATTTAATGTACAGCATGGGTGGTAATAGGTATGTAATTAATTTGATGGTTATAATCATTACACGATGTTTATCAAATTATACTGTACACCTTAAATATATAAAATCTTTGTCAATTATGTATTTAAAACTAATAAAAGACATGCATATTTAAAACATTTGTTTTTTAAAAAAAAATTTTTTTTTTTGTCTTGGGAGAAAAATTTCTTTTTTTTTTTAATTATACTTTAAGTTTTAGGGTACATGTGCACATTGTGCAGGTTAGTTACATATGTATACATGTGCCATGCTGGTGTGCTGCACCCACTAACTCGTCATCTAGCATTAGGTATATCTCCCAATGCTATCCCTCTCCCCTCCCCCCACCCCACCACAGTCCCCAGAGTGTGATATTCCCCTTCCTGTGTCCATGTGATCTCATTGTTCAATTCCCACCTATGAGTGAGAATATGCGGTGTTTGGTTTTTTGTTCTTGCGATAGTTTACTGAGAATGATGGTTTCCAATTTCATCCATGTCCCTACAAAGGACATGAACTCATCATTTTTTATGGCTGCATAGTATTCCATGGTGTATATGTGCCACATTTAAGATACTTTGAAAGAGAATACTTTGAACATTTTGCATGCTTTTTTATTTTTACATGTCAATGAGACTGAATTCTTACATCTAAAATCAATTTTTAAAAATTTAAAGCTCTAATTCTATTTTGTAGATGTATATTATACTCACTTGAGTTTATTAAAAGGCTGCTGAGGGCTTTCCCATCAACAACTTGGCAATTTTAACGTGTTCTCATTATTAATAAAAATCTGTGTTTTAAGGAACAAATGTTCAAACTGGCTTTTGAAAAGGTCCCCAGAGAACTGCTGTGGATAGCTACTGATGTGAGGAAAAACCAACATTGACCATGTAAAATTATCATCTGCATATCCACAGGGTCCCTTTTCAGAGGCTGCTTAGGGACTAAAGTGTTGGACCCCGGCTGGTGTAGGGACCAGCAAGAAAGACGACTTCCTCCATTTCTCCCCTTGAGACCCACTCTGTCTGATGTGGGTGCCAGTTAATGACAAACGAGCCCAACAGGTCTGTTTAATGGGATCGATGTGGGCTATCTCCTATTAAAACGCCTATTAAATGTGAATTTTTTTGGTTATTTAATAACTAAGGGGAAGTATGTACTTCCAGATTATGAACAGAACTTCAAAAGCACTCAGTGCTCACCAACCAGATTTTCGCAAAAAGCTTATAAGGTCAGTCAGTGATGGCTGTGAGAAGGCCAAAAAATGTTGCACTTGGGGGCATTTGTGAATTATGAACTTGGAGGATGAGAGGAACTTCCACATATTTAAGAATGCAGCCTCCAGATTAGCTGGAACTACAGATGCATGCCACCAAGCCCAGCTAATTTTTACATTTTTTTTGTAGAAATGAGGTCTTGCCATGTTGCCCAGGCTGGTCTCAAATTCCTGGACTCAACTAATCCTGCTGCCTTGGCCTCCCACGGTGTCAGGATTACAGCCTAAGCCACAACACCCAGCCCTTAATGAACATTTTTAAAAGTCAAAATTACTTATGATACTTGGAGATCATATACATAGTATGAAATTGCCCTCACAGGAGCAAGACTATTTCAACAAGATGGAGGAGAAAAAAAGAGTCAGAGATGGAGCGAAAACAAAGTAGAATTTAACAGGAGCAATGAGACATCCTATATTTAGGTTTTAACAAAGGTATTGAATAAGGTAAACCTGGTTTAAGAACTATACACTTTTTTAAAAAAGGATGTGGGGGTTTCAGTTAAATAACTGTGTGGCTGCTTTAACGACAACAAAAAAAGCAAAGTTAGATTTCATTGACAGAAGTAGAGTCCATGCCTGGGAAAAGGGAGATAACAGTCCCAACGGTGCCACATGTAAAGAGAGACACAAATCTACTGTAACATAGTCAAAGAAGAACAAGTTGACAAGGCCTCTAGGCAAAATATTCCAAGAAAAACTGTCCACAGAACAGAAAGTAAAGAGAACACGATACAAAGAAAATTAGGGGTTATGTTCTAAATGATTAAATAAGAAAATTGGCCGGGCACAGTGGCTCATACCTATAAGCCCTGCACTTTGGGAGGCCAAAGCAGACAGATCACTTGAGGTCAAGAGTTGGAGACCACCCTGGCCAATATGGTGAAACCCCATCTCTACTAAAAGTACAAAAATTAGCCAGACCTGGTGGTGCATGCCTGCAATCCCAGCTACTCAGGAGGCTGAGGCAGGAGAATCACTTGAACCCGGGAGGCAGAAGCTGCAGTGAGCTGGGATAGTGCCACTGTATTCCTGGTGAAAGAGCAAGACTTTCTCAATTAAAAAAATAAAAAAGAAAGAAAATTGTATACAGCCAAAATGAACAACAAAAAATGCCTCGAAACCACCTAGAGAATACATACATACAGTTCTACATATAAATCCCTTATACACACTGAAGCTTGAAAACCTCAAAGGGAACAGACACAACCAAAATGTCTTGTCTGTACAATTGAATAAGCTGCCAATCTTGAGGAAAATTCTCAAACTCCTTTTTTTTTTTTTTTTTTTTTGGAGACTGAGTTTAGCTCTGTTGCCCAGGCTGGAGTGCAGTGGCACGATCTTGGCTGACTGCAACCCCTGCCTCCCAGGTTCAAGCCGTTCTCATGCCTCAGCTTCCCAAGTAGCTGGGATTACAGGTGCCCACCACCATGCCCGGCTAATTTTTGTATTTTTAGTAGAAACAGGGTTTCACCATGTTGGCCAGGCTGGTCTCGAACTTCTGACCTCAGGTGATCCACCCACCTTGGCCTCCCAAAGTGCTGAGATTACAGGCATGAGCCACCGCTCCCAGCTGAAAATTCTCAAACTCCTAGAAGTGAACAAGAGGTTGTATTAGTTTCCTAGAGATGCAGTAACAAACCAGGGGGCTTAAAATAACTCAAATTTATTCTCCTACAGTTGTGGATGATAGAAATCTGAAATCAAAATGGTAGCAGGGCCTTACTCTCTCTGAGATTTTACATAAAATCCTTTCTGGCCTCTTCCTAGCTTCTGCTGGTGGCCAGCCGTCCTTGGTATTGTCTCTGTTGTCACATGTCATTCTCCCTTTGTGTCTCTGTCTTCACGTGGCATTTTCCTTTTCTTAAAAAGACACCAGTCATATTAGCTTAGGGCCCACCCTACCTCTTCTTGACTTGACTACATCTGCAAAGATCCTATTTCCAAATTGGGTCACATTCATAGGTTCTGCGAATTAGGACTTAAATACATTTGGCCAGTGGCACACAATTCAACCCATAATAGAGGTGTATGTAGAATAAATTCCAAAGTAAACTTGCACACAGCAAAGTTTCCACTGTTAGGTTTTAACAGTAAGCCTCTATAACATCAATAGATGCCAATAGATACATTTGTTTATATGATCCTTAATGTTTGCTAGATTTTAATCTAAATTTTGCTTGTTCCAACCCACACATACACACTATGAAACTCTGAAAACCTTTGGAAAGGAACTTGGCCAGCTGCTTTCTGTCTTTCTGAGTTGATCATTTTCTATAGTGTCCTCACTGACCTTCTGTCCTTGGGCATCTTTCTTTTTTTTTTTTTTTTTTTTTGAGACAGAGCCTTGCTCTGTCACCCAGGCTTGAGTGCAGTGGCACGATCTCAGCTCACTGCAGTCTCTGCCTCCTGGTTCCAGTGACTCTCCTGCCTCAGCCTCCTGGGCAGCTGGGATTACAGGTGCCCCCCACTACGCCTGGCTAATTTTTCATATTTTTAGTAGAGATGGGATTTCACCATGTTGGCTAGACTGGTCTCAAACTCCTGACCTCAGGTGATCCTCTCACCTCAGTCTCTCAAAGTGCTGGGATTACAGGCATGAGCCACTGCGCCCAGCCCCTTGGGCACCTTTCTAGGGAGGTCAGTTTCTAAAGTCACCAGGTAAGTACCTGCAGTGACATGGGACTATCTTGGCCTCTCTACTTAATAGTGACAGGCCTCAGTCACATCATATATAAGATGGAGATAATAATAGCACCCCCAACAAGGTCATTGTGCAGAAATGATGTTATACCAGCAAAAATTGCACCAAGAAAAAATGCTGGCCTCTTAGAAATGCTCAACATATGGCAGCCGTGTCCATTGTTAGTATTGAAACATTGCAAGCTCTCTCATGCAAAAATGAGTTAGTAAATTCCATGAATTTTATAACGATTTTAAGTGAATTCTTACTTACAGAAGCAAGCAATTAAAGTGATGAATAAGTGGTTCGGTCTACTTTGCAAAGCGGAGAGTTCTCCATTCATAGATACTTGGTAGCAGTGACTACGTCGATCTGTCAGGGATGCCACCAGGTGTTTCCTGTCATCTGAATGTGGGGTGATAATATCTACCTCACAGAGTTATTGTAAAGATTAATAAAATCACAAAGGAAAAGTGCTTCACATATAGGGAGGTATTCGAGGGGTGTTATTACTATGGTAACTATTTCTGTTGTTAAGTCATCGGTAGAGAAGTTTCTTGCCCAGGATAGAATGATCAACCTGATGACTCCCTTCCAATTCTCAGCCAGCGTGGCTTTATAAGATGACCTACTGCCGAGCATATATATTTCTGTTTACCTAAGAATATCTATCTCATTAATATTTCAGGAAGAGATGGAGTCTAGAGGCCTAAGGGCTGGGATTTTGACAACTCATAAACACATGTTTTCTGGGATATTCATCGCAGCATTGTTTATAAAAAGTTAACACTGAGAAAAAAGCAAAACATATAAAGTTAGAGAACTGCATAAAAAACAATCACAGCCAGCCAGCCAGGTTTGAGCTCTATTCAGCCTTTGGCAAGTTACTTAATCACACTCAGCCACATGTTCCTCTTATTCACAGAGCAGTTGTGATTTTGTAGTAAAGCAGGTAAAGCAGGTACACAGCACCCAACATAGAAGTCTTGCATGATGGTGATGTGATGATGGTGATAATGGTGGTAGCAATACCACCATAACGAAAAATAATGCTGTAGGTCTTGCTTTTCTTGCTTTAAAAAAATAGCATATGTTATTAAATGTTTAAAAGCATGTCATACCACAGGGAAACTGGACAATACCTTGACCCAGTGATGAAAATTACCATCATCAATGGACATTGTGTACCCACAGATGTGATTTCTGGGGACAGACACAACGTCCTGGACCAGTAGCATTCTGGCCAGGAAGACCTAACCTGAACATAGCCAAGAGAAAACTTAAGATAAACCCAAGTTGAAGAACATTCTGTAAGATAAATAGCCTTTATTCTTCCAAAATGTCAATGTCATCAAAGGCAAAGAAAGGCTAAAGAACAGTTCCAATGAAAGGAGACCAACAAGACATGACAGCCAAATGTTATGCATGATCTTGGACTAGATCCTGGACTAGGCGTTAAAAAAATATTATAAGGGACATTATTGGGACAATTGACAAAACTGGAATACGGACCATAGATGTTAAGTATTGCTATCAATTAACTTTCCTCCATTTAGTTACTACGGCTATGTAAGAAAATATCTTTGTTCTCAGGAAACGGACATTGAAGTATGAAGTAAAGCTGCCTTAGCCACGCAGCCTACTGTCAGATGACCCAAAAATTAATGATTTTATATATATATATACACATATACACACAAGTATATACACATACAGATATATATATACATATATAGAGCAAATCAGAGAGAGAGAATTATAAAGCATATATGGCAAGAGGTTAAAAATTAGTGAATTTGGATAAAGGGCATTTGGTATTTTCTTTTAAGATGGAGTCTCCCTCTGTCACCCAGGCTGGAGTGCAGTAGTGAGATCTTGGCTCACTGCAACCTCCACCTCCTAGACTCAAGTGATTCTCCTGCCTCAGCCTCCCAAGTAACTGGGATTACAGGTGTCCACCACCACACCCAGCTAATTTTTTGTATTTTTAGTGGAGACGGGGTTTCACCATGTTGTCCAGGCTGGTCTCGAACTCCTGACCTCAGGTGATCCACCCGCCTAGGCCTCCCAAAGTGCTGGGATTACACGTGTGAGCCACCACGCCCAGCTGGGTATTTTCTTTCTTTTTTTTTTTTTTTTTTTTTTTTTTTTTTGAGACAGAGTTTTGCTCTCATTGCCCAGGCTAGAGTGCAGTGGCACAACCTCAGATCACTGCAACCTCCGCCTTCCGGTTTCGGCCTCCCAAAGTGCTGGAATTACAGGCGTGAGCCACCACACCCGGCCCAGCTGGGTATTTTCTATACTAGTAATACTCCTGCAAGTATGAAGCTATTTCAAAGTAAATAATTCCAAAAAATCTATAGAGAGGAAAAAGTACTGGAAGTAGAGATGAAACAAGATGAGTCATCAAATTATTATTGAATCTGAGTGACTGGCACATGTGGTTGTAGTGAGTGCTAAAAACTAAACACTCACACTGTGGTTGCATCATGGAAGCCGTGCCTGCAATCTGAGCCTGGATAGCAAGGCCGCCACAAAGGAACCCAAGTCAGTAGTCCCCTTGCTGGTCCTCTCCTTTCTGGGCCTCTCAGGTGCTGTAGACAGTAAAGTTCATTGTTTCACTCAAAACAGGGGTTCGTTAAACTCTCCTGCCTACTTTTGTATGTAAAACATGAGTCATGAAGCACTGTATTAGTCTGTTCTCACACTGCCATGACGAAATATCTGAGACCGGGTAATTTATAAAGGAAGAAGGTTTGATTGACTCACAGTTCCACATTGCTGGGGAAGCCTCGGGAAACTTACAGTCATGGCGGAGGGCAAAGGAGAAGCTGGAACCTTCCTCACTGGGCGGCAGGACAGAGTGAATGCAAGCAGGGGAAACGCCAGACGCTTATAAAACCATCAGATCTCCTAAGAACTCACTCACTATCACGAGAACAGCATAGGGGAACCGCCCCCAAGATTCAATTACCTCCACCTGCTCCCAACCTTGACAGGTGGAGATTATGGGGATTACAATTCAAGATGAGATTTCGGTAGGGACACAAAGCCTAACCATGTCAACTGCCATAAATAAAATGATTGTTTTGTAAAATGTGGATGTGCTCATATGTGTGTTAGTGACATGTATGTGCACATGTCTGGGTATATGCATATGATCACGTGCGTGATTGTATATGTGTGCACTTGTGTGTATGTGAGCAAGAGTGCACATCTGTACAAAAGAATATTTACCAAAGGGTTCGAAGTGCCTTTTTCTCAGCAAGGTGGGGTCGGATAGTGGTGAAGAGCACAGGTTTTAGAGTCAGATTGCCTGAGTTCGAATTCAAGCTCTTACAAATCTTAGGTGGAGCTGGACTTTCATCTTAGGAAATTTACTCAACCCCTTTGTGCCTCAACTTCCCCACCTGTAAAATATGAATGATAGTAGAAACTACTTCCTTGGGGTATTAGTAAAGTATGAATGTGTTTAGAACAGTGTTTTGTGCTGTTTTCACTATTATTTTTAGAATGTAACGTCGTGGATAATTTTAATGTCTTCTTTACCCCTTTCATTATTGTCTGAACTTTTTTTTACCGTGACTTTATAATCTGAAAACAAGAGCTTTTTAAAAAATTTTAGCAAACTAGGGAAAGATGAAGGAAGAAAGGAAGGGAGAAGGGAAAGAAAAGATTTGTTCTCTTGGGCTAATTTCATTTCCTCTACAGCTGAACTGTATGCCTTCATTGGATCATTTTAATTGCTATTATTTGAAGAAGACTTGAGGAGATATTTTTCCCAGAACATGAACATTTCTTTATAATGCAAATAGTTTTTCCGTAATTTCCCCGAATTATAGGAAATTCGGGGATCGGAAATTTCTTTTTTTTCTCTTAAGATGGAGTCTCACTCTGTCCCCCAGGCTGGAGTGCAGTGGCGTGATCTCGACTCACTGCAACCTCTACCTCCTGGGTTCAAGCAATTCTTCTCCCTCAGCCTCCTGAATAGCTGGGATTATAGGCGCACACCACCACACCCAGCTAATTTTTGTATCTTTAGTAGAGACGGGGTTTTACCATGTTGGCCAGGCTGGTCTTTAACTCCTGACCTCAAGTGATCTGCCCGCCTTGGCCTCCCGAAGTGCTGAGATTACAGGCGTGAGCCACCATGCCCAGCCATGATTGGAAATTTCTTAAAAGCAGGGTGATCACGACTGCACATCAAGACAATGGTAATATTTTTTCTTTTCCTATTTTTTATTTTGATAATTTTTAAATACATAGAAATTGAAAGAATAGTACAATGAATACCTCTATAGCCACCACTTAATTTCAATAATGGTTAACATTTTGCTGTATTTGTACTCTGTCTCTTAACACACATATACATATACATGAAGTAAAGAGGCCTTAGCCATGCAGCCTACTGTCAGATGGTCCAAAAATTAACGATTTTATGTCTACATGCACATATATCTGTAAACACATACAGATATATATACACAAACATTGCACATGAGGGAGCATGATAAGATTTTTAAAAATAGTGAATTTAAACAAAGAGTATTTGGGTATTCTCCAAACTATACTTGCAATTTTTTTGCAAGCTTGAAATTACTTCAAAGTAAATAATTCCAAAATAAGTCTATAGAGACAGGAAGGTAGTAGGAGTAGAAATGAAACAAGATGGCTCATCAGATCATTATTGAATCTGAGTGATGGGTGCATGGGGTTGTAGTGAGTGCTAAAAGCTCTTAAACTTTCACATTGTGGTTGTGTCATTGATATACACATACAGATAATACTTTTTTTTCCTGAACCAACTAAGTTGCGGCAGATATCATCCAACTTTGCCCATAAACCCTTCAGCATGACTAGCTAAAGAATAAGCACATTCCCCTAGATGGCTACAATAGTATTAGAGAATGTAAGTTACCTTCTCACATCAGTAAACATTGCCATGCAACTATTTATTCATTCCACAAGTATTTATTGAAGACTTACTCAACTAGACAGTGAGCTAGACTGATGAGCAAAACAAATATGGTTTCTGCCTTTATGGAATGAGAGAGACCAACATTTAGAAACAGAAAAACAGATCACTATATAGTGACAAATGTGGATTCTGCCATAGAGTGCCATTGTGTATCTACCTCAAACTTACTTTTGATCAGTACCACTACTAATAGTGATGGCTAGCACTGATTGACATAGCAATTAGGAGATTTCCAGTTGCAAGCAACAGAAACCTAACTGAAACCAGCTTAAGAGAAAAAGTTATTTATTGGCTCAGTCTAAGCCCAAACCGAAGCAGGAGCTTAAATGATGGTTCCCATCACATCTCCAGACCCCACCTTCCTCCTCAGTATTGATTTAAATTCTCAGGAAGCCTCCCTTCGTGTGGCCAAAGAGATGGAGACTGGCAGTCCAAGTATAAAAGGACATTATAACTCCAAATCCCAGGTAAAAAGATGCTCTGTCTCCTAAGGTCCCTGTACCAATGCTTAGGGAAGACCTGACTTGCCCAGACTGGGTCATGTGCCCTTTCTGAGCCAATCCCTGAGGCCAAGAGGTGTTGGATGGTCAAAAGTCATTGGGCCATCCCATGGCAGTGTCTGAAATCCTGTCCCTCCAAAGGTCCTGAAAATCTGAAGAGGACCTGAGGTGCTGGAGGCCTTCATAATACATCGCATACTCCCAGCCAAATGGAAGAAGGAGGCAAGGACTTCCACATTCCCACTTGGTCTATGTCTTAACAGGCCGATTCCACCAGAGGTCAGGGCAGAGCACGACATGGAACGGCCCTGGGGCTGGCTCTTCAACTCCAAATCAGCAGCTCTCACCAGCGGTCCCTGAAAACACCAGGAGCTGCAAGCCGCCAGAAAGAAAACCTGGGTGCAGCACGGAACTGCTGTCTGCTTCAGAACTGGCTCTCAAAAGGCACAGGTCTAAACAGGCAGGATGAGGAAAGTGATTTTGAAAACACTGTATTTTGTAGCTGCAAATCGTACAAAGTGGGCCCCCGAATCGTACAAAGTTATATACAAAATGTACCAACACAGAAGCCACCAGAAAAACAGGATTCTCATCTCTGCTTCCACCTGTCTCTCTACATGGACCTTCTACCACCCTTCTGCCTGCTCATTCAGACTCAACCGCACTGATTGCCTTTCTGCTCCTGGAACATGTCCAGCTTATTCCCACCTCGGAGCCTTTGCACTTGCAGTATCCCCTGCGTGGAAAGTCCTCTTTCTACACCTCTACCTATCGGGCTCCTTTCTCCCAATGTTAGCGCCCCACCTAAAGTAATGCCCCACCCAGTAGGACTAACACATCACCCTGTTTATTTCCTTCATATCATTTATCACCCTCTTAGATTTCCCACAACCCACAACAAAGCACAACAAACTCAGAGACTTGGTTTTGTGGTTTCCCCAGCCCCTAGAACTGTGCCTCCTCAGAGAGTTTAATAAGGGCTCAGTAAACATTTGTTGAATGAACAAACAAATGAATAACCCCCAATTTTCCACATCTAAAATGCGATGGTTAGATTATATGATGTTAATAATGGCTAATATGTACTGAATGTGTATTGCGGGTTGGGCACATTGTTGAGGGCTGTGGGTAGCACTGTAGATTATTTACTTTATATTATTTCAGCCATAACAAGACCTCAAATATTCTCAGGACCTCAAACATTTAAAGTGATGTTTCTGATGCCAAAATTCCTCTCTTAGCAATTTATTTCTTTGGCTTAATTTGGAATCTTTCAAAATACCTTTTATTGCAAGAACAGGAATCATAAAGTCATCTCTCATCCCAAGTGAGTTAGAAGTTTATAACAATAGATGACACATTTCTCTTTGTTAAAGTATTCCAGCCAATAATTAAAGAAGGGATGATAGATTTATTAATTTGCCTTTTTTTTTTTTTTTTTTTTTTTTTTTTTGGAGATGGAGTCTTGCTCTGTCGCCCAGGCTAGAGTGCAGTGGCACGATCTCGGTTCACTGCAAGCTCTGCCTCTTGGGGTCAAGCAATTCTCCTGCCTCAACCTCCCAAGTAGCTGGGACTACAGGCGCATGCCTCCATGCCCAGCTAATTTTTGTATTCTTAGTAGAGATAGGGTTTCACCGTGTTGCCCAGGCTGGTCTCAAACTCCTGACCTCAGGCAATCTGCCCGCCTCGGCCTCCCAAAGTGCTAGGATTACAGGCATGAGCCACAGCACCTGGCCTTATTTTGCTATTTGTATTAGTCAGGGTTCTCCAGAGAAACAAAGCAAATAGGATATATGTAGATCTATAGAAAGAGATTTATTATGAGGGATTAGCTCACATGATTATGAAGGCTGAGAAGTTCTATAAATTGCCATCTGCAAACTGGAGGCCCAGGGAAGCAAGCAGTATAGTTCTAGTTCAAGCCTGAAGGCCTGGGAGCCAGAAAGCCAATGGTATAAGCTCCAGTCTGAGTGCCAAGGTCCAAAAACAGGAAGTAGGAGATCTGATGGTGAAAATCCCTGCCTGAGTTTAAAGGCTTAAGAACAAGGAGCTCCAATGTCGCAGAGCAAGAGCACTGGATGTCCCAAATCAAGCAGATAGATTGAATTCACAATTCCCCTGCCTTTTTGTTCTATTCAGGCCCTCACCGGATAGGATATTGCCCACCCACATGAGGGAGGGGGATCTTCTTTACTCAGTGCTATGGTCTGAATGTGACAACCCCTCCAAAATCCAGGGGTTGTCAAGGTAATAGTATTAAAAGACGGGCCTCTAACAGGTGATTACACCACGAGGGCTGCTCTCATGTGAAAGAAATAAAGGCCCTTATGAAAAAAGGCTTTTTATGGCATTTGTCTAGGTCTTTAGCTTGCTCGTTAGCTTTTTTGCCATGCAAGGACACAGCATTCCACCTGTCTAGAGGACGCAGCCTCACCAAACATCCTCAACTGCCAGAGCCTTGGTCTTCAACTTTCCATCCTCCAGAACTATGAGAAATAAATGTCTGTTCTTTATAAATTACCCAGTCTCAGGTATTTTGGCCAGGTGCGACAGCCTCTGCCTGGGATTACATCCCAGCACTTTGGGAGGCCAAGGTGGGAGGATTGCTTGAGCCCTGGAGTTCGAGACCAGCCTGGGCAATGTAATGAGACCCCCCCCTGCCGCCATCTCTATTAAAAAAAAAAAAAAAATAGGCCAGGTGCGGTGGCTCACACCTGTAATCCCAGCACTTTGGGAGGCCAAGGCAGGCAATCCCTTGAGGTCAGGAGTTCAAGACCAGCCTGGCCAACATGGTGAAACCCCATCTCTACTAAAAATACAAAAATTAGTCCAGCATGGTGGCACGCAACTGTAATCCCAGCTACTTGGGAGGCTGAGGCAGGAGAATCACTTGAACCAGGGAGGTGAGGCGTAGGTTGTGGTGAGCTCAGATCGCACCATTGCACTCCAGCTTGAGCAACAAGAGCAAAACTCTCTCTCAAAAACAAATAAATAAATAAATAAATACAAAAATAAAAATAAAAAATTACCCAGTCTCAGGTATTTTGTTGTAGCAGCACAAACAGACTAAAACACTCAATCTACTAGTTCAAATGCTAATCTCTTCCAGAAATGCTCACACAGATACATGCAGAAATAATATGTACCAGCTATTGGGGCATCCCTTAGCCCAGTCAAGGTGGCACCTAAAATTAACCATCATGTTACCGATCATGATTTAATAGATCTAGGAAATTAGAATGAAAGTCTGCTAACATCACAAGAAGAGAGCTCATCAGACATCATGTGGCTCCTAATAAAAGAGCAGAACACCACCTGTGAAGAAGTCTTACCAAAATAAATTCACATCTAAATCTGATCAAACCTCAAGATTCAACCATCAATGTACAGAAAATACAGAGAAACTGGTTAATCTATACCACGAATACAATCAGCAAACTGCAAAGAGGAGGATGCTGACAATCTGGATTTCTCAAAGATAGATTATAAAGGAGATTAGAGTGAAAACTGATAGATTTTTAAAGCCTTTTAAAGGACATAATCAATCACAATATATGGACCTTATTTGGTTCCTGTTCGAATAGACAATCTGAAAAACAAAAAATTTCAAAATGACCAGGCGCAGTGGCTCACACCTGTAATCCCAGCACTTTGGGAGGCCGAGGCAGGTGGATCACCTGAGGCCAGGAGTTCGAGACCAGCCTGGCCAACATGGTGAAACCCCATCTCTACTAAAAAATACACACCTGTAGTCCCAGCTACTCAGGAGACTGAGGTGGAAGGATTGCTTGAACCCGAGAGGCGGAGGTTGCAGTGAGCCGAGATCACACCACTGCACTCCAGCCTGGGTGACAGAATGAGACCCTATCTCAAAAATAAATAAATAAATAAACAAAAACAAAATTTTTAATAAAACAAAATTTTTTTAATTCAAAATATGTGGGACAATTAAAATTTTTAACACTGAAAAGATGTTAATATTGAGGAATTATTGTTTTTAGAATGATATTTTAGTTATTTTTGTTTACACAGGGTCCTTTTATTATAGATACAAACTAAAATATGAATAAAATTTAAAAACTAATAAAAAGATAAATTAAAAATCGCCACATATTTGGACATTTAAAAACATAATAAGCCAAAAGCTTTTCGAGCTAGAAATGAAAAAGCCACTGAAGCATCGTATCGGTTTTAATTTCTAATAAGGCAAATAGCAATATCTATAACCTACATAAAGGAAAAGCTGTTGCTATTTAGGGTTCTCAAAATTTTTTTAACAGTAAGGCTTTCTTGAGACCAAAAAATGAGGAAACCACTGTGGATTATCATCAGCCATGATAGGTCCCTTTCTTGCTATGACGTCCTAGGAAGCCACTGTTCTAGAATTCCAGGCACGTATATAAGTCCCTGGTTGGGCTTAGGTTTCCGGGCTTTCTAGCTCAGGAGGCTGGTTTTCAATGACCTAAGGGATTTTGCCCAAAATTTACTTGTTTTCTTTTTGGCATTGTAGGCTTTCTGTCTTTTTCATTTGTTATTAACTTTCGCTCTCTCTCTTTTTTTATTCTTTTTCTCATTTTCCCATTTGTATTCTTTCTCTTTTTTTAGTTTTCTCATTTTTCCCTTTTTCTTGGTCTTCTTTACTTTTATTTTTCTCATTGTTTTCTTTTTCCTTATCCTTTTTTCTTTTTCTCACTTTTTTCTTTCTTTTTTTCTTTCTTTTTTTTTTTTTTTTTTATAAATAGAGATGGGGTCTCACTATGTTGCCCAGGCTGGTCTCAAACTCCTGAGCTCAAGTAATCTTCCCACCCCGGCCTCCCAAAGTGCTGGGATTACAGGTGTCAGCCACCGCACCCAGACTGTTTTTTTTTTTTATCTTTCTCTTGTTCTTTTTTATTCATTTCCTTTCTCTCATTATTATTTTTTTGGGTTTTTTTTGAGACAGAGTCTCACTCTGTTGCCCAGGCTGGAGTGCAGTGGCACAATCTCAGCTCACCGCAACTTCCACCTCCCAGGTTCACGCCATTCTCCTGCCTCAGCCTCCCGAGTAGCTGGGACTACAGGCGCCTGCCAGCACGCCCAGCTAATTTTTGTATTTTTAGTAGAGATGGGGTTTCACTGTGTTACCAAGATGGTCTCAATCTCCTGACCTCGTGATCTGCCCACATTGACCTCCCAAAGTGCTGGGATTACAAGCGTGAGCCATGGCACCCAGCCCTTCCTTTCCTCATTTAAAAAAATTTTTGTTAGTATTTGATTTTTGTTTATTTTTAGTTTAGCACTGTGTTTTGATCCCATTATAAAGATCAGTTGGTCAGGTGGTCTTTGGGAGTGATTTTTCTTTTGACATGATCTAGACCAAGCTTCTCTCTAGCTTTTCTCAGTTTTCAGCTGACCATGGGGCACTCTGCCTTCAAGCCCAGCAGTAAGTCCAATGTATGGCAGGGCCTCTTGTCCATCTCGGCTGAGAACACCCATGTTAGCAAACACCAGCTCCTCAACACCATCATCAAGGGTACCTTTGCCTGTCAAAGTTGGCCTGGCACATCCTTACTGGGAAATATGTAGCCATGGGGGATCATTGACCAGACTCAACAGAATTCCTCTAGCTTCCAGAGACAATCCTGCGAAGTAAAAAGCATGAAGGCTTAGAATCATCCCATCATGGTGAAATTATTTGAAGGGGTTGAGACTGAGAACAAGATTCCTTGTCACGGACTACACCGCTGGAGAAGAGTCCTCCTGCCTCATGGAAGTATGAAAGAAAAAGAGTGAAACTGTGCCCCAAAGAGTTCAAGAAACCAGTGACTAACAGAAATTCTTGAGTTTACAGGATGGCAGATAAGAAATAACTTGCTGAATTGCTGAAATTCCTTCTGCTTATGAGATTTAAAAATTGACTGAAATTGGTTGGAACCAATATGGCCAAATGGAATCTGTGTAAAACAAGGTTGCTTACATCGCAGTCTGGATCTCCACCAGATGTTTCATACTAACTCCTCCCAAATTTGCACATGCGACCCACGAGGAAGCATGAAGAGATAGCTGCGTATGCTGGAGGACTTCCCAGACCTCCCCTTTCCTTCCACCAACCACCTGCTAATCTCAGAATTCACCCCCAAACCTTTTCTAATAATATTGCCTTAAAGCCAGCACAAGCAGACAGATTTGAGCTGGACTCCTATCTCCTTATTGGTCAACCTGTAATAAAAAGCTTTGCTTTTCCTCAAAACCTGGAGTCATTGCATTGGCTTGTAGCGCATTGGGCAGTGAGCCCCTTTTGCTTGGTAACAAAATGACCAAGTCAAATTCCGCCAGATAGTGTCTGCTGTACATTACTGTCACCAGAAGTTTGTTGTCCATAGAGATTCAAAAGCAGATGGTTGGGCACAGTGGCTCACACCTGTGATCCCAGCACTTTGGGAGGCCAAGACGGGCAGTTCTCGTAAGGAGTTCAAGACCAGCCTGGCCAACATGGTGAAACCCTGTCTCTACTAAAAACACAAAAATTAGTCAGGCGTGGTGGCAGTCGCCTGTAATACCCACTGCTCGGGAGGCTGAGGCAGCAGAATTGCTTGAACCCAGGAGGCGGAGGTTGCAGTGAGCCAAGATCATGCCACTGCACTCCAGCCTGGGTGACAAAAGCAAGACTCCGTCTCCAAACAGTATATAGCCCGGGAGCGGTGGCTCATGCCTGTAATCCCAGCACTTTGGGAGGCCAAGGTGGGTGGATCACCTGAGGTCGGGAGTTCAAGACCAGCCTGACCAACATGGAGAAACCCCATCTCTACTAAAAATATAAAATTAGCCGGGCATGGTGGCGCATGCCTGTAATCCCAGCTACTCAGGAGGCTGAGGCAGAAGAATCGCTTGAACCCGGGAGATGGAGGTTGCAGTGAGCAGAGATTGTGCCATTGCACCCCAGCCTGGGCAACAAGAGTGAAACTCTGTCTCAAAAAAAAAAATACATATATATACATATATACATATATACACATATACATATATACACACATATATATACATATATACACATATACATATATATACATACATACATACATATATACATATATACATACATACATATATACATACATATACATATACACACACACACACACACACACATATACATATATATATGGCAGAAAACCTGCCCTTGGATGCTGACATGAACATCAAGATTGCAGACTTTGGCATCGGCAACAAATTCGCTTTCGTCAACAAGGTGGTTATCTTCCGGTTATCCCTTTTGCTGCCCTGGAACTCTTCATGGTCAAAAGTATGATGGACCCACCATGGATCTCAGGAGTCAGCTTCTATACACTGGTCAATGGATCCCTGCCTTTGATGGACAGAATTTCAAGGAGCTGTAGGATGAAGTACAGAGTAGAATGTATCACATTCACTTCTACTTGTTCATGGAAGGTGAAAACCTGCTTAAGAAATTTCTCATTCTCAATTCCAGCAAGAGAGACACTTTGGAGCAAATAATGAATGCTCCATGGATAAATGTATTCCATATCCCTCATAAAGATGAACTAAACCCTGTGTGGAGCCATTTTATGACTACAAGGACCTTCCCCCTCACCTGGCAACAGACAGAGTTGATGGTGTCAGTAGGTTCCACACATGAAGAGATTTAAGACTTGCCTTGGGAGTCTCCAGCGCTGCTGCCGCTGCCACCCAAGCCAGAGCGGGCTGGGCCGCCAAGGCAAGATGGTGGACTACAGCATGTGGAACCACATAGAGGTGTCTGATGATGAAGACGAGACGCATGCCAACATCGACACGGCCAGCCTCTTCCACTGGCAGCACCAGGCCCAGGGGGAGCGCATGGAGCAGTCCCAGAAGGAGAAGAGGAACTGGACAGGGGCTGCCACAAGCGCAAGCACAAGGTGGCCAAGTGCCAGAGGAAACTGAAGGAGCTGAAGGTGGCTGAGGGCGGCAAGGCAGAGCTGGAGCAGCTGCAGGCCGAGGCGCAGCAGCTGCGCGAGGATCGGAGCTGGGAGCAGAAGCTGGAGGAGATGCACAAGAAGGAGAAGAGCATGCCCTGGAACGTGGACACGCTTAGCAAAGATGGCTTCAGCAAGAGCATGGTCAACACCAAGCCGGAGAAGACGGAGGAGGACTCAGAGGAGGTGAGGGAGCAGAAACACAAGACCTTCGTGGAAAAGTGCGAGAAACAGACCAAGCACTTTGGCATGCTCGCCACTGGGATGACAGCCAAGAGTACCTGTCGGACAACGTCCACCTGGTGTGCGAGGAGACAGCCAATTACTTGGTCATCTGGTGCATTGATCTAGAGGTGGTGGAGAAATGTGCACTCATGGAGCAGGTGGTCCCCCAGACAATCGTCATGCAGTTTATCCTGGAGCTGGCCAAGAGCCTGAAGGTGGACCCCCGGGCCTGCTTCCGGCAGTTCTTCACTGAGATTAGGACAGCCGATCGCCAGTACGTGGAGGGCTTCAACGACGAGCTGGAAACCCTCAAAGAGCATGTGCAGGGCCGTGCCAAGCTGCCCATCAAGAAGGCCATGAAGGAGTACGAGGAGGAGGAGCGCCAGAAGCAGCTTGGCCCTGGCGGCCTGGACCCCATCGAGGTCTACGAGTCCCTCCCCGAGGAACTCCAGAAGTGCTTCCATGTGAAAGACGTGCAGATGCTGCAAGATGCCATCAGCAAGACGGACCCCACCAACGCGAAGTACCACATGCAGCGCTGCTTTGACTCTGGCCTCTGGGTCCCCAACTCTAAGGCCAGCCAGGCCAAGGTGGGAGAGGAGGCGGGTCCCGGGGACCCGCTGCTGGAAGCTGTTCCCAAGACGGGCAATGAGAAGGATGTCGGCGTGTGACCCGCCCCAGCTGCCATCGCCACCTGCTTGCAGGCCCCTACGTGCCCCTTTTCAGAAAACAGATAGATGCCATCTTGCCCGCTCCTGGCTTCCTCCACTTGTGCTGCTTGGCCGGGCTGGGAGGCCTGCCCAGCCCTCCCTGGCCTCTCCACTGTCCCATTCTCCAGCACCCATTCAAATCTCTGCTTTGAATCAAGGGGCTTCACTGCCTGCAGCCCCTCATCAGCATTATGCCAAAGGCCCAGGGTCCGGGGAGGGGCAGAGGTTGCCAGCTGGTCCACCAGGTAGTAGGGGAGGGTCCCCAGCCAAGGGGCTGGCTCTGGTCACTGGGCTCTGTTTTCACTGTCTGCTTTCTGTGTCTTCTATTTGGCAAACAGCAATTATGTTCAAATAAAGGACTTCGGATGCTCAAGAGAAAAAAAAAAAAAGACTTGCAACAGGCCAGAGGTACAATGAGGTGATGCCTTTCGATCTGCTCTTGGGCTACAAGAGGTCCAAGCTGGAGGTCTGCACCATCCCTTTGCATCCCCAGCCTTTGGCTGATCTGGCCAACACTTTCCCATCCTACAAGGTACAGCACAGGATCTCTGCCAGCCCCAAGCATGAGTTTCAGGGAGCCTACCATTCCCACCTTTAATTGTTGTATTAGTGTGCAAGGGCTGCCATAATACCACAAACTGAAAGCTTAAACAACAATTATTTTCTCATAGTTCTGGAGGCTGGAAGTCCAAGATCAAGGTGCCAACAGGGTTAGGTTCTTCTGAGGCCACCCTCCTTGTCTTGCAGAGTCTTCTCACTGTGTCCTCACATGGTCTTTTCTCTGTGCCCATGCATCCCTGGTGTCTCTTCCTCTTTTTATAAGGAAGCCAGTCCTGTTTGATTGGGACCCCATCCTTATGCCCTCATTTAAACTTTAAAGGCCTGGCTGGGCACGGTGGCTCATGCCTGTAATCCCAGCACTCTGGGAGGCCAAGGCAGGTGGATCACCTGAGGCCAGGAGTTCAAGACTAGCCTGGCCAACATGGCGAAACCCCATCTCTACTAAAAATACAAAAATTAGCTGGGCTTGTTGGCACATGCCTGTAATTCCAACTATTAGGGGGGCTGAGGCAGGAGGATCACTTGAACCTGGGAGGCGGAGTGAGCCGAGATCGTGCCACTGCACTCCAGCCTGGGCAATAGAGCGAGACTCTGTCTCAAAAAAAAAAAAAAAAAAAACTTTAAAGGCCTTAACTTTAAGTTAAACTTTAAAGGCCTTAACTTTAAATCACCTCTTTAAAGGCCTTATCTCCAAATACAGTCACATTGGGGATTAGGGTTTGACATATTAATGTTGGGGACATGGGGGACACAATTCAGTCCTTAAAAATTGCTGCACTAAGAGTATTCAGAGGAGCAAGGCAGATCCTCAAGAGGTTCCGGAGATAGGGCAGAAGCCAGGGGCATAGCCAATGTGCCTGCCAGTCCCCCATGCAGCCTGGAGCCCTCTCCACAAACAGCAAGTTCTCCTTCAAGTTTATACAGAGGCATCTTTGTTTCAGGTTTGCCAAAAGGAACCTTAAAAAACCGAGTGGAGATATTCAAACCTAAAGAGGCCGACCTATACTTGCTACACTTTATATGTAGTATGAAGATCTCAGGCTCCATGGAGCCCAATGAGATAACATGGGAATTTGGCAAGGTGCTCAACACAAACAGCTGCCAGGGCGAGCTGAGCAAGAAATGGTGCTGCTGTGCATGCATGGTGTGCCAGGCCAGGAGGGCTTTGTGCAGCGGAAGGTGGAGGTGTGAAAACTCCCACAGCAGTCTCTCAGAGTTCAATGGAAATGCATGCCTGGCACCTCCCTGGCCTTCAAAAGTATTGCCTCCAAACTCATGACAAAGATCCTCTCGATGAAACTTTACTCAGGCTCCCCTGGACTCTTTCTCACCTAGGCCTGACTTTTGGACTACCGTGTCCATCTCTACATTGCCCAGTTTTAGCCAGAATCCTGCTGAGTTGGTTTAGATAGAATTCCCCCATCCTGCATGTCTAATCACCCCTGGTATCTAACCTGTTTTCTCATCCTCCACCATCCCCCTGATGTCTGATCACCCTGGTCTGTCTGCAGCAAGAAGCCTGGTTAGGTCAGTAGAGTCAGAATCTCCCTTATCACTGATGTTTTCTCTTAGTAATTTTCCATCCACTGACCCGCCTACCCTGTTCCTTGGCTATAAATTCCCACTTGCCCCTGCTGTATTTGGAATTCAACCCAATTCTATCCTGAAGGCTCTTTTTCCCTATTGCAATAATACTGAACAAAATCTGTTTTTACCACTTGAACTACTGTCCAGCTCTGGTTTTCTTTAACAACGAAGGAGATTAAGGTTTAAAAAGCTGTCAGGAGCCATGTAGGAGACAAGAGGAAGAGCCAACTGGCCACCAGCCACTCAACTCCACCCCAGGCTGCAGAGATTAAATTGGCCTGTTTCTGGGGCACTTCTCCCGTCCCATGCCCTGCATCTTTTTTCTTCCATATTTGTAGGGGAGGGAAGATGGTTCTGTAAAATAAAGATTTAAAAAAAAAACACACACTTCTCTTCCCTCCTTCCTGTTTCCCTTCCCTGTTCCTTCTCCTTCCTCTCTCCCTCATGTGCTTCTGACCTACGCTATAAGACTTTGATTACATACAGGGAGAACTGGGCAAATAATTGAACACATCTAAGATAATGGGAACCAGGTTTCTCACTGGAGGAAGTTACAAATATGGAAAAGAGGAGGACAAAAATAAATCTGATGTTGGATTGGAATTGGAGATATTGGTGTGGACTCATGGTTTTTAATATAAAGAGAAATATATATGTGTGTATGTGTCCATTCAAACCACTAAGATGGCCTAGGAGCATGACATACCAGTATCAGTGAGTACTCCTAGTGCCCAGATCTTGGTTCCTACATACCATTCTCCACTTAAGAAAATCAAGGCTCTTTGGAGAAATGGTGGATTCCAGGGCTAGGTAGGGAAATATAAGATAAACTTGAAACATTTTTTGTTTCAGAAAGAAAGGAAGGGCTCAAAGAATGATGAGAACATACCAAGAAGAACAGAAGTATCTATAATTAATCTAGAGCAAACATTATTCTAAATGGGGAAATGCTAAAATTATTCCTTTTAAAATCAGGAATGGGACAAGATCGCACTAATACCACTACTATTCACATTGTGAAGGTCTGAGCCAATATAGATGTAAGAAAGAAATTGGAGTTTTAGGAATCGGAAGAAAAAATAAATCCATACTCAATTGTATATTAAATGATTGTTTAAAAAGAAAACTCAATAGAATAGACAAATTATGAGAATTAAAGTTTAGAAAGAAGCCTGGTTATAGGATTTTTTTCACATTTTTAATTTTTTTATTGATAAAATATACATATATAATTTACCATTTTGGCTGGGTGCGGTGGCTGATGCCTGTAATCCCAGCACTTTGGCAGGCCGAGGCGGGCGGATCACGAGGTCAGGAGATCGAGACCATCCCGGCTAACACGGTGAAACCCCATCTCTACTAAAAATACAAAAAATTAGCCAGGCGTGGTGGCGGGCGCCTGTAGTCCCAGCTACTCGGTAGGCTGAGGCAGGAGAATGGCATGAACCTGGGAGGCAGAGCTTGCAGTGAGCCAAGATGGCGCCACTGCACTCCAGCCTGAGAAACAGAGCGAGACTCTGTCTCAAAAAAAAAAAAAGATAATAATAATAATTTACCATTTTTACCATCTTTAAGTGTGCAGTTCAGTGGTAATAAATTCATTTATATTATTTTTTCCCTTTCATCCATCCCCACCCCACCTCCCCTTCTCAGCCTCTAGTAACCACCAATCTACTTTCTATCTTCATGGGATCCACTTTTTTAGTTCCTGCGTATGAATCAGAACATGCAATCTCTCTGTGCTTGGCTTATTTCACTCAACATAATGCTCTTCAGTTTCATCCACGTTGTTGCAAATAACAGGATTTAATTCTTTTTATGGCTGAATAATATTCCATTGTGTATATATACCACATTCTCTTTATCCATTTATTCACTGATGGCCACTTTGGTTGATTCCACAGTTTGGCTATTGTCAATAGTGCTGCAATAAACATAGGAGTGCAAATATGTCCTTGATATACTGATTTCCTTTCTTTTTGGATGTATATCCAGAGGTGGAATTGCTGGATCATATGGAAGTTCTACTTTTCATTTTTTGAGAAGCCTCCATTCTATCAAGGCTCTTTGGAGAATGGTGGACTCCAGGGCTAGGTAGGGAAATATAAGATAAACTTATCAATAGAATCAATATTTTTATGTTGTATTTCCATATACCAGAAACAAACAATTATAAAATATAATTTTTTAAAAATCCATTTACAATAGTTAAGAAAATACTTTTTTTCTACATAGAAAAAAAAACTAAAGATATGTCAGAACTACAGAGGAAAGTATAAAACTTTATTAGGATATTAAAATCTAACTAGAAGGAGAAATATACCACGTCCATGGGTAGAAAGACAAAATTGTAGATATGCATTCTCTCCAAATTTATCTACAGATTCAATACAATACTTCAGCAGGGTGTTACATGGAAGTTGATAAGATGATTCCAAAATGTATATGGAAGAGGAAAGGACAAAGAATAACTAGGATCCTCCAAAGAAGAGCAGGGCAGAGGACTTGCCACACAAACTATGAGGAAGTATACTAAACCTATAGTAATTATGACTTTATTAAGTATTATAAACCTATAGTAATTAGTAACTCAGTATTGTAAGCCTATAGTAATTACCTATAGTAATACTTTATAATTATTAAAAACCTGTAGAAATATAATCATATTGGTGCAAGGTCAGATAAATTGACAAATGGGATGAAGGGAGTGGAATGGAAGGGAATGAAATGGAATGGAAGCTTCAAAACAAACCCACACATTTCATAATGTTGATGCACAACAGAGGTGGCATGTCACATCACTGGGGAAAGGAATAACTTCAAGAAATGAAGCACCTTTTAAAAATGTAATCCATTTGGAAAAGGAGAAATTAGATTCCTGCCTCACACTATATCCAAAAATCAACTTCAGATGTAATAAGGACATAAATGTCAAAACAAAACTTTTTTTTTTTTTTTTTTTGAGACGGAGTCTCGCTCTGTCACCCAGACTGGAGTGCAGTGGTGCAATCTCAGCTTACTGCATGCTCTGCCTCCCAGGTTCATGCCATTCTCCTGCCTCAGCCTCCCGAGTAGCTGGGACTACAGGCGCCCGCCACCACGCCCGGCTAATTTTTTGTATTTTTAGTAGAGACGGGGTTTCACCATGTTAGCCAGGATGGTCTCAATCTCCTGACCTCGTGATCTGCCCGCCTAGGCCTCCCAAAGTGCTGAGATTACAAAAACAAAACTTTTAAATAAAAAATATAAGCAAGGTTTTGGCTGGGCGCAGTGGCTCACACCTGTAATCCTAGCAATTTGAGAGGCCAGAGTGGGAGAATCACTTGAACTCAGACTCTGTCTCAAAAAAAAAAAAAAAAAAAAAAAAAGAACTCCTATACAATTACAAATGCACCAACAATTCTCTGTAGGGATAACCACACTTTTTCTTAAAGGGACAGATAGCAGATATTTTTGTCTTTGAGGTCCATACAACCTCTCTTGCAACTACTCAATCATTGTTCAAAAGTAGTGAAAGAAAATACATAAGAGATTAACCACGTTTCAGTGAAATTTTATTTACAAAAACAGAGAGCCAGCACAATGGCCTTAGCTTCCCAACCCTTCTAGTAGACTAAGAATTTGAGTTGAAAATTTTTTAAAATTAGAATTTAAATCAGTTTGCTTTGTTATATAATAAAATACTGCAAAACCTAGTGGCTTAAAGCAGCAAACACATTATGTCTATTATGTCTCTCTCTCTCTCTCTCTTTTTTTTTTGATGGAGTTTTGCTCTTGTCATCCAGGCTGGAGTGCAATGGCAGGATCTCAGCTCACTGCAACCTCTGCCTCCCAGGCTCAAGAGATTCTCCTGCCTCAGCCTCCCGAGTAGCTGGGATTACAAGCATGCACCACCATACCCAGCTAATTTTTGTATTTTTAGTAGAGATGGGGTTTCACCATGTTGGCCAGGCTGGTCTCAAACTCCTGACCTGCAGTGATCCTCCTGCCTCAGCCTCCCAAAGTACTGAGATTACAGGCATGAGCCACCACGCCTGGCCAAAGTCTCTTGATACTATGGGTCTGCTGGGCAGTTCTTCTGGTCTGGATCAGCTTGGCAAATCTGTGCTGTCGGTTGGAAGCTTGGCTGGGACCGGAGAGTTTAGGGTGGCTTCACTCCCATTAATGTTCCTTTGACCAAAGCAGGTCATATGTCCAAGCCCAGATTCAAGATTCAAGAAGTAGATAAATAAACTAAACTTCATCTTTTTTTTCTCTCTCTCTCTTGAAACAGAGTGTTGCTGTGTTTCCCAGGCTGGAGTGCAGTGGCGCGATCTCAGCTCACTGCAACCTCTGCCTCCCAGGTTCTAAATGATTCTCATACCTCAGCCTCCTAAGTAGCTGGGACTACAGGCATGCATCACCACATCCAGCTAATTTCTTTATTTTTAGTAGAGATGAATGGGGTTTAACCACGTTGGCCAGGCTGGTCTGGAACTTCTGGCCTCGAGTGATCCGCCTGCCTCAGCCTCCCAGAGTGCTGGTATTACAGGTGTGGGCCACCTTCATCACTTGATCCTCCCACTTCAGCCTCCCAAAGCACTTGATAGAAGAAGGAGCAAAGTCAGGAGGCAAAAGGGAATGTAATCCAAGATGGGAGGCATTTATAGCCACTTTACAATTGAATTGTAAACCTTTAAGCAACCATGATGTGAATTCATAGTCTAGGTAATAATCAGTGGCTGTACAATTGAAAATCACTAACTTATGTTAGCCTCTGTGGCTTGGCTCCTAAAGGAAAACTTTCCATCAATAACAAGTTTATAGGCCAGAGGCAGTGGCTCACACCTGTAATCCCAACATTTTGGGAGATGGAGGCAGGCAAACTGCTTGAGCTCAGGAGTTCAAGACCAGTCTGGGCAACATAGTGAGACCTTGCTCTACTAAAAATAAAATAATAATAATAATAATAACAAGTTTATAGAACAGTCCCCTATTTTATTTTTCACAGAACTCTTTTGTCCAAATGCAACAACTAAGACACTTCTATAACCACAGTATTGATATTAATGACTCCCAAGAGAACAAGCATTCCTTGTCCCCTGGTCCTACCCAGAGAGATTTTTCTAGAATTGGGGTCGGGGAGGGAAAGGTAAGGAATATCATTTGACAATATTTATTCAGATAAACCACAAAATTTTATAGTCAATGAAAAACATATATAACTATGTCTTTTAATACAAATTATAGAAAGCATCACATTTATAAAATAGAGACAAGGTTTTTAAAAATTGAGAGGCTGGGTGCAGTGGTATGTGCCTGTCACTCCAATGCTTTGGGAGGCCGAGGCAGGTGGATTGCTTGAGCCCATGAGCTCAAGGCTGCAGTGAGCTAGGGTTATGCCACTGTCCTGCAGCCTGGGTGACGGAGCAAGACCCTGTCTCTTAAAAAAAAAAAAAAAAAAAAAAAAAAATACGCCAGGCACAGGGCTCACGCCCGTAATCCCAGCACTTTGGGAGGCTGAGGCAGGTGGATCACGAGGTCAGAAGATCAAGACCATCCTGGCTAACATGGTAAAACCCCGTCTCTACTAAAAATACAAAAAATTAGCCGGGCGTTGTGGCGGGTGCCTGTAGTCCCAGCTACTCAGGAGGCCGAGGCATAAGAATGGTGTGAACCCGAGAGGCAGAGCTTGCAGTGAACTGAGATCATGCCACTGCACACCAGCCTGGGCGACAGAGCGAGACTCCGTCTCAAAAAAAAATATATATATATATATATACACACACACACACACACATACATACATAGAGAGAGAGAGAGAGAGAGAGAGAGAGACCAGACAGTGGAGAGTTTCCAGTTTCCAGGTATACCCTGAGTTTGGTAGAAGCCATTTCTCTCCAAAAGAGACCCTGTAGGCCACAGTCAGAGGGCAAGCATCCCTGAGAAAGCCACAGAAAGATTATTCTCCTGGCTGAATCCATTCCCTGACTGGCTGGCACTTGGCAACCTGACAAGTGTTTTACATTCAAAAGGTCAAGCTCTGAGTGAATCTGCCCAGAGACTCTAGTGAAGAGTGCCTTGCCACTCACGCCTGGATGCCCAGGCCTGGCGCCTGTCCCCTGCCCCTGCCATTCTGACAGCTGTGGAAGAAGGACCCAGGTTCCCAGCTTGGGCTGTCAGCACATGCAGGGCAGCCCTTTTGTTGAAGGTCAAAGTCTAATTCTCACTCCAGGAAGCCTTCTCTCTGGCTCTCTTTCTTCCAGCATGTCCATCTTAATAATTGCTTATATTTTTCTGCTACCTTATAGTCTTCAAGACATTTTCCCCTTCACAACCTCATTTGATCCTCTCAAACAGAAGCAGGGTGTCAGAACAATCATGAGTCTTCGTTTTGTAAAAAGAAAGACTAGGCAATTGAGTGCTGGGAGAAAAGCGTAGGGACAGAAAGATGTGATATTTTTCCTCCCCCATCATAAGGGTCACGGCTGACACTCCTATAACAAAGACAGGTTAACAGGAGAAAAGCATAACAAATTTATTTAATCAAAGTTTTATGTGACACAGGAGCCTTCAGAATGAACATCCAAAGATATAGGGAAAGTTGTCTGGTTTGTTTTTGTTTTGTTTTTGTTTTTGTTTTGAGACAGAGTTTCACTCTTGTTGCCCAGGCTGGAGTGCAGTGGCGCAATCTCAGCTCACTGCAACCTCCATCTCCCAGGTTCAAGAATTTTCCTGCCTCAGCCTCCTGAGTAGCTGAGATTACAGGTGCCTGCCACCACATCTGGCTAATTTTTGTATTTTTAGTAGAGATGGGGTTTCACCATGTTGGCCAGGCTGGTCTCAAACTCTTGACCTCAGGTGATCCACCCACCTTGGCCTCCCAAAGTGCTCGAATTACAGGCCTGAGCCACCGTGCCTGGCGAGCTGTCCATTTTTGTGCTTTGATTGGATGAAAAATGGACAGCTGTGTAGAAATATGATTGGACTAAAAGAGTATGACCCAATGCTAATAGGCTGCGTGGGGAAGCCCAGCAAGGCCTATGCAGTTTCTTCTTGCCCTCTCTGTTGTAGCATTTCTTCCTCCTAGGTATGGATGAGGCAGGACCCCTCTGGAATGACAGTCTTCTGACCTAATATTGCACAAGGATAAGACAGAGAATTTCTTTATGTCCAGCTCCTAGCCAGAACAGTAAAGAAAGGTTACAGTAATTATTCTAGTTTTTATGGCTGGCTTTGGAAAAGAGAAGTTCTAGTTTCTATGACCCACCTTGGGGAAGAGGAATTCTGGTTTCTATGACTTGCTTCAAGACAGAATGAAGGGTAAGAGACAGCAAGGCAGAAAATCTAAGAGACCTTGGTTCTGAGATTGCTTCTGAGGCCTTCTGACATCCTTTAATTTATTGCTTCTAGATATTTTGGCTAAGATCAAGTGTAGTATCTGTTCTTATCAGTTTAATATTTGATATGTCCTCTATCCAAGGGCAATATATTAAATGGATTTTTGGAGCAGGGAGATAGAGTAGGAGCTTGCTCCATCCACTCCACACACTGACTTGGTATTGCAGTACCTCCAGGAATGATGCAACCCTCCAGGATATTTTTATTTTTAATCCTTTAATTTAAAGTGCTCAGCATGCCAAAGTGCCATACTTTGAAGTATCACTTTCTGAGCCCCAATAGAAGTATAATATAGTAGTTAAAAACAAAGGCTCCATAGTTAGCCTTCTGCCCATTACTCACCAGGTAATCTTGGCACACTAATCTCTCTGACTCAGGTTTCCTATATAGAAACTAGACATAATAATCTCCCTATCTCCTAAGTCTTTTTGCAAGAACAAAGTATAAAAATATAAGTAAAATGTCTACCATATAACAATAGCATAAGAAGTCACCAGTATTGTTTTTATTATTTGTATTGCTTTTGTTGTTATCACATAGCTAGTGATCCAACACTAGCTATGTGATAACGCCAGCTGTGTGGCAAAGTGGAGACACACATCCATGACCTGAAAGTCATACTACCTACCTCCAACTTTCAATAAAGAGAGTGGGAACTCTGGCTGTCCTGCTCTCCCAAATGAGAAGCAAGCTATCCCATGATGTGTGGTCTAGGGTTCCTCATTAGACTGCTGTTGTTCTTCTTCTTCCTCCTCCTCCTCCTCCTTTTCCCTTCTCCTCCTCCTCGTCCTCTTCTTCTTCTTCTTCCTTCTTCTTCTTCCCTCTTCTTTTCTTCTTCTTCCTTTAGAGACAGGGTCACACTCTGTTGCCCAGGCTAGAGTGCAGTGGCACAATCATAGTTCACTGCAGCCTTGAACTCCCAGGCTCAAGCAATCTTCTTCCCTCCACCTCCCACATACCTAGGACTGCAGGCATGCGCCACTACACCCAGCCAGACCCATCTTCTTAAAAGAAAACTTTTTCCTTACAGCTTGCTAAAACTTCAGAAAAGAACCCTAGGGTCCAAAATTCTTTTAGGTATGGGCAAAAAACAAGTTTTACCCAAAACTGGGTTTGTCTTTAGAATCCTGTTAGCCTTTCCCTCCGCAACCTAGTAGTCTAATCCAGGAAAGTCAGTATTCCCAAATAAATCAACTCCATTGATGATCAAACTTCTTCTTATAGCCAGGAGTTTCAAATCCTTTTCTCACTAACCTTTCATCAAATTTGCTCAAAAATCACCAACTTTTAACTATTCCAGTTCTTTTTCCTCCTTGGGTAATTACCAATGGATATGTCAGTGAGCAGCAAATGGAAAAAGAAGGTGGAAAACTGAGGGTCCATGTGACCCAGTAGTCTGGTTGCAAATCCATGAATAATTCACAGCTAACTATGCCCATGTGAAAGAAAATGAGAGATGTTTAGTTACAGCATGCAAAAACAAACAAATGAAGAAAAGAATTAAATTTCAAATATGATCATAACTATATAAGGAAAAAAAAAGCAAATGAGAGAAAAAATGAAAATGAGAGAGCAGGATCCCAGGAATAACATTAAACCATGACTGTGAAAGACAAAGAGAATATGAGGGAAAATAATAACAATATAGAAATCTACCTTACTACACAGTGTATAGCAAAAGAACAGTAAATAATGAATCTCCCACTACCATTAAATTAACTTCAAATTGTTTTTGTTTCTAATTTACATATGCCTGAATCAAATGTGACGGTGGAAGTCTTTTTTTAATGCTATTTACATGCCACAGAAATATTGCAACCAGAATGAAAGATTATTGATCGTTTCCAATAGCTTCCTCTAAAGTATATGCCAAACTCATGGAAGGTATATGTGAGAGTCATTTGAATTTCAAATGCATTTACAAGGGTCAGCGCTATCACAGTACATAGCAAATGAATCTGTAATGAAGAGGTATTCCAGACCGATCGTTTCCAAATTATGCTTTTAGATTATCTTCATTTCTGTCTTGAAAATATGTCCTATTATTTATAGCATGGAATGAGAAACCCTGGACTTTTCTGACATCGAATTATATCTCTGGTTTTTACGATTGCTCTCTCATGCTTTTACACACCAGCCTAGCCACAACAGACTCATACGCTTATTTTTTCTAGTAAACTCCTAGAAGCCTTCAAACCCCAGCTCAAATATCACCTGCTCTGCAAAACCTTTGCCAGCACTCCCAGGTGGAGTAGAAATCCCTACTCAGCACTCTCATCACCCTATGTGCATGCGTCTATTCTACATGCAGCTTCAGCAAGCGTCTTCTCTTCTGGCACCCAAACTCATCAGGTTAAGATAGAACCATGGTGCAGCAGGGCACGGTGGCTCACACCCATAATCCCAGCACTTTGGGAGGCCGAGGTGGGTGGATCACCTGAGGTCAGAAGTTCAAGACCAGCCTGACCACCATGGAGAAACGCCGTCTCTACTAAAAATACAAAAAATTAGCCAGGTGTGGTGGTTCATACCTGTAATCTCAGCTACTCGGGAGGCTGAGGTAGGAAAATTACTTGAACCTGGGAGGTAGAGGTTGCAGTGAGCCGAGATCGCACCATTGCACTCCAGCCTGGGCAACAAGAGCAAAACTCCGTCTCAGACAGAAAAAAAAAAAAAAGATACAGCCACAGTGCGGTATGTATGGATTGTACTAGTAGTTAAGTAACAGAGACCTATGCGAGCTAACTTAAATTCAAAGACAGGGAGGGAGGCATATTATTATAAGCCTATATGGGAATCTCATGGAATCCAAGCCAAGCTTCAGGGAAAGACTGGTAAAAAACATGGAAGCCATCTGGAACCTAAATCACACTCCCATCTTCTTTCTTTCTTTTTTTTTCTTTTTAGAGACAGAGTCTCGCTCTGTCACCCAAGCTAGAGTGCAGTGGCGCCATCTCGGCTCAATGCAACCTCCATCTCCTAGGTTCTAGCAATTCTCCTGCCTCAGCCTCCCGAGTAGCTGGGATTACAGGAGCACGCTGCCACATCTGGCTAATTTTTTGTATTTTAGTAGAGACGGGGTTTCACCATGTTGCCCAGGGTGGTCTCAAACTCCTGAGCTCAGGCAATCCACCAGCCTTGGCCTCCCAAAGTGCTAGGATTACAGGCATGAGCCACCACGCCCGGCCACACTCCCATCTTCTATAACCAATTCTTCCTAACATCTGCTTTACTCTTTAAACTATAGACAACACAACAAAAGGAACAGGGTGGTGGTGGAGAGACTTGAGTTTCACCACAATTTTAGCACCTACATGGGGCAAGTCCAGTGATGCTAAAAGATCAATCTCTTGTTGTCTCCCCTTCAGTCCCAATTCCAAATTCCAGGGAGGAAATGGAATTGCCCAGCCTGAGTCGAGTGTCCACAGTGATCCCATTTGCAATGTTCAGGTGGCCAGGCATATGTGGTTCAAACACAATTCTTGGGAACACTGGGAAGGGGAGCAGAAAAGAAGGGAGAATCATTGTGAGTTAAGCAGACAGCCCAAAAGGTGACGCCTATGCAGGTATTTTGTTGGAAAAAAGGGAAGAAGGGAAGGAAGGGAGGGAAGGAAAGAGGGAGGGTGAGAAGGGAGGGATGAATCAAAATACATTTTAGAGGCATTTCTCACGGTGATGAGTCAAACCAGAAAGAACTTAGTGTCTTACTGGGGATGTTCATGAAATCCAATGGCAGTGACATCATTGAATATATGTGCATATGATGATGTGCACCTGCCTGTAGGTAGCCACTGATATGGACTCTTACATTTGAGAACATGTAACCTAATCAATCACTTGGATTTGCAGTTTAGGAAAAATCAAAAATATGTGAAGAACCCAAAACCCCAAATCTATACTGTCAGTGGCATCTTCTCGAAACAATCCAGAGGGCTGTAGCCTTCATGCTCAGTAGGCATCAAAACCTACTGGGAGGTAGAAGAGAAACCCATTTCTACTCACTGAAGTAAATGTGTGCTCACAGCAAACAATAGCAGCGCTTTGGGCATCAGACTGTCAATAAGACTAAAGCCTCGGTATGGCCAAGGTTTCCCAAAGTATGGTCCACATTGGAATCTCAGCCAAGAAATCTGCACTTTTTTTTTTTTGAGACAGGGTCTTGCTGTGTTGCCCCGACTGGAGTGCAGTTGTATGCTCAGGGTTCACTGTAGCCTTGACCTCCTGGGCTCAAGCAATCCTCCTACCTCAGCCACCCAAGTAGCTAGAACCACAACACCCAGCTAATTTTTGTATTTTTTGTAGGGAGGGGATTTTGCCACGTTGCCCAAGCTGGTCGTGAACTCATGAGCTCAAGTGATCCTCCCGCCTTGGCCTCCCAAAGTGCTGGAGTTACAAGAGTGAGCCACTAAGCCCAGCCTGGGAAGCTTCTTATGCATAGCACCACTGTGTAGCAGTGTAGTAAGTGGCCTCTAAAATGACTTCCAATGATCCCCAAGCTATATGCTTTTGCAGCTCCCTCCCACGTTATACTTGGTTTGATCTGATTCCTCCCACATTATACTTGGTTTGATTTGTATTACCAATAGCATATAGCAGAAGTGATAATACATCACTTCCAAGATTAGGTTATAAAAATATTTTGGCTTTCATCTTAAGAGCTTTGTCTCTCTTTCTCCCTCTCTTTGTCTCTCTCTCTTTGTCTTTCTCCCTCTCTTTCTCTTTTCTTAGGTAACCATTCCCACTGGGGAAAGCCATGTCATGAACAGCCCTATGGAGAAAAAACATGTGGCAAGCAGCTGAAGCTCCTGCCAACAGCCTCATGAGTGAGATTAGAAGCGAATACTCCAGCTCCTTCAGAAACTGCAGCACTGGCTGACAGCTTGACTGCAGCATCCTAAGAGACTCTGAAATCAGAACCACTCGGCTAACCATTCCCAGATTCCTGACCCTCAGAAACCATGTGAGATCATAAATGTTCATTGTTTTATTGTTTTAACTGGCTACATTTGGGGGTAATTTATTACACAGCAATAGATAAATAATACAGGTAGCTAGTCTCCAAAGAGGCCCCTTCCTGTCCTTACATACTGCTCCTCACATCAAGAGATGGAGCTTATTTTTCCTTTCTTTACATTTGAGCTGGCCCCGTGGCTTGCTGAACAATAGAATGCAGCCAAAGTGACATTCTGGGACTTTTGAGACCAGCTTTTAAGAGAACTGGCAGCTAGCTACCTCTTGGAATCCAGACACATGCTGTGAGCAACCAAAGCCACATGGATCGGGTATGGAGAGGAGAACAGAAGTGCCTGTTTGGCAGCTCCAGCTGAGCTCCCAGCCAACAGCCAGCGCAGACTGTCTGCCTTGTAAGTGAGCCCTCTTGAATGTCCCATCCAATTGAGCCCCCCAGGTGACTGCAGTCCCCACCCACACCATGTGAAGCAGAACTGCCCAGTCAATCCAAAGAACTGTGAAAAACAAAGGGTTGTTATTTTAAGTCACTAAATGTGGGGGGTAGTTTTCAGGTAGCAATAGATAACCAAAACATATTGTCTTTTTTGTTGTTGTTGTTGTTGTTGTTTTTGTTGTTGTTTTTGAGACGGAGTCTCTCCCTGTCGCCCAGGCTGGAGTGCAGTGGCGCGATCTCGGCTCACTGCAAGCTCTGCCTCCCGGGTTCACGCCATTCTCCTGCCTCAGTCTCCCGGGTAGCTAGGACTACAGGCGCCCGCCACCACGCCCGGCTAATTTTTCGTATTTTTAGTAGAGATGGGGTTTCACCGTGTTAGCCAGGATGGTCTCGATCTCCTGACCTCGTGATCCGCCCACCTCGGCCTCCCAAAGTGCTGGGATTACAGGCATAAGCCACCGTGCCTGGCCGACATATTGTCTTAAACTGATGAATTTGTTCTCTAATGATTAGATTCCCAGCACCCATCTGTAAGTGGAGTATAGATGTCTGTTCAAGGGACTTTTCCAGGCAAAGAAGTCATGCCTTGTAAGATTGTCTTGTACCTTGCATTTCCTTTCTATTCACCAGGATGCTGGGTATCACTAGAGGCCTACTAAGGCCTTTTGACATTGGTTCCTCCAATTTCTGTTCTGCTTCTAATAACAGCAGGAAGAACTAACATTTACTGAGCTCTACTAGGTCCCTGGCACTGTCCTCATTTACCTCTATTAATTTATTAAATTATTGGCTGGGCACGGTGGCTCACGCCTATAATCCCAGCACTTTGGGAGGCCGAGGCAGACGGATCCTTTGAGGTCAGGAGTTCGAGACCAACCTGGCCAATATGGTGAAACCCCGTCTCTACTAAAAATAAGAAAAAAAAATTAGCTAGGTATGGTGGCAGACACCTGTAATCCCAGCTACTGGGGAAGCTGAGGCAGGAGAATCACTTGAACCCGGGAAGTGGAGGTTGCAGAGAACCAAGATTGCACCATTGCATTCCAGCCTGGGTGACAGAGTGAGATTCCACCTCAAGAAAAAAAAAAAAAAAAAAATAGCAACACTAAGAGCTAGGTCTTGTTGTTACCTCCATTCTCCGTATGGGGAAACTGGGGCCTACAGAGGTAAAAAACTTGATCAAGCTCACACAGAACTCATAGGCAATCAAGCCAGCAGTAGGGCTGGTGCAGTGGCTCACGCCTGTAATCCCAGCACTTTGGGAGGCCCAGGCAGGCAGATCACATGGTCAGGAGTTCGAGACCAGCCTGGCCAATATGGTAAAACCCGTCTCTACTAAAAATACAAAAATTAGCTGGGCGTGGTGGCGCACACCTGTAGTCCCAGCTACTCAGGAGGCTGAGGCAGAAGAATTGCTTGAACCCAGGAGGTGGAAGTTGCAGTGAGCCGAGATCGCGCCATTGCACTCCAGCATGAGTGACAGAGTGAGACTCTGTCTCAAAAAAAAACAGCCAGCAGTGCGTGGGAATCAGTCAGTTCAGCTCCACATCCATGCTTCACCACTGCTCCACACTACACTCAATCACAGGAGGTAGGATGCTCCCATTACCTCCATTTTAGGGACAGGAACCTGAAGCTTATGGACAGTGAGTCTCTGGCACAGAGTTCACACAGTTAATAAAGGGAAGACCTAGAAGGAAACTTCCCCTTTCACCTATGCTCTTAAACACAATCCTATTTTGCATCCCCACCTTTGCAGAACATGCAGATTGTAGCGGGGGTCTGGTCCAGTCATGTAATCTCCACTCTGTTAGGCCCTACCTTCCAGGCTCTTCTAGGCTATACCTTATGAACAGTATTTTAAGGAAGAGACAGGTCAAGGAATCACACAACTATGGTGTCAACTTGGCAGCTCCTGGAATTGCTTTTTGTTTTGTTTGTTTTTATTTTTTTGAGACAGGATCTCCCTCTGTTACCTGGGCTAGGGTGCAGTGGTACAATCACAACTCACTGTAGCTTCAACCTCTTGAGCTCAAGCAGTCCTCCTGCCTCAGCCTCCCGAGTAGCTGGGATCACAGGTGCAACCATCACACCTTGCTAATTTTTCATTTTTAATAGAGGCCAGGTCATATCATGTTGCCCAGGCTGGTCTCAAACTTCTGGGCTCAAGTGATCCTTTCACCTCAGCCTCCCAAATTGTTGGGATTACAGGCACGAGCCACCACTTCAGCCTAGCTCCTGAATCTTCTCTGCCCCCATTTTGGAGGAGATCATCAGAACTTAGAAACATTATCTTGATTTCTTTACAAACACCTGGCCCAGTCCGGGCGCAGTGGCTCACCCCACTGTAATCCCAGCACTTTGGGAGGACGAGGTAGGCAGATCACAAGGTCAGGAGTTAGAGACCAGCGTAGCCAACATGGTGAAACCCCATTGTCACGTGCGTCCGTGTGAAGAGAACACCAAACAGGCTTTGTGTGAGCAACAAGGCTGTTTATTTCACCTGGGTGCAGGCAGGCTGAGTCCGAAAACAGAGTCAGTGAAGGGAGATGGGGTGGGGCCATTTTATAGGATTTGGGTAGGTAGTGGAAAATTACAGTCAAAGGGGGTTGTTCTCTGGCGGGCAGGGGCAGGGGTCACAAGGTGCTCAGTGGGGGAGCTTCTGAGCCAGGAGAAGGAATTTCACAAGGTAACGTCATCAGTTAAGGCAGGAATCGGCCATTTTCACTTCTTTTGTGACTCTTCAGTTACTTCAGGCCATATGGATGTATACGTGCAGGTCACAGGGGATATGATGGCTAGCTTGGGCTCGGAGGCCTGACACCCATCTCTATTAAAAATACAAAAATTAGCCAGGTGTGGTGGTGTGCGCTTGTAATCCCAACTATGCAGGAGGCTGAGGCAGGATAATTGCTTGAACCTGGGAGGTGGAGGTTGCAGTGAGCCCAGATCATGCCACTGCACTCCAGCCTGGGAGACAGAGCGAGACTCCGTCTCAAAAAATAAATAAATAAATAAATAAACAAACAAACAAACTGCTGGCCCATTTTCAGGGACTCAAGAAACTAACCATATTTAGAAGTTCAAAAGAAAAAAAAAGTCAGCAAATTCACAGATCTGCAGGAGAGCAATATTTCCTGTTTAACTCCTCCTATCCTGAAACAAATGAAAAGAAAACCCATTTGCTCTCTGCTCATTTTTCTATGAACAGTCTCCATCAAGAAAATTGAGTATTTTTGACATCCATGCTTTACAGACAGTAAGGAAGAAAAAGAAAGCAAACTTTCCCATACACAATCTCACTTGATTCTCATGAGGGTTTTTGTTTGTTTGTTTCTTTTTGGAGACAAAGTCTCGCTCTGTCACCCAGGCTGGAGTGCAGTGGCATGATCTCAGCTCACTGTAACCTCTGCCTCCCAGGTTCAAGCGATCCTCATGCCTTAGCCTCCCAAGTAGCTGGGATTACAGACATGCACCACCACACCTGGATAATTTTTGTATTTTTAGTAGAGACAGGGTTCACGGTGTTGGCCAGGCTGGTCTCAGAATCCTGGTCTCAAGTGATCCACCCACTTCAGCCTCCCAAAGTGCTGGGATTACAGGCGTGAGCCACCACTCGCAGGCCTCTAATCAGTTTCTTTTAATAGCAAAAGGTATTTTACATATGTAGCATGAAGATTTATTGAGAATTTACGGTAGCAGGAAAATCTACTGATATTTTTGTGCCTATTTCTTCTTGTCTATCAGGAAGGAATCAATAGTATTTGCCCCATCCTGATGTTACCGGGGGTCCTTGCTCCCAGAGTTCCCAAGATGGTGGCGGGCCACTTCCAAAATGGCGGCGGGCCACTTCCAAGATGGTGGCAAGCCTTGTGTTCTCTGACCTGGGGTTCTTGGCCTCACGGATTCCAAGGAATGGAATCTTGGGCCATGCGGTGAGTGTTATAGCTCTATTAGAAGCCGTGGGTCACAGAAGAGAACCGTGGAACCCAGTGACTACTGTTCAGCTCGATTAGGATGAACCCAGGCACTTAGCCATGCAGGAACAATGGCAAGCCGTTAGCCCAATCGGGAGCAGCAATGGGCGCCTGGCTGGATCAGGAGCACAGAAGGCACCCTGCCGGTTCCGGAGGGATGGAAGTCAGCGGCGGGTCTATGACGGTGGAAAAAGCAGTTGTGGATGGCGAGCGAAAGCTCAGCTCAAGCCATAAAAAACACGGACCAGAAGAGTGCAGTTGCAAGATTTAATAGTGTGAAATAAGAGTGAAAACAGAGCTCCCATACAAAGGGAGGGGACCCAAAGGGGGTTGTCGTTGCCGGCTCAAATGCCTGGGTTTATATCCTGATCATTGTCCCTTCCGCTGTGCTCTCAGGCAACAGATGATTGGCTATTTCTTTACCTCCCGTTGTTGCCTAATTAGCATTTTAGTGAGCTCTCCTTACTATCTGATTGGTCAAGTGTGAGCTAAGTTGCAAGCCCCATGTTTAAAGGTGGAAGCGGTCACCTTCCCAGCTAGACTTAGGGATTCTTAGCCTAGGAAATTCAGCTAGGCCTGTCTCTCACTGAGGGGCATTTGTTCCAGGGTCAAAAAAGAAAGCTGACAGCAGTGGGGCCAGGAGAACACCCTGATTATATCCCCAGATCAGACTTGGCATCCTGAAGGACTTGCCCAGGGGTCAGGCCTTTAGTGGAGATACGTCCTTTCTAAATAGGGTCATATTCAGCTGGCTGCTCAGAGGGATTTGGGCAAAACAGTCTAGGAACAACTACTTTGCAAGTAGCTATGTTGTTCCAGAGTGGTGAGGACTGGCTGGGTGATGCTTTGGTGCTTTGAGGGCAACCTGAGGTAAGATTCCTCCGGCTTCGGGTTGAGAGTTGGTGCCTCCTCACCCAGGAGAAGTGACTGAGGCCTGAGTCCCAAGTGCTGTGGCTTCAGAAGCCTTAGCAACAATCCCATAGCAGAGCTGGACACCATAGTGACCATCTCGCCTTGAGTGCCAGAAACCTTTGCCATTTTTCTAGACTGCGTAAGCCATTGATAAGCCTCCCGTGAGTGGAGGAACACCAGGGCTCTTGTCTTGTCTTGAGTTAGATAAAACAACATGGACACACGTGGAGTGGTTTTAAGGAGCGGAGAGTTTAATGGGCAAGAAGGGGCAAGAAGGAAGGGAGAAGGAAAAAGCTCCCCTGTACAGAGACAGAGGGAGTGGGATTCCAAAGCCAAGAGAGGGAACCCCACCTGCCACAAATATACAGAGGCTAGAGGAGGCAGTGTTTAATTTGCATAGGTCTCAGGGGATTGGTTTGAGTAGGCAGGTCATTCACGTCGCCCGCGAAAAAGCTGGCCCTTCCACCCTAGCCTTTTAATACGCAAATGAAGGGTGCCATGATGTTCTACACACGTGGGGATATGTGGGGGCGGTCATGTTGCCAGCTACATGTGGGGCAAGGACAAGAAGAGGGGGGAAATCGCCATGTTTGGGTGGACCCAGTTTCTAATGGCCTGCATTTGCAAATCAAAGGTTGCCTGCCTGGCTCGAAGAGCCAGGGCTTTACAAGAAAATTTCCAGAGATGCTTTAAAACACGAAAACTTCCCAAGGACCCCTTTTTCTCTCTATCTGCCTAAAATAATGTCTTAATAACTCCTACAATACCATGAGATCTCAAACCAAACTAGGAAATGAGAGGGAACCCCTGCCTCCCTGGCCCATGGAAACACACAAATGACTGCATCTACCTTGTCAACCTTGGCAAGTGAAGCCTGAGCCAGATTTACTATTTTTAAAATAATGTAAAAACATGATATTGCTTGCACCCCTCCATCATAAAACAAATCATACCTTTTGCAGCACACATTTCCATTTCCCACCACAGAAAAGAAAAAAAAATCACAAATAATTTTACTTAAATCTCAGTTTCTTAGATATTAACATTTTCTCCTCTTTCCTCCTGTTTTTTTCTCTGACATCTTTCCTATTGCATAATATTAGACTTTAAGCAGGTCAGCTCTTATTTCTTTCACACACTTGCTTGTCTTATTTACCCTCTCTGCTCTTCCAGAAAGTCATTGTTTCCATTGCACAGCATTTTTCCTCCCTCAGGTCCACGTTTACAGAATGCCTGCTAGCCTCTGAGCACTGGTCAGCAAACCAAGACCCACAGGCCCAATTCTGCCCATAGCCTGTGTTTGTAAATAAAGTTACATTGGAATATAGCCTCACTCATTCAATCAGGTATAAACCAAAAATAAAATTCTAAGCCCCACAACTGACTGACGGATGCTCCACCCTTTGCCAAGAGTATTCCAAAGTAAACCTGAAAATCCAGTTTGGGCCATGATGGAAGTGGAGGATGGAATATGCCTCACTATGCTCTCCTCCCTTTGGAATTCAGGGAACACTGACCAGCATTAACATTAAAACAGAGATTTTGAGACAGAACAGACTCTTTGTAGTAATAAGATACCACCAATTCCAACCTGACTCTAGTATAGCATCACATGACAGAGAGCAGGCCCTGAAAGAAACTGAAGTGTTTTGCCCTGAAATATATATATATATATATATTTTGAGACAGAGTCTTGCTGTCGCCCAGACTGAGTGCAGTGGTACGATCTTGGCTCATTGCAAGCTCCGCCTCCCAGGTTCACGCCATTCTCCTGCCTCAGCCTCCCGAGTAGGTGGGATTACAGGAGCCTGCCACCACATCCAGCTAATTTTTTTGTATTTTTAGTAGAGACAGGGTTTCACCATGTTGGCCAGGCTGGTCTTGAACTCCTGACCTCAGGCGATCTGCCTGTCTTGGCCTCCCAAAGTGCTGGGATTACAGGCGTGAGCCACCGCACCCAGCTGAATGTTATTTTAATAGTGGTCTCTGCAAAGTGTTCTGGAAGCACCATTAGGTTTTAAATCATCCCATGGCTTATAGCTGCCATCCTAGTTGAGGCTTCATATTGCAGATAGCAAACAACCATTCAAGCTACATTATGCCAAAAAAAGAATTTTTTATAAAGTAATATGATGTTGTTTTCTTTTCTTTTCTTTTTTTTTTTTTTTTTTTTTTTAGACAGAGTCTCGCTCTGTCCCCCAGGCTGGAGTGCAGTGGCGTGATCTCAGCTCACTGCAACCTCCACCTCCCGGGCTCAAGCAATTCTCTTTCCTCAGCCTCCCAAGTAGCTGGGATTACAGGCACCCGCCACCCCACCCTGCTAATTTTTGTATTTTTAGTAGAGACAGGGTTTCACCATGTGGCCCAGGCTGGTCTTGAACTCCTGACCACAGGTGATCCACCCGCCTCAGCCTCCCAAAGGGCTGGGATTACAGGCGTGAGCCACTGCACTTGGCCGGCTGTTTTCTTCTTAGTCAGAATTCAATCAGATAACAAAAGCACTACCAGTATTATGGAATAAAACGTTTATTAAATTTATGATAGAAATGATACTTTACACAATTGTGGGAGGAGCTAGGGAAGTAAGGTCTAAAAACAGCAACTGGAGAATCAGTGGCAAGTTTCTAACCAACCTGGCCTCAGAGGGGACAAGCCAGAACAGAGTGAAGAAGCAATGAGGGCACAAGCTTGAAATACAAGCAAATCGTGTATTGACTCATGTCCATATTGACATCATCTGTTACGTCTCTTCCCTTTCGCAAGATTCCCACTTGCACCCATTCAAAGAACAGAAATGCAGCTCAAAATTCCACCCTTTTGAGGACTTGTAATTCTTTGCTTTATGTTGCTGTGAGAAGGATCCTCTCTCAAACCCTCATCTTCATCCCTGTATGTAAGAAGTGACAATGATATTCTATAGGTTGATGCAAAAGTAATTGGGTTTTGTGCCTTTAAAAGTAATGGCAAAAACTGCAATTACTTTTGCACCAACCTAATAGGTTTTCTTCTCTGCAGTAGTTCCTGTCTCATTCAGAATAAGGATTCAAGTCGCAACTTTATTGATTTTGATCACAGGTTATTTCAAATTTCCAGAACAGTGATCGGGTGAGTGAAGGTTCTAAAACATATTTGCAAATTCATTGACATTGCTCCCACAAAAGGTGGAGTCCAATTCAACCTCCCCTTGATTATGGGCTGGCCACAATGACTTCTTCAAAGAGATAGAAGGCAATGGAAGGATGTTGTGCAACTTATGAGGCTTATCACCAAAAGTAATACAGGCCAGGCATGGTGGCTCATGCTTGTAATCCCAGCACTTTGGGAGGTTGAGGCAAGGGGATTGCTTGAGTCCAAGAGTTCAAGACCAGCCTAAGCAACATAGTGAAACCCCATCTCTACAAAAAATGTGCTGGGCATGATGGTGCACCTATAGTCCCAGCTACTTCTGAGGCTGAGGTGAAAGGATTGCTTGATCCCAGGCAGTCGAGGCTGCAGTGTGCTGTGATCGTGCCACTGTACTCAGCTTGGGCAATAGAGTGAGACCTTGTCTCAAAAAAAAAAAAAAAAAAAAAAAGGGCCGGGCACGGTGGCTCACGCTGGTAATCCCAGCACTTTGGGAGGCCGAGGTGGGCGGATCATTTGAGTTCAGGAGTTTGAGACCAGCCTGGCCAACATGGCGAAACTCCATCTCTACTAAAGATGCAAAAATTAGCCAGGCATAGTGGCAGGAACCTGTAATGCTGGCTACTCAGGAGGCTGAGGCAGGGAGAACTGCTTGAACCTGGGAGGTGGAGGTTGCAGTGAGCCAAGATTGCGCCACTGCACTTCAGCCTGGGCGGCAAAGCAAGACTCTGTCTCAAAAAGAAAAAGAAAATGAAATGCAAATTCCATGTGGCTTTTTCTCTGTCCTTAGTACACACACCTCTGGAGCCCTGAGCCATCACGTAAGCAGTTTGATTACCCTGAAGCCACCATTCAGGAGAGATTACTTAGCGACATCACATAAAGCTCGAGAAAGATGTCTGAGGATCCCTGCTTGATCCAGTCCCTGGCCATTCAAGGCTCCGAGCCTAGGCTAGGAGCAGCATCCAAATATTTCTACTCTCCAGCCTCCTACCTACCCCGGCCAACACAAAGAAGAGCAGAAATGAGCTTTCTCCACCAAACCCAGTTCAAACTGCATATCTGTGAGGGAAAAAAAAAATGTTGTTGAGTCTTAGGCCATAAGTTTTGGGGTGGTTTATTATGTATCCATAGTAACTGAAGCCGATGCAAAGCAATTTTCCAAATAAGCAATAGAGTTTTAACTCAGAACAGAGTTAGGTTGAGCTGCCAAAGATAAAAATGCATATATACCAATATATCACTTTGGAATTTCATTCATCCGTGTCATTCAGCTATCCATCCAACAAATATTTATGAAGTGCCTCCTTTGTGTGCTGGGGATTCAGTGGCAAAGACAGACATGATCTCCGTCCTGATGGAGCTTCCGGGCTTTAACCGTGGGTTAAAGAGACATTGACAAGTAATTTATGAGTGTTAGAAAAGGGAGAAGCCCAGGATGCTTTGAGCCCTTGTCAGATAATAAGTCACATGTCTGTTCTGGAAATTTCTTAAAGATAAGTTTTCCTTAATTGCTAAGCATTGTTTGGGTTCTGGCAATGTTCCAGATATACAGAGCAAAAGAAAAGATATCAATTTACAATTTCAGCAAATGCAAGCTGCTAGGTTGTAGGGGTTTATGGTGGCTGCTTTCAACTCCAACAGTCAGCTGTCCTTTCTCTGGATCAAACATACATAGACAAGATGCTAATTGTATGCTTTTTCCTGCGCCTACTTTGAAATTATTTATAATGATGAAACTATAAGATCATCTTGTCTAAGAAACACTGCCATGCAAAGTGGCTTTAGTTGGGTTGCAAATTGAAATTACTCACAAGATCTATATTAGAAGCTAAAAGCTTTCTTATCAGGCTGCTGGTAATGAAGTTTGCTAACCATTCTAGTACATAAAGTAGAATTATGAAAACTGATTCAGTCTAATTATCAAAGGGTCAGGTTTTTTCTGCTGTTCTCAAAATGTAGCCATTGAAGCGGCTTGAAAATTCATTGTCCAGAATTTAAATTACCCATTGCCAAAGCTCAGTAACTGCTCCAAGAATGAACGAAAGTGCTTAAAATCTCCGGACTGTTTGATTACAGGTACCCGTCCGCCGTTTGCTCAGTCATGTACAACTGTGCAATTAAAACAAATGGTGGTGTATAAAAGGCTGACTGAGGTAAATTTGGCCTATGGGCAAAGTGCCAGTCTGTTAGAAGGAAGTGCCAGCCATGATGGGGAAAGCAATGAACAAAAAAGACACGGGCCTCTGTGCAATGCTCTCCTGGCGCTTAGAGTCTAGCAGCGGAGAAAGACAGCAAGAGGGCACCAGGGATAGAGTTTGTAAGAGCTGAGTTGCAGGGGGACAGTTCAGTGTGCTGTATCACAGAGAACTAGCCCAAGGATGTGACCTCTAAGCTGAAGTTCGTGTAGGAGTCAGAAGGTAAAGCTGAGGGGGACAAAGGAGAAAAGAAAGTATGGTTCAGGCTGAGTCAGGTATGGGCTAAGATGCTTGAGATACTCAGAATTTTACAGAAACAGAAAAAATTCAGTATGGCTGGAAGACTAAGAGGCAGAATAATGAGAGATAAGGCTGGACAGGTAGGGAAAAGAGCCAGCCAGTTCCCGAAGGGCCATGTAAGCCATTTCAAAAGGTTCAACTTTCTATTCCTTAGATTTCAAAAATAGCATGAAATCAACATGTTCAGCTAGCACCTTTTAAAAAGAGAGATTCAGGCTGGGCACGGTGGCTCATGCCTGTAATCCCAGCACTTTGGGAGGCCAAGGCGGGCGGATCACAAGGTCAGGAGATCGAGACCATCCTGGCTAACACGGTGAAACCCTGTCTCTACTAAAAATACAAAAAATTAGCCGGGTGTGGTGGCAGGCGCCTGTAATCCCAGCTACTCGAGAGGCTGAGGCAGGAGAATGACATGAACCCAGGAGGTGGAGCTTGCAGTGAGCCGAGATCGCGCCACTGCACTCTAGCCTTGGTGGCAGTGTGAGACTGTCTCAATAAAAAAAAAAAAGAGAGAGAGACTCACGTTTTTTTTCTTTTGAGACAGAGTCTTACTCTGTTGCCCAGGCTAGAGGGCAGTGGCACAATCTCAGCTTGCTGCAACCTTTGCCTCCCGAGTAGCTGA
Source organism: Homo sapiens (assembly GCF_000001405.40). Classification (NCBI taxonomy): domain Eukaryota; kingdom Metazoa; phylum Chordata; class Mammalia; order Primates; family Hominidae; genus Homo; species Homo sapiens. Next base: position 157,960,421 of record NC_000005.10, on the reverse strand, counting down.
GATTACAGGCATGCACCACTACACCTGGCTAATTTTTGCATTTTTAGCAGAGATAGTGGGGGATGGGAGGGGTTGTTCACCATGTTGGCCAAGCTGATCTCAAACTCCTGGGCTCAAGTGATCCGCCCACCTCAGTCTCCCAAAGTGCTGGGATTGTAGGCATGAACCACTGTGCCTGGCCAAGAGATTCACTTTTATGAGGATCTCTAAACATCAGATGAATGGAAGAAACTGTTTTTCTCTGGCCTTAGGTCAAGAAGGCAGAGAATATGGATCTCCCTTTCTCATGCTCAAGATTTTTGTTCCAAAGACTGGTAGCTATTTCCTCCTTTACCCACTCAGTCTTGACCTCTCTCTCCCCAGCAGATAAGAGACAGAGGCCACAAAATTAAGTCCAAAACATTAGGAAACAGCATTCTCTATTCTTTAGAGGAAATTTTCCAACAAAAATGATAAGAATTACTGTTTCAGACAAGCACAAGAATAGGTAAATATTGAGAGTTTAGAATTGTCAGATTTTCTTCCTAATCTAAGAAAGATTCCTGCATACAACATTTGTACCATTTTTCTGGATCTAAGAAAAATTGATGTATACATGGCACATGTGAATACAGCACCAGCACTTTGTAGCAACCATTTTTACTAGGGAGAAAGTAGTTACACATATTTAAATTTGCTAAGTAATAGAAAAGCCACTTCCCATGAAAGTTGCCTTGTTTGCAAAAAGGGCCTGAGCCAAGTGTACATCTCCTAGATTAAGTGCTAGACATTTAGTGCACCCAGCATGGTGCCAGGAGGTGAGAAAACAGATGAATTAAATACATCCTACAATCCATTGAAAGTCCAGGCACAGGCCCAATGACATAAAACAGGCAGAGCTTCTGGAGCAAACACAATTCTGTCATCTGGAAAAACTTCCCATTTCCTGTTTGCTGAACCAACCACTGGAAACTCACAATATAAAAGGTCTGCAACTTAAAACTGCTGAAGCAAAAAGGCAAGTGTATGAGTTTCCTATTGCTGCTGTAACAAATTGCCAGAAGCTTAATGGCTTAAAACACCATAAATGTATTCTCTTGTAGTTCTGGAGACCAAAAGTCCCAAATGAGTCTGATAGGACTAAAAGCAAAGGGCCAGGAGACCTGCAGTCTTCTGGAGGCTCTAGGGGAGAATCCATTCCTTGTCTTTTCCAGCTTCTAGAGGCTGGCCTTGGTTTACAACTCTCCCTATCACTCTGCACCCCTTGTCTCATCTCCTTTTCTTCCTTTTCTCTTTTTTCCTTTTTCTTTCTTTCTTTCTTTTTTTTTTTTTTTTTTTTTTTTTTTTTTGAGACAGGGTCTTGCTCTGTCACCCAGGCTGGAGTGCAGTGGCAAAATCTCAGCTCACTGCAACCACCACCTCTGGGGTTCAAGAGATTCTCTTGCCTCAGCCTCCCAAGTAGCTGGGACTATAGGCGTGCACCACCACACCCAGCTAATTTTTGTATTTTTAGTAGACATAGGGTTTCACTATGTTGGCCAGGCTGGTCTCGAACTCTTGACCTCAGGTGATCCACCCACCTTGGCCTCCCAAAGTGCTGGGATTACAGGCGTGAGCCACCACATCTGGCTTCATCTCCTTTTCTGGCCCTTGCCTCCCTCTTTCCTTTATAAGAACACTTGTGATTACACTGGGCTCATCTGGATAATCCAGGATCCTCTCATCATCTCAAGGTCCTTAATATAGTCATATCTCAAACTCTCCTTTTGCCACATGAGGTAGCATCTTCACAGATTCAGGCATTAGGACATGTACATCTTTGGAGAGCCTTGATTTTGCCTACCACAATAAGAAGGGAAAAATCTGTAAGATCAGAGAGGACAAGGCCATCTGATCTGTTTAACATCATCCCAGTGCAGTACCTGGCTCATCATCAGTACCCAGTTAACACCTGTTAAATAATTCAGTGAGGCCAGGAGCAGTGACTCACTTCTATAATCCCAGCACTTTGGGAAGCCAAGGCAGGAGGATCGCTTGAGTTCAGGAGTTCAAGACCAGCCTGGGCAACATGATGAGACTCTGTCTTTACAAAAAATTTTAAAAATCAGCCAGGCATGGTGGGATGTAGCTATAGTCTCAGCTACTTGGGAGGCCAATTTGGGAGGATCACTTGAGCCGAGGGGCTCAAGGCTGCAGGAGCCCTTAGCATGATACTGAACTCCACCCTGGGCACCAGAGCAAGACTCTGTCTTAAAAATAATAATAATCAAATAAATAAATAAATAAATAAATAAAGATAGAAGCTATACTACTTCCTATGAAGTCTTGCTCTGTTGCCCAGGCTAGAATGTAGTGGTGTGATCATGGCTCACTGCAGCCTTGACCTCCTGGGCTCAAGTGATCCTCCTCCCTCAGCCTCCCCATGTAGCTGGTACCACAGGCACACACCACTGGGCCCGGCCAATTCTTTAATTTTTTGTAGAGACAGGAGTCTCATTTTGTTGTTCAAGCTGGTCTTGAACTCCTGGGCTCAAGTGGTCCTCTTGCCTCGGCCTCCCAGAGTGCTGGGATTACAGGTGAGAACCACTGCGCCCAGGTGCATCATGATTTTAAACTCAAACTCACACACACTCTCTCCCTGTCTCCCCCCGCCACACACACACACACACACACACACACACACACACACTTGCATGTGCACACCTGTGCATGCAATTGGTATTCACATGGTACCAAAATACCCCATGGGTTCATAAACAAAAACCTGCCAGATTGCTTGAGTGGGCTTTCCACAGACTCTACAACCAAGATATAGAGTGAATTTTCACTAATATATCAGTTTCTTTGGGCAAATTGTAGATACTGCCTCAAATAGGCCATTCTCAGAATAGATGGGTCAACTTTTATCCCAAAGCAACAACTAGGAACCAATTACAGCCATTCTCTTCAATGGGATTTATTTAATATTGGTAATAATCTGTGAATAGAATAATCCAATTGTGAGGAATGTTAGCAACACCAAATATGGCACCTCTATGGTTTCTTAGGCTTCTGCCAACTTCTTCACGCTTCACGCTGCCTTAATTGCTTCTGTAGGGGTTGGTTTCACACGGGGAATGGAGTCCTTTCCAGTGTTCCAGTCAAACTCTCACAATATCAGGTGTGGGAGACTGAGAAGGGCACAGGAAACTTAGGTCCCTCTACTAAATCTGTTTCTACATTATCTCATTTGATCTTCACAACAAGCTTGTTAGAGAGATATAATTAAGAAGCTTACACAAAGTTGCACAACTGAAATCAACGGAATAGAAACTAGAGCCCAAATCTGTCTTCCTCAAAGTCCACTACCTTTCTATCACATCACACAGTGACCACAGCTAAGCAGTCAGCCCTCAGAAAAAGAACCAGCCAATATTTGTCTTCAAAATTCTACTGTTTTTCCTACATCCTCCCCCACTTTCAGCAACCATCTCTCTCATGTTCCTACGAGAGTCCAGTTCCCCTACCACACACACCTATTAAGGAATAAAACATTTCGTAAAACAAACTTTCATGTGCACTACAGCTAGAATTTACTGGGAACTAACTCTATGACCGGCCATGTGTTAAATGTCTTATGTGCATTATGAAATGTAATCTTTTTCTTAGATATGGTTGATGATGCTGAGGTCTGAGGAGTCATTAGCAAAACCAGAACCTGAATTGATTGCATCAGACCAAGTTCTGGGAGTTTCTATTCTGCCACATTGCCTTTGGGGCCACCAGTTACAACTCAATCTTCCCTACCATAATGAGTGTCAGTAAGTGGAGTACAATATTGACTTTGTCATATAAACAAAGCAGTCCAAACAGGGAGTGGAGATAGCAAAAGAACAAGGAGCCTTTAGCAAAGGGAAGAAAAGACTTTCTATGAACAAAGCTCTCTTACGTTTTGCCTTCAAAGAATTTCTTTATAGTAGCAAAGACTCTATGAAATAAATTTGTGTTGGAAAGCACAAGAATGCATCAATGTTTCTTCTGTGTTTTCTATGCCTTCAGTTGAAGGAGCTTGGTAGAAATTGTTCCTTCCAGTGTGAAGCTTACCCTGGTCCTAAGGGATATATAAAGATGGGAGCTGGGTGTGATGGCTCACGCCTGTAATCCCAGCAACTTTGGGAGGCTGAGCCATGTGGATCGCCTGAGCTCAGGAGTTCAAGACCAGCCTGGCCAACATAGTGAAACCCCATCTCTACTAAAAATACAAAAAATTAGTTGGGTGTAGTGGTGCCTGTAATCCCAGATAGTAGGAAGGGTGAGGCAGGAGACTCGCTTGAACCCGGGAGGTGGAGGTTGCAGTGAGCCGAGATCGTGCCATTGCACTCCAGCCTGGGCAACAAAAGCAAAACTCGGAAGAAAGGAAGAAAGAAAGAAAAGGAAGGAAGGAAGGAAGGAAGGAAGGAAGGAAGGAAGGAAGGAAGGAAGAAAGAAAGAAAGAAAAGAAAAGAAAGAATAAAAAGGAAAGAAAGGAAAGAAGGAAGGAAGGAAAGAAAGAAAGGAAGGATCCACAGTCTCCCTTCATAGCATCCTAGAGTCCTTTTACTCTTCTCTACGATCAAACATCCTGGAAAATTTAGAGGTTTCCTAAGAGGTTTACTCATAAGAGGTGAATGAGTCCAAGTTAAAATCCTCCTGTGAAAATAGCCTTCCCCTGCATAGTTCAATATTCTTACTTCCTACTGACTCATGAGCATTCTTTGCAAAGTCTGGGCAGGTGTGTGGTGTGCAGGGACACAAGACTTATTTCTTTTTTTGTTTTGTTTTGTTTTTGAGACAGTCTCACTTCATCATCCAGGCTGGAGTACAATGACACAATCTCAGCTAACTGCAACCTCCACTTCCTGGGTTCAAGCAATCCTCCTGCCTCAGCCTCCAGAAGAGCTGGGATTACAGGTGTGAGCCACCATGCCTGGCTAACTTTTGTATTTTCAGTAGAGATGGGGTTTCACCATGTTGGCCAAACTGGTCTCAAACTCCTGACCTCAAGTGATCCACCTGCTTCAGCCTTCAAAGTGCTGGGATTACAGGCGTGAACCACCACACCGGGCCAGAAGACTTCTTATAGTGGTTCACCTCAGGAGCAAAAGAAAATTCAAGCTGGAGCATGATTTTTCCTTTCATTTCTTTTCTTTCCCTCAGACAGTAAAATCACCGAAGAGATTGCTGAAATTCTTCTACAGACCAAAAAAACGAGGGATTGAAAGGAGAGAGTCTAAGCTCTTTATTTTTAGCTTTGTGAAAAGAAATCTTTCTTTCTAAAATTAAGCAGAAAAGTTAATGCCACCCTACTAGTGGTAAACAACCTTGAAAGAAATTGATTAGGGTGAATTAATATGGCAGGGATATTCATTATCTTTTGAGAGTGAGAAAATCTTATAGTTATCAAAGTAAGTCTCAGTCTGCAACCCAGGACAATGCAGGAAACTCCTCATGGATGAAATTAATACACAGAAAATTCCTTAGTGGGCAGCCTGTACATTCCAGTGAAGTTGGTGCCTGAGCTTGGGAAAAATCACAGTCAAATGCATTGAGCAGCTCCAGGATGAAACTAAGCCAATAGACAACATGTTTTTTTGGTTTTTGGTTTTGTGTGTGTGTGTGTGGTTTTTTTTTTTTTTTTTTTTTTTTTTTGAGACCAAGTCTCACTCTGTTGCCCAGACTGGAGTGCAGTGGCATGATCTTGGCTCACTGCAACCTCCGCCTCCCGAGTTCAAACAATTCTCCTGTCTCAGCCTCCCGAGTAGCTGGGACTACAGGTGCCCGCCACCATGGCTGGCTAATTTTTGTATTTTTAGTAGAGATGGGGTTTCACCATGTTGGCCAAGCTGGTCTCGAACTCCTGACCTCAGGTGATTCCACCTGTCTCGGTCTCCCAAAGTGCTGGGATTACAGGCGTGAGCCACCACGCCCAGCCAACAATATGGTTTTTATACCTATTGTTTTAGCTGGCAAAATTTGAAGAATTGAAGAGAAGTATTAAATCTCCCACTGACAAGTCTCCTAGACAGCTTGTGTCTGTTCACTTGCTGATTACAGCATTTAAAAATCCCCAAGCCAAGTGGTCCTAGTGGGATGTGCAAGGAAAAATTTCACTTCCTCTGATTGACACCAGGCCAGGGTCAAAGTGTGAATTAACTGAAGCCTTATAGTATGATTGGAAAATTTAAAACCTTGGTCCCCACATCAGCCCTACCACCATCTCCATGGGTAATCAATCCTAAACCTTATATTATTTTCCTCTGCAAAATGAGGGTTTTCACTAGATAATCTCTAGGGTTGCTTTAAGCTCTCACAATTCATATACATACATACATATATATGTATGTATGTATATGTATATATATATGATGCAGTCTCGCTCTGTCTCCCAGGCTGGAGTGCAGTGGCACGATCTCGGCTCACTGCAACCTCCACCTACCAGGTTCAAGTGATTCTCCTACCTCAACCTCCCGAGTAGCTGGGATTACAGGCGCCTACGACCACACGCAGCTGGTGATCCACCCGTCTCGGCCTCCCAAAGTGCTGGGATTACAGGCGTGAGCCACTGTGCCCGGCCCATAATTCGTATTTCTAAATTTCCCTCTGGTCCCTTTTTATTCCCCACTACTTCAAGTCCCTCTCTCACTTGCTTACTACATTCCTGGAGAAAATACTGTCTGGAGGACTTCTATAAATGATAATACCTGTAAACATTTTCTGATTTCAAATACACACACACACACACAAGTCAAGAGCATACATAAGGGTGCTGTTATCTTCAATTAGCAGATGCAGAAACTGAGACTCAAAGAGATTAAACCGCTTGTCCAAGATCGAAGAGCGAGAAGAAGGTTTTGTCTGGATTTGAACCCAGGACCATCTGACTGAAGCTCACATTCTCCGCACTACACCCCACAGTCTCCTGTGGCCCTAGACCTCATCCATGGGCTCCACAGCAAATGACTCTTTTACTCAGCTTGAAACCCCTAGGCAGTGAGCCTTTGTTCCCAACCAAAGCTTAGTTGCCCTATTTCTTTTTTTCTCAAGAGCTTACTGTTTTGCATACGTTTTCATTATAACTGACAAAGGACTTGGTATCTATTCCAATCCATTTATACAAAAAAAGGAAGAAACCAAAGCCCAAAGAAAGTGGTTCGCTCAATCTCATAGACTATTTACCAGTAAGGCCTAAATACAGCCCAGGCTCAAAACCCACTACTTTTTTTTTTTTTTTTTTTTTTTTTTTGAGATGGAGTTTCACTCTTATTGCCCAGGTTGGAGTGCAATGGTGCAATCTTGGCTCACCGCAACCTCCGCTTCCCAGGTTCAAGCAATTCTCCTGCCTCAGACTCCCAAGTAGCTGGGATTACAGGTATGTGCCACCACACCCAGCTAATTTTGTATTTTTCGTAGAGATGGGGTTTCTCCATGTTGGTCAGGCTGGTCTCGAACTCCCGACCTCAGGTGATCTGCCCGTCTCGGCCTCCCAAAGTGCTGGGATTACAGGCATAAGCCACCACACCCAGCCCAAAACCCACCACTTTTTAAGTTGTCACATTAAAGTCACCAGCCACTAAAATGTCACTGAATTATATCGGAATAATGTATTAACTATTGTGGGTACGTTTTTAAATAAACAAATATGTTTTCTTCTACATAAAAGACATACAAGTTTAGTTTGGACAATTTGGAAACAAGCAAAGTAGAACAAAAAAGAAATTCAAGAGAAGTGAACCATTAATCCTATTTCATTTACTTCCAGTCCTGTCTTTCTTTTCCTTGGCATCATTTGTTTTATTTTTTATAAAGCTTTTTGTTCTGATTATAAAAATAATACATGATTCACAATGAGGTGCCACTACATACCCATGAGAAAGCTACATTTTTTTTAAAAAGACTGACACCATCAGGGATTAGTGTGGATGTGGAGCAACTGGAATTTGCTTACCTCATTGGTGACAGTATAAAAGGGTACAACCACTTCGGAAAAGGTTTGGCAGTCTCTCACAAAACTTAACATACCCCTATGCTAGAAATTCCAGAAATGCCACTGCTAGATATTTATCCAAGAGAAATAAAAACATACATCCACAAAAAGACATGTATAAGACTATTGATAATTAACAGCTTTGTTATAAAGCCAAAAACTGGAAATAGCTCAGGTGTCCATCAATAGGAGAAAGGGAATACAAACAGTGGTACATTCTTACCACCTTCGGCAATAGAAAGGACCAAATAATTTGTACACACAACAGCATGGGCAAATCTCAGAAACATTACGTTGAGTAAAAGAAGCCTTACAGAAAAACTACACACTGAAGTTTACATGAAGTTCTATAATAGGAAAAACTAATCTATGCTGAAAACAATTAGGACATAGCTACTCTTGGCACACTGCCTATGGGTTAGCCCCACGCTGAGAGGAGAGGAGAGGAGAAGAGAAGGGAGGGGAGGGGAGGGGAGGGGAGAGGAGAGGAGGGGAGGGGAGGGAAAGGGAAGGGGAAGTGAAGAAAAGGAGCTTGGATTGCACAGGTGAATGCATTTGTCAGAACCCATGAAATGGCCCATAAAATTTGTGTGTTTCATCATAAGTAAATCTTACCTCAAAAGAAAGAAAGTAAACCAATATTGAATTTTAACAACGTGCATGATGAAGTATTTAGGGAAAACTACATGATGTCTACAACCTACTCTGAAATACATCAAAAAATAAGATGGAGAAAGAGAGGAATGGATAGACAGGTAATAAAGCAAGTGTCATAGAATGTTAATTGTATAATCTACGTAGTAGGTATATGGGTATTTGCTGTAAAATTCTTTTTTTTTTTTTTTTTGAGATGGAGTTTCGCTCTTGTTGCCCAAGCTGGGGTGCAATGGCACAATGTTGGCTCACTGCAACCTCCACCTCCCTGGTTCAAGCAATTCTGCCTTAGCCTCCCGAGTAGCTGGGATTACAGGCATGCCTCACCAGGCCCGGCTATTCTTTTGTGTTTTTAGTAGAAACGGGGTTTCTCCATGTTAGCCAGCTGGTCTTGAACGCCTGATTTCAGGTAATCCGCCCACCTTGGCCTCCCAAAGTGCTAGGATTACAGGCGTGAGCCACAGCACCTCGCCTTGCTGTAAAATTCTTTCAAATGTTCTGTATGTTTGAAAATTGTCCTAAAATGTGAGGGGGGGAAAGTGTTTTTTTAAGGTAGAAAATAGGGAAATCTTTAAAAGCTCAAAGAAAATAAGACTCTCCCAAAACCTAACAAAAACTGCCCAATAATAAAAACTTAACATTTTAATGACTTGCTTTCATCCCTTTTTCTATATTTATGAATGTGGAGGGAAGTTTTTTTTTTTTTTATTTGAGACAGAGTCTTACTCTGTAGCCCAGGCTGGAGTGCAGTGATGTGATCTCAGCCCACTGCAAGCTACGCCTCCCGGGTTCACGCCATTCTCCTGCCTCAGCCTCCCAAGTAGCTGGGACTACAGGTTCTTGCCACCATGCCCGGCTAATTTTTTGTATTTTTAGTAGAGAGGGTTTTCACCGTGTTAGCCTGGTTGGTTTCAATCTCCTGACCTCATGATCCTCCCACCTCGGCCTCCCAAAGTGCTGGAATTACAGGCATGAGCCACCGCGCCCGGCCTTGTTTTATTTTTTGAGATGGAGATGGAGTCTCACTCTGGTAACCAGAATGGAGTACAGTGGCAAAATCTCGGCTCACTTCAACCTCTACCTCCCAGGTTCAAGTGATCCTCCTGCTCAGCCTCCCGAGTAGCTGGGCTTACAGGTGCCCACCACCTGCCCAGCTAATCTTTGTATTTTTAATAGAGACCAGGTTTTGCCATGTTGGCCAGGCTGGTCTCAAACTCCTGACCTCAAGTATCTGTCCGCCTTGGCCCCCCCAAAGTGATGGGATTACAGCCACCGTGCCCAGCCAAATTTGAGTGTTTTATAAAATTAGTATCAAACAGATCAATATCACCATTTTATGAAGTGGCATTTTAACCACGGCATTTTCCCAATTCATTAAATATTCTTCAAGTATATTGTGCTATAATTTACTTCAATATATTTTGGCTATTTTAGGATTTTTCTACACTGTAAATAACACTTTGATGACCGTCCATGCACAGATAAATATGCATTTTACCTAAGGACATGAAGCTACCTAATGCCTTTACCAAAAGAAAATACTTTTCACGACAGTATCGCATTGGCCGGGCATGGTGGCTCACACCTGTAATGCCAGCACTTTGGTTTGAGGGTTTAACAAGACAGCACATGGGAAGAGCCTAGCACCGTATCTGGCACATAGCTAACTCTCAATACCTGGTAGCTACCATTGTTTCACCCAGCCAAGGTACTTGTGCACTGTGACAGCTAGTTGAGGATATCTCTGGCAAAGGAACTATTCAGGGAGACACAGCAAGAACCATCGACATAAGAAGAACTATGTCTAATTTGACATAATATCACCACTACTTACACAGTTTCAGTCATGTAAGAGGTGCTCAATAAAAGTAAGCTGAATAAATGAGTGAAGGAATGAATATATAAATGAGAGAGTGGCCACCTGGCTTTAATTCATTTAGGCATGAAGCCAGCCTCAACCTCCCTTGTAAGTTTTTCTTGCCTCTGTCCCTCTAGAAGCAGCTGAACACATCTCTCCTTGGTTAGCAGAAATTGTATGATACATCTCAACTGGGAACCAGGAGTTCAAAGTCCAGCTCTATCTCTAAATAGCTGTGTGTCTTTGGACCAAACATTGATAACACCATCCCCATTAGTTAATTAGACTATTAAAATAGTTTCTGAGGAAGAAAAGGGACAGAGCGTGTCATTATGGCCCTTGTTCAGATGAGGAAACTGAGGCCCAGGGAAGTGAAATAATTTGTTCAAATTCCCTCCTCTAGACCAAACACGGTGGCTCACGCCTGTAATCCCAGCATTTTGGGAGATCGAGGAGAGGGGACTGCTTGAGCTCGCAAGTTCGAGACCAGCCAGGGCAACAAGGCAAGCATCCCCCCCGACTCCTATCTCCCTCACCCCCATCTCTACCCAAAAAAATTAAAAATTAGCAGAGCAGGGTGGCAGGCGCCTGTGTAGTCCCAGCTACTCGGAAAGCTGAGGTGGGAGGATCGCTTGGAGCCCAGGATTTGGAGGCTGCAGTGAGCTGTGATCACACCACTGCTCTCGTGACAGAGCAACACCCTGTATCAAAACAAAACAAACCAAAATAAAACAAAACAAATTCTCTCCTCCAGACCAGGAGGCAGTCAGGTAGATTTCCCCCACATGTCATCCAGCTTTAAGGATCTTATTGCAAGATTTCTTCCAATCACTTCCAGGTTGCAAACGGGTTTCCCCATAGCAGCATTTTTCACACTACTTTCTTCTGGGCTCGCTCTCCTCCCTGCTCGCTTCCCCAAAGCCCGCTCAGCTAGACTGAGCTAGGGATTTTTGACAGCAGAGGGGGCTGCTGAGACACACTGAGTTTTCTCCAAATAAGGAAGAGCATTGTGCCTGCGGGCTGAGAGGCAGTTTGATGATCATTCCATGGTGAGTTCTGCAAAGACTCTTAGGTCGCAGTAGTACAAAATATAATCCAGGAGGAACATGTGCTCGAGTCCTAGCTCTGCCAATAATAACATGTCACCCCAGGAAAGTCCCATCCTTGAAATGTAAAAATGTTTTAGCTCAGGAGTTCTCAAACCTGGCCGCACATCAGAAACCCCTGGGCTACTTACTAAAAATACAAAATCCGGGGCCTCCGTCCCAGATCTATTAAACTAGAATCCCCAGGGTGGGAACCTGGAAATCTGTAATTTTATAATTTAAGATCGCAGAAGTTTCTAATGAACAGATATGTTTGGGAAACACTTAACTAGATAAACTCAAAGGTTCTTTTTCTCTCTTTTTTTTTTTTTTTTTTTTTTGGGACGGAGTCTCACTCTGTCGCCCAGGCTGGAGTGCAGTGGTGCAACCTCCGCTCACTGCAATCTCCCCCTTCCGGGTTCAAGCGATTCTCCTGCCTCAGTCTCCCAAGTAGCTGGGATTACAGACGTGCACCACCACACCTGGCTAATTTTTTTATTTTTAATAGAGACGGGATTTCGCCAGGTTGGCCACGCTGACCTCAAGTGATCCGCCTGCCTCGGCCTCCCAAAGTGCTGGGATTACAGGCATGAGCCACCCGTGCCCGGCAAAAGGTTCTTTTTTTTTTTTTTCATTCTAAGATTGAAAACTCAAACTCTGTAGACCTCTCTCCCATTCCCATAAAATACTACTGCTTTTGTTTCTGGTTTGTTGGTAGTGACTGCCTGGGGAACTGTCTTAAGTAGGATTTGAAGGCAGTGCTGTCCTGTAGAAATACAACTTGAGCCACGAATGCAAGCCACATATAGAATTTTACATTTTCTAGTAATCACTTTTTTGAAAGTGAAATAAATATATAAAATTAATCTTAATAACATTTGGTTTAACCCAGTATATCCAAACTATTATCATTTCAAGTTGTAATCAATACAAAAAATTATTAATGAGATATTTTACATTCTTTTCTTGTGTGCCAGGTCTTCATAATCTGGTATGTATTTTACCTGTGTAGCATACCTGAATTTGGACTAACCACATTTCAAATGCTCAGTAGCTACATGTGACCTGTGGTTACCATATTAGCACTGTTAAGCAATATTGATAGGACAGGGCAATCATCAATTAGCAGTGGCCATGATAAGCAGAGAATTGGAGTGAAGGTACTTGTGCCATATAGTTGTCATCAGCAATGCCAAATAACCTAATTTCTAGTTCTCTACAGATCAGGCAAAAAGAAAAAACTCAGAGGTAACTCAGCCTCGGACTCGTTATACATTGGGGGTGGGGCAGGGGGAACACAGGAAATTCACACAAGGAGTATTAGGAACACCGCAACTGAATATGACATACTTAAAATAAGTAAAACCAAGATTTAGCCAGAACTAGCAGTAGTAGGCTCAAGCATGGCACTTGAGAATATATATTGTATTCATTCTACGAAAATAATCTTCCTGGCCAGCCGTGGTGACTCATGCCTATAATCCCGGAACTTTGGGAAGCCGAGGTGGGAGGATCACTCGAGACCAGGAGTCTGAGAACGGCCTGGGTGACATGGAGAAACCCTCTCTCTACAAAAAATACAAAAATTAGCCAGGCATGGTGGTACATGCTCTAGTCCCAACTACTAAGAAGGCTGAGGTAGGAGGATTGCCCTCAGGTTGATCCAAAGCCCAGCAGTCTGAGGCTGCAGTGAGCCGTGATCATCATGCCACTGCACTCCAGCCTGGGAGACAGAGTGAGATCCTATCTCAGACAAAAAAAGGAAGGAGGTTGGTGTGTGGTGGCTCACGCCTGTAATCCCAGAAATTTGGGAGGCCGAGGCAGGGGGATCACCTGAGGTCACGAGTTCAAGACCAGCCTGGCCAACATAGTGAAACCCCGTCTCTACTAAAAATACAAAAATTAGACGGGCATAGTCGCGCATGCCTGTAATCCCAGCTACTCAGGAGGCTGAGGCAGGAGAATCGCTTGAACCCAGGAGACAGAGGTTGCACTGAGTCGAGATGGTGCCACTAAACTCCAGCCTGGGTGAAAGAGTAACACTCCGTCTCAAAAAAAAAAGGAGAAAAAAAAAAGAAAATAGATGGGCACAGTGGCTCACACCTGTGATCTCAACACTTTCAAAGGCTGAAGCGGACAAATCACTTAAGGTCAAGAATTCAAGATCAGCCTGGCCAACATGGCAAAACACAGTCTCTAAAAAGAAAATAGGCCAGACACGGTGGCTCACGCCTGTAATCCCAGTACTTTGGGAGGCCAAGGAGGGTGGATCACCTGTCAGGAGTTCGAGACCAGCCTGGCCAACATGATGAAACCTGTCTCTACTAAAAATACAAAAATTACCTGGGTGTGATGGCGGGTACCTGTAATCCCAGCTACTAGGAAGGCTGAGGCAGGAGAATCGCTTCAACCTGGGAGGCGGAGGTTGTAGTGAGCCAAGATCGCGTCATTGCACTCCAGTCTGGGCGACAAGAGCGAGACTCCATCTCAAAAAATAATTAAGGCTGGACGCAGCGGCTCACACCTGTAATCCCAGCACTTTGAGAGGCTGAGGCGGGTGGATCACGAGGTCAGGAGTTCAAGACCCACCTGGCCAACATAGTGAAACCCCGTCTCTACTAAAAATACAAAAATTAGGTGGGTGTGGTGGCCTGCACCTGTAGTCTCAGCTACTCGGGAGGCTGAGGCAGGAGAATCACTTGAACCCGGGAGGTAGAGGTTGCAGTGAGCCAAGACCATGCCACTGCACTCCAGACTGGGTGACAGAGCAAGACTCTGTCTAAAAAATAAATAAATAAAATAAAAAAATAAAAATGAATTAATTAAAATTAAATTAATTAAATAAAAAATATATAAATTAGGTGTGCTAGCACACACCTGTGGTCCCAGCTATGCGGGGAAGCTGAGATGGGAGGATAGCTTGAGCCTGGGAAGTTGGGGCTTCAGTGAGCTGTGTTCACGCCACTGCACTCCAGCCTGGGTGACAGACGGAGACCCTGTCTCAGAAAAAAATAAATATATAAAAAAGAAGGAAGGCAGGAAGGGAGGGAAGGAGGGGAAGAAAGAGACAGAGAGAGAGAGAAGGAAGGAAGGAAGGAAGGAAGGAAGGAAGGAAGGAAGGAAGGAAGGAAGGAAGGTTTCATGCACGTCCGTGTGAAGAGACCACCAAACAGGCTTTGTGTGAGCAACATGGCTGTTTATTTCACCTGGGTGCAGGCGGGCTGAGTCCGAAAAGAGAGTCAGCGAAGGGAGATAAGGGTGGGGCCGTTTTATAGGATTTGGGTAGGTAAAGGAAAATTACAGTCAAAAGGGGTTTGTTCTCTGGCGGGCAGGAGTGGGGGTCGCAAGGTGCTCAGTGGGGGTGCTTTTTGAGCCAGGACGAGCCAGGGAAAGGACTTTCACAAGGTAATGTCATCACTTAAGGTAAGGACCGGCCATTTACACTTCTTTTGTGGTGGAATGTCATCAGTTAAGGTGGGGCAGGGCATATTCACTTATTTTGTGATTCTTCAGTTACTTCAGGCCATCTGGGCGTATACGTGCAAGTCACAGGGGATGCGATGGCTTGGCTTGGGCTCAGAGGCCTGACAGAAGGAAGGAAGGAGAGAAAGAGACAGAGAAAGAGAGAGAAAGAAAGAGAAAGAAAGACAGAAAGAAAAGACAGACAGAAAGACAGAAGGCAGAAAGAAGAGAAAGAGAAAGAAAGAAGGAAAGAAGGAAAGAGAAAGAAAAGAAAAGAAAAGAAAGAAAGGCGAAAAGAAAAGAAAGAAAGAAAAGAAAAGAAAGGAAGAAAGAAAGAAAGAATCTTTCTGACTCAGGGTTAATATAATGAGCCTATTGAAAGGCTACCGATTGATTTATAAGGCGTCATTCAAGGTGCAGTTGAATCTCTGCTATGAAAGATAGCAAATACACTGATACACTGCAGAAGTGGGGAAAGAGGGTACTTATGGCCACTGAAATATAATGTAATCAGTAATAATAATAGATCATATTTGAAATTTATGACTTTAAAAAGCACTTTATTATCCATTCTCATTTGTTCCTCATAATAATCCTATGAGGCAAGCAGATGGGATGCATGTCTCTATTTTAGACTGGAGAACTGAAGTTCAGAGAGATTATGTGTTAGCTTAAGTTTCAGTGCCAGTGAGTGAATAGCATAGTTTCTCCACAGGAAATTCGCTGGTCCATATGGGAATTCAACCTTGGCCTCAGTATCAGCAAGCTTTCGCCAGCTACTTACCTGATGCAGCTATAAATATCATTAATTCACTTTTCAAAGGCCTTTCCTCTTCTAATAGATAAAGTTCCAGTTAGCCTCCTACCGACCCCCTCCACTGTGTCTGCCTTCTCTAATCATGTATCTCCCTGGAAGGTGTAAATGCCTTTGCCTCCGGCAAGGATTGCCTTTTCTACAGCACCTCGCAGAGCTGTAAGCCAGCTTTTAAAGCGGGAGCCACACTTTTCTGCTGGCTGAGTGGAGATAACAACTTACAAAGTTACTCAGGAAGGCATGGAAGTGTTTTGAGCAGAAAAATGTGATGTGACATGATGACACAGTGTGTAAGGCAGTGAGCAATTGAAGAGAAAAGAGGGAGAACTTACAATAGTTACAACAATAACAGTCAATATCAACTCTTCTTGTCCAACCTACCTAAAGTGGCCAAGTCATCACCATCAGATTACTACCCTCTCATTTCTGCATAGCATTTGTCACTATCACACATTTTTTGTTTGTTATTACCGCTTCCCACCTGATATTGAATATAAGGTTCACAAAAGCTCAAACTCTGTCTGAGGCACTGTTCTATCTGCAGATATTACAACCATACCTGGGCCCAGAGTAAACACTCAATAAATATTAATTGAATGAATAAATGTGAGCATTTTACTCTGTGCCAGGGGATGGGCCAAGTATTTAACACAATTTAGTTATATCACTGAATCTTTATGCTAATCCAAGGAATTAAGTTTTATTGTCTGCATTTCACAAGTTCTTACGGCCTAAGTGTGTAGTGACGCCTTTGTAATCTGCATGTTATAAAGTCACTAATGATTTCCTAGTCCTCGGATCCAAAATCTCCTTCTCAATGAAATTTTCCCTCATCATTCCAGCCTTGTTTCCACACTGGAGACTGTTGACCTTAAGGTTCCTCCTAGAAAATCTTTCTTGGATTCCACACATTTGGTCATTCAACAAAAGTTGTTTGAGCACCAACTATGTGCCTGTCACTATCCTATGTGCTGAAGGTGCAAACCTTTGATGGCCAAGCAGGAACTGGCAGGGTCCCAGTGCAGTGATGCTGGTTTTCTCCCCACCATTTCTTTTCAACCTCCTCCACAGGCTCGTCCTGATTTTCCCTCAGTCCCCAAAATGTGAGCATCCCTGAGGTCTAGCTGTAAGTCTCTCTCTGTGTACATTTCTACTTGACAATCTCAGCTACTATTCCCTGTTAAGCATGCACCTATATATAGATGCCTTATTAATCTGTATCTTTAATGTTGATCTTTCTTCTAAGTTCCAAATCTGCATCTCTTTTCTACCAGGACATACCCCTGTCACCTTATCTCAACCCAACAACTCTAAAGTGGAATCCGTCAAGCACCCTATCCTCCCAAACTATCCAGAATTTGTGGCATCTATTCTCTCAGAGCAATTACAAAGGAGAAACCAAAGATACATCACAATTTTCAGCTCAATGAATCCTATAAACAATAATAGAAGCAGCTGTTCCCTACCAGGGCTTCTATCTCTGTCTTTCACCCTTCTAAATATCATAGCAATCAAAAAAAATAAAAAAAAAAACCAGAAAAAATTAGTTCTGTATGGCTCAGCACAAAGAAAAGTATCCTTAATGCATTGGATCAGGCCAGTGGTCAGAAACAGCTGAAATAGCAAACTAGTGGTGGGAGAACTGACCTCAAAGGGTGACAAGCAGATTGGGCAAAAAGTAGAGTAGATTAAATTAGGAGACTTCTTCTCAACTCCTAACTCTACCTGGTGAGGCAGACTTAACTGTGACCTTGGACAAGGTACTGCCACTTTGAACTTTGGTTACATCATATGTACAATGATGTAACCAAGGGAGACTTTACAAAGCGAGAAGGATAATTTCAGTCCCATCTATTATAGTGAATAAGTAATATAATATTGAATAATTGATATGGATGATATAAAGTTATTTGGACTGGAAAATGAGAGACAAAAGTAAGGAATTCACATCAACATTAATTTGGTGGTAACCACTCTTGTAATTATAAATACTGGCTTTCAGAGAACTTCAGAATGTGTCCCCTTTGAATTGAGGGTAAATTTACTATAGGTTATGTTGATGTGGGTTTAGCATCAGGGCTGACAGTACAATGGATACACTCTCAGCTGCACCTACAAGACAGCAAAAGGCCTAAGGCCTTAGGCTTCACCATAGGAGGTGGGATCAGGGTTTCTACCTGAATTTAAAACCTTCACAACTTAGTTATTATACCCTATTTAAAGCCCCTATTGCACTGATTTGGATTTAATCCCCAATCTGAGATGAGTTAGAATCAATATGGGAGACTTCTTAACCAAAACACTTTCTTCTTGTACAAATCCAAAAGTTGTTGGCTGGGCGCAGTGGCCCACTCCTGTAATCCCAGCACTTTGGGAGGCCAAGGCGGGCGGATCACTTGTAGTCAGTCAGGGGTTTGAGACCAGCCTGGCCAACATGGCGAAATCCCGTGTCTACTAAAAATACAAAAATTACCCAAGCCTAGTGGCGTGCTGCTGTAGTCCCAGCTACTAGGGAGGCTGAGGCAGGATAATCGCTTGAACCCAAGAGGCGGGGCTTGCAGTGAGCCAAGATCACATCACTGTACTCCAGGGTGATGGAGTAAAACTCTGTCTCTGAAAAAAAAATTTTTAAAAAGTTGTCCATAGACTTGGAGTAGCAAAAACAAATGGAAAATCCTTGGCCCAGTAGACTCAGGTAAACGGAATGCAAAGGTTGACAGTTCAGCATAAAAGTATTTTGCAAGTTATCTCAACCCCGTAATCACAGATAGAGGAATTCTCTCTACTTCAAGAAAGGCAGACTGAGTTCACCCAGGGCCACCACTCATCGAAAAACAGTGCCTGAGAAAAGAAACAAAAACAGTACCTGTATACACATTCTTTGAGAAACAGTGCTGTGATCCATTAATGGTTTCTGCCATGGTAAGGAGGGAGATGCAAGGGAATAATGGGATTATCTCACATATTTGCCCTCTTACGGGGTCAGTCAATTTTAGATGTGTTCCACTAATCACGGTCAATAGAGATCAACGTTTTCTTTTTGTATTATGCAAAACTGTGCATATAATTTTGACCAAACAAATTTTACTTGAATCAAGCTAAGAAGCACCTGTTTTCAATACTGTGATGCTGAGGTCAAAGCTATGGGTTTAATCCCTCTGGGCCGTTAACTTTGCTCTGTTGAGCAATTCCTGATTTCATTTCATCCCTCATCAAAGTCATACATTTACATTTCTTTTTTTTTCTTTGAGATGGAGTCTCACACTGTCGCCCAGGCTGGAGTGCAGTGGTGCAATCTTGGCCCACAAAAATTAGCTGGGCGTGGTGGCGTGCGCCTGTAACCCCAACTACTTGGGAGGCTGAGGCAGGAGAATCACTTGAACCTGGGAGGCGGAGGTTGCAGTGAGCCGAGATCATGCCATTGCACTTCAGCCTGGGCAACAAGACCGAAACTCCATCTCAAAATATAAAAATCCAAGTGGGGTGGACCTTCATTCTGAAGGTGCCTGTGTATATGCATTAAATAAATTGGTATGCCTTGTCTCTAAGGCATTTAAAAAATCCAAGTAGGTTTTTTTTTCTTTTTTTTTTTTTTTTTGAGATAGAGTCTTGCTTTGTCACCCAGGCTGGAGTGCAGTGGCATGATCTCGGCTCACTGCAACCTCCGCCTCCTGGGTTCAAGCGATTGGCCTGTCTCAGTCTCCTGAGTAGCTGGGGTTACAGGTGCCTGCCACCACGCCTGGCTAATTTTTATATTTTTAGTAGGGACAGGGTTTCGCCATGTTGACCAAGCTGGTCTCGAACTCCTGACCTCAGGTGATCCACCTGCCTCCACCTCCCAAAGTGCTGGGATTAAAAACACGAGCCACCGTGCCTGGCCCCAAGTGGGTTTCTTTATATAAAATGACAAGTTTATTTTAAAATATATAGAGAAATATGAAGGATATGCAAAATAATTTTGAAAAAGAAGAACAAATTATGGAAACTTATACTACTTGACTTCAGGAGTTATCATAAAACTATCTTAAACAAGAAAATGTGATATTGGTGAAAAGACATGCTATTGGATCAGCAGAACAAAATAAAGAATCCAAAAAGCAGATTCACACATACTTGCTAAGTTCATTTATAGTAAGATGTTAAAGCAATTCAATGGGGAAAAAAATAATCTTTTCAACATTTCATAAACAGAATAAACCTCACCCTTATTTTTATACCATATACAAAAAAAAAACCCTCAAAATTAAACATAAAGAACCAAAACTATAAAACTTTTAGAATAAAACAGGCCAGGTGCAGTGGCTCACGCCTGTAATTCCAGCACTTTTGGAGGCCGAGGCATGCGGATCATCTGAGGTCAGGAGTTCGAGACCAGCCTGGCCAATGAGGTGAAACCCGGTCTCTATTAAAAATACAAAAATTAGCTGGGAGTGGTGACATGCACCTGTAATGCCAGCTACTCAGGAGGCTCAGGCAGAAGAATTGCTTGAACCCAGAAGCAGAGGTTGCAGTGAGACAAGATTATACCACTGCACTCCAGCCTGGGCAATAGAGCGCAACTCCATCTCAAATAAACCCCAAAAAACGGCAGGGCACAGTGGCTTATGCCTGTAATCCCAGCACTTTAGGAGGCCAAGGCAGGCAGATCATGAAGTCAGGAGTTCAAGACCAGCCTGGCCAACATAGTGAAACCCCCATCTCTACTAAAAATACAAAAATTAGCCAGACATGGTGGCGTGCGCCTGTAGTCCCAGCTACTCGGGAGGCTGAGGCAGGAGAATCATGTGAACCCGGGAGGCAGAGGTTGCAGTGAGCCGAGATCGTGCCACTGCACACCAGCCCAGGCAACAGTGCGAGACTCCATCTCAAAGAAAATGCAACAACAACAAAAAAAATAGGAGACTGTATGATTTTCAATTTTAGGTATCAGATGAACTGGATTAAGGAATATTTAGAGAGCTGCTAAAGCATTATTTCTGGATGTGTCTATGAAGGTGTTCCCAGGGAACACTGGCACAGGAGTCTGCCAACTGAGTGGGAAATATTTGACCTCAGGGTGGTTGGGCACCATCCAATCATCTGGGGCTCTGATAGAACAGAAAGGCAGGCCAGGCACGGTGGCTAACGCCTGTAATCCCAGCACTTTGGGAGGCCAAGGCAGGCAGGTCACCTGAGGTCGGGAGTTTGAGACCAGCCTGACCAACATGGAGAAACCCTGTCTCTACTAAAAATACAAAATTAGCCAGGCGTGGTGGCGCCTGCCTGTAATCCCAGCTACTTGGGAGGCTGAGGCAGGAGATTTGCTTGAATCCGGGAGGCAGAGGTTGCGGTGAGCCGAGATCACGCCATTGCACTCCAGCCTGGGCAACAAGAGCGAAACTCCCTCTCAAAAAAAAAAAAAAAAAAAAGAAAGAGAAAAGGCAGAAGAAAGGGGAATTCACTTATCTCTGTCCTATAGTTGGGGCACTCTTCCTGTCCTGACCTTGGACATCAGAACTCCAGGCTCTCTGGCCTTTGGACTATGGAACCTATATCAGCAGACCTTTTACCCCCACACGGATTCTCAGGCCTTCGGTCTCAGACTGAGAGTGACACCAACAACTTATTTCAACCCCGGTTGAGACTTTCAGACTTGACTTGAGCTACACTACTAGTTTCCCAGGGTCTCTAGCTTACAGATGGCCAATCAAGGGACTTCTTGGGCTCCATAATTATGGATCCAATTCCCTTAATAAATCTCTTCTCATATATCTACATCTATATCTACATCTATCTATCTATCTATCTATCTATCTATCTATCTATCTATGTACATATCCTATTGGTTCTGTCTCCCTGGAAAACTCTGACAAATACACTTTGGGAGAGGTAAACTTTTTTTTTTTTTTTTTAAAGACAGGATTCTGCACTCTCACCCAGACTGGAGTACAGTAGTGTGATCACAGCTCACAGCAGCCTTGACCTTCTGGGCTCAAGCAATTCTCTCACCTCAGCTTCATGAGTAGCTGGGCCCACAGGCACACGCCACAATGCCTAGCTAATTTTTGTATTTTTTTTGTGTAGAGATGGGGTCTCCCTATGTTGCCCAGATTGGTCTCAAACTCCCTAGCTCAAGCAATCTGCCCACGTCAGCTTCCCAAAATGCTGGAATTACAGGCATGAGCAACTGCACCTGGCCAACTTTTTTTTTTGAGACAGAGTCTCGCTCTGTCACCCAGGCTGGAGTGCAATAGCACGATGGCAGCTCACTGCAACCTCTGCCTCCCAGGTTCAAGTGATTCTCCTGTCTCAACCTCCCAAGTAGCTGGAATTACAGGCACACGTGGCCACCTCCGGCTAATTTTTTTTGTATTTTAGTAGAGATGGGGTTTCACCATATTGCCCAAGCTAGTCTCAAACTTCTGAGCTCAAGCAATCCACCCACCTTGGCCTCCCAAAGGGCTAGGATTACAGGAGTGAGCCACCGTGCCCGGCCCCAACATTTTAAAAATAAGATCCAGAAAGCCTTATTTAAAGGGAGAATGAGCCTAAAAATAATATTAATAAATAAATGAATAAGACCCATAAATTCGGCTGGGGCGGTGGCTCACGCCTGTAATCCCAGCACTTTGGGAGGCCGAGGCAGGCGGATCACAAGGTCAGGAGATGGAGATGATCCTGGCTAACATAGTGAAACCCCGTCTCTACTAAAAATACAAAAATTAGCCGGGCATGGTGGCGGGTGCCTGCAGTCCCAGCTACTAGTGAGGCTAAGGCAGGAGAATGGCGAGAATCCGGGAGGAAGAGCTTGCAGTGAGTGGAGATCACACCACTGCACTCCAGCCTGGGCAACAGAGTGAGACTCCACCTCAAAAAAAAAAAAGACCCATAAATTCAATAAATTGGATTTCAACAAAATTTAAAACATATTGCTCTACAAAAAACACTGTTAAGAAAATGAAAAGGCAAGACCCAGTCTGGGAGACGATGTCAGCAAATAGGTATCTGACAAAGCATTTTAATTAGAATATATAAAGGACACTTATAACTCAATAATAAGAAAACAAACAGTGTTACAGCTCTTTTAGAATTTGTCTAAAAATATAAAAATTTTAAAAAGAAAACAATTATAAAGCAAGCAAAATATTTGAACAGATATTTTACCAAAACAGATATACAGATAACAAGCACACAAAAAGATGCTCTTTTTTTTTTTTTTTGAGACAGACTCACACTCTGTCACCCTGCCTGGAATGCAGTAGGATGATCTTATCTCACTGCAGCCTCTCAGGTTCAGGCAATTCTCAAGCCTCCGCCTCCCAAATAGCTGGGACTACCAGCACACGCCACCACACCTGGCTAATTTTTTGTATTTTTTTAGTAGAGATGGGGTTTCACCATGTTGGCCAAGGTGGTCTAGAACTCCTGACCTCAAGTGATCCACCCACCTCAGCTTCCCAAAATGCTGGGATTACAGGCATGAGTCACCTTGCCTGGCCTCATCATTATTAATAATTAAAGAACATGGAATCAACCCAAATGCCCATCAGTGATAGACTGGACAAAGAAAATGTGGTATATATACACCATGGAATACTATGCAGCCATAAAAAAGAACGAGCTCATGTCCTTTGCAGGGACATGGATGGAGCTGGAAGCCATTATCCTCAGCAAATTAACACAGGAACAGAAAGCCTAACACTGTATGTTCTCACTTATAAGTGGGAGCTGAACAATGAAAACACATGGACACAGGCAGAGAAACAACACACACTGGGGCCTTTTGAGGCAAGGGGGAGGGACAGCATCAGGAAAAATAGCTAATGCATGTGGGGCTTAACATCTAGGTGATGGGTCGATAGGTGCAGCAAACCACCATGGCACACATTTACCTATGTTAACAAACCTGTACGTCCTGCACATGTATCCCAGAACTGAAAATAAAACAAAATTTAAAAATAATAATAATAATTAAGGAAGCACAAATTTAACCACAATGAGATACCATTAAACGATCCTTAGAATGGCTACAATTAAAAAGACTGACAATACCAGAGTCATTGCACTCCCAGACGGGAGTGCAATGGCACGATCTCGGCTCACTGCAGTTTAAATAAATGAAACATTTAAAAAGTTATATTTAGGCCGGGCGTGGTGGCTTACACCTGTAATCCCAGCACTTTGGGAGGACAAAGCAGGTGGATCACTTGAGGTCAGGAGTTCAAGACCAACCTGGGTAACATGGTGAAACCCCATCTCTACTAAAAACACAAAAATTAGCCGGGTGTGGTGGCACACACCTATAATCCCAGCTACTCAGGAAGCTGAGGCAGGAGAATCGCTTAAACCTAGGAGGTGAAGGCTGCACTGAGCCGAGATTGTACCACTGCACTCCAGCCTGCGTGACAGAGCAGGACATCATCTCAAAACAACAACAAAAAAATTATTTGATTTATAAAAGTACAGCTATTACATGTTTCTGTTTGCCCTAATAGTGTTTTCTGAAATTGTGATATATATTATTTCTTAAAATATTTTTATTTTTTCTCAAATATACTTTTATATTTGCTCTTTATAACAAAAAGTTAAACATTAAAATGTTTAAAAGGGCCATGGTCAGGTACAGTGGCTCACACCTGTAGTCCCAACACTTTGGGAGGTTGAAGCAAGAGGATCACTTGAGCCCAGGAATTTGAGACCAACCCGGGCAACAAAGTGAGACCCTGTTTCTACAAAGAACAGAAAAATTAGCCAGATGTGGAGGTGCACACCTGTGGTCCCAGCTACAGGGGAGGCTGAGGCAGGAGGATCCCTTGAGCCCAGGAGGTCAAGGCTGTAGTCAGCCTTATTCATGCCACTGCATTCCATCCTGGGCAACAGAGCGAGACCCTCTCTTAAAAAATAATAATAATAAAAATAGCCAGGCACGGTGGCTCATGCTTGTAATCCCAGCACTTTGGGAGGCCAAAGTGGGTGGATAACGAGGTCAGGAGTTTGAGACGAGCCTGACCAACATGGAGAAACCCCGTCTCTACTAAAAATACAAAAATTAGCCAGGCGTGGTGGCGCGCACCTGTAATCCTAGCTACACAGGAGGCTGAGGCAGGAGAATCGCTTGAACCCAGGAGGCAGAGGTTGCAGTGAGCTGAGACCATGCCACTGCACTCCAGCCTAGGTGACAGAGCAAGACTCCATCTCAAAAAAAATAATAATAATTAATAAATAAAATAAAATTATTGCAATAAATATCTGACAGAGATTGTTGTTTGTGTGTGTGTGTGTATATATATCTTTACACACTTTCACTAATATTTTTAAGATAAAAATTTAAACATAAGGTGCTAGTGAAACTGCCCTTGCAAAAATTATAACTGAGAAAATTATCACGGTGAAAGGGACCTGACCTAACTGAATCTATCTTGCTTCTAACCTCCAAGCTATCTTTGCTCATTCCTGGGCATAGGGTGAACTAACTTTGAGAGGAAATTACTTTATAGTTTAACTCTAAAACAAGACAATAAAACTCTTTCCCAAAACAAACCGCTTCTTGCCTGAGGAATAGACACCCTTCACATAACTAACAATTAGCTACAAGATTAGAAATTATGGCTTAGGAGTCATTCAGCTGAAGGTTGCAAGATTCTGAACCTCCCCAAATCGCTCCCAGGGATAATATCACTTTTGTAAAGCTTAATATCAGTGCTTGAGATATTTTGCCTATTCTGCACTCAGTGGATCAGCTGGCACCACCCACATAGATAAACTGCCTCATCCAGTCTTGTGGCCCCTACCTAGGAACTGACTCAGCAAAAGAGGTCAGCTTTGACTCCCTATGATTTCATCTCCAACCCGGCCAATCAGCACTCCCCAATTTCTGACCCCTTACCCACCAAATTCTCCTTAAAAACCCCAATCCTGGAGTTTTCGGGAAGATTGATTTGAGTAATAACTCCATCTCCCATATGGTGTGGCCAGCCTCCCATCAATAAAATTCTTTCTTTACTGCAATGCCATGGTCTTTATTTGTGCAGCAGGCAGGAAGAACCCATCAGATGGTTACACTGGGTCAAAGGATATGCACTTAAAGTGTTTATAGATGATTCCAAGTTTTCCCCAAAAATGGCTGCACTAATTTATGCCCTTTTCTGCCTTACTTCTATGTCGACATTGAAAAATATTTGCCAGTATATGAAGGAGGGGGAGGAGGAGGAGAAGAAAAAGAAATTTGATACAATATGATACAGAGAAATACTATCTTGCTTCATTTTACATTTCTTTATTAAAAAGATTTAATCTTTCATATTTTTCCTATCTAATGGGGCTTACATTTTTTCTTTTTTGAGTTGCCTATTCATATTCTTTGCTCTCTTTCTACAGAGCTGTTTCTATGTTTCGTTTCTTTTCTTTTCTTTTCTTTTTTCTGAGATGGAGTCTTGCTCTTGTTGTCCAGGCTGGAGTGCGGTGGCACCATCTCAGCTCACCGCAACCTCCACTTCTCGGGTTCAAGCGATTCTCCTGCCTCAGCCTCCTGAGTAGCTGGGATTACAGGCACGTGCCACCATGCCTGGCTAATTTTGTATTTTTAGTAGAGATGGGATTTCTCCATGTTGGTCAGGGTGGTCTTGAACTCCCGACCTCAGGTGATTCACCCGCCTCAGCCTCCCAAAGTGCTGGGATTACAGGTGTGAGCCACCGTGCCTGGCCAGTGTTTGTATGTTTCTTGTTGATTTTAGGAGTACTTTATCTTTTAAGTACTTTTTAGGTAAATATTTGCAAATATTTTCATCCAGCCTACGGTTTTTCTTTTAACTTTTCATTTTAATGTGGTTTACAGTGTTCAGCTTTTTGTTTCCTTGTGCTTTATTTTTGGTCATATCATTTTATAATCAAAATGTTTAATGTGTGCTATTGGTCACAAGAAGGACTTAGTGATAGTGTGAATCTATCAGTGTAAGAATTCCCCACATGTAGAAAAACTGCAAATGTGTAGATCCTAATGAGGCTGGCCAGAAGCAAAGCCATTCTCATGAAGCAAAGAATTATAGCTATTTTCCTGCTCTAAATAACCTAGGTATCATTTAGTGAAGTCTACAGAATTCTAATTTTAAGTAGAGAAACTCTCCGGGAATGTTTAACCGATATTCACATCATGTTTACAGAATTCTGAATGGAATTTCTTAGCACGTATTCAACCAAGGGAATCGAAAAATAAGGCACTCATGCTATCACCACCATCACTACCCCATTTCTTTACTCATTGTAGAAACTGCTAATTGATCACTCTTTCTTCCAGAGCCCAGATGTGGCCTAAAAGGTTTTCTCTATGAATCAGTAGAGTAAGCTGTTACCAACAGTTTGGGATTAGCACATAAGACAAAACCTGTTTTGCCACCCTGGTTCTAGCCCAATATTTCATAGTTAGAGGAAGAAATGAAGGGCCAGGTTGAGACTGTGACTTAACACGGGATCATGCAGCAAGTTAGTTGTAAAGCCGCAGCTCAAAACCAGCCTCCTGCTGCCCACTCTAACGCTCCTTCCAGGGCATGACTATGTCCTGCCTCTTCCGCCACCCCCAGAGGTGGCCCCTCATAGAATATGTGGTAAGGTCCCTTACAAAGAGTAAATTATACATAGAAACATTTTAGTCACAATGTATATGTCAATAACATCCTAATAGGGTTAAAGCTGGATTAGGAAGGGCCTTGTTGGGCAATTGATGGGGGTACCAATCTGTAAGGGGCCCTGAAACACATGACAAACATGAGGAAGTGGAGAACTTGTCTCAGGGAAAGCTCTGTATGGAATTGAATAAAATATGGAATAAAGTTGTTGCAGAAGGAGTGAGGAAGAAGAGTTGCCTCAAGGAGCAGGCCCAGTACCAACACAGAGTCACTAAGCAGCTAGTCTGATGAACTTTTTCTTTGGTGAGTGGAACAATAATACATTATTGGGGGCCAGAAGCAGTGGCTCACACCTGTAATCCCAACACTTTGAGAGGCTGAGGTGGGAGGATCGCTTGAGGCCAGGAGTTTGAGACCAGCCTCAGAAACATCGTGAGACACCATCTCTACAAAAAATTTTAAAAATTAGCTGGAAATAGTGGCACATGCCAGTAGTCATAGCTACTTGGGAAGCTGAGGACTGCTTGATCCCAGGAGCTTGAGTTTACAGTAATCATAGCTCAAGCTGTGATCGCTCCAATGCACTCTAGCCTGGGTGACAGAATGAGACTCTGTCTCTTAAAAAATTAAATAAATAATTGGGAATAATAAAAGAGAAACTAAAGATTGACAAAAGCGAGCCTCCTCCTCCATCCTTCTCCATGCATGCACCACTTCTCCTCTAAACTAACATTGACAAGTATCTAAGGACTATCAATTTAGAGTATCACCACATTATTAACCTACTGAGCACCAAATTGCTAGTTCTCAGAGGCACATGGCATGTCTCCAGCCAGCTTTATTTACTCCCACCCTAAACTCTTCCATCTTGCCTCCTCTAAAAAGGCTTCCTGCCGGGCGCGGTGGCTCACACCTGTAATCCCAGCACTTTGGGAGGCCGAGGCAGGTGGATCACAAGGTCAGGGGTTCGAGACCAGTCTGGGCAACATGGTGAAACTCCATCTCTACTAAAAATACAAAAGTTAGCCGGGTGTGGTGGCAAGTGCCTGTAATCCCAGCTACTCGGGAGGCTGAGGCAGGAGAATCGCTTGAACCCGGGAAGGCAGAGGTTGCAGTGAGCCGAGTTTGCTCCATTGCACTCCAGCCAGGGCAACAGAGTGAAGCTCCATCTCAGAAAAAATAATAATAAAAATAAAATAAAGGCTTCTTGGGCCTGGCATGGTGGCTCACACCTGTAATCCCAGCACTTTGGGAGGCCAAGGTGGGAAGATCACCTGAGGTCAGGAGTTCGAGACCAGCCTAGCCAACACAGTGAAACCCCGTTTCTACTAAAAATACAAATATTGTTTTTCCTCCCTGACGCCGCCGAGGTCACACACGTGAGGCCTCTCCACCACCGCCCCAATGCGGTACATCGCCTCCTAATTGCTGGCTGCCCTCGGGGGTAACCCCTCCCCCAGCAACAAGGACATCAAGAAGATCCTGGACAGCGTGGGCATCGAGACGGACAATGACCGGCTCAACAAGGTTATTAGTGAGCTGAATGGAAAAAACATTGAAGACGTCATTGCCAAGAGTATTAGCAAGCTTGCCAATGTACCTGCTGGTGGGGCTGTGGCCGTCTCTGCTGCCCCAGGCTCTGCAGCCCCTGCAGCTGGTTCCACCCCCTGCTGCAGCAGAGGAGAAGAAAGATGAGAAAGAGGAGTCTGAAGAGTAAAACGATGACATGGGATTTGGCCTCTTTGGTTAAACTCCTGCTCCCCTCCAAATAAAGCCTTTTACACATCTCTCAAGTTAAAAAAAAAAAAATTAGCCCAGCATATAGTGGGCACCTGTAATCCCAGCTACTCAGGAGGCTGAGTGGGGAGAATTGTTTGAACCTGGGAGGTAGAGGTTGCAGTGAGCCGAGATCACGCCATTGCACTCCAGCCTGGGAGACGGAGGGAGACTCCGTCTCAAAAAAAAAAAGAAAAAAGGCTTCCTGGACAGCTGCCCTGCCCGTGCTACCTATTTCTTTTTTTGCTTATCATCTGCACCCTGACTAGGCCCTGGGACCATGCCAGCTGTTATTGGCAAGCGTCTCTCTATGGAAGTACAACCTGCTTCTTCTTCACAGGCATAAACTGTGCCTTTTCCTCTTTCATGTCATGCAGCACGTGGTTAACACAATCTTGTTCAAAAAGCATTTATTAAATGGCAAAAAGAATACTATGGTAACTTATGGGCTTGACTTTCAAAGGATCCATGGAGACCTTGGAAGCAAGCTTCAAGGCCTATCTCATTGGCTCCTCTACTATTCATGAAAGGATTCTGCTTAGAGAGGTGTTTTTTTGTTGTTGTTTTTTGTTTTTGTCACCCAAGCCAGAGTGCAGTGAGGCACTCTCAGCTCACTGCAACCTCTGCCTCCCAGGTTCAAGTGATTCTCATGCCTCAGCCTCCCAAGTAGCTGCGATTATAGGCATGCACCACCATGCCCAGCTAATTTTTGCATTTTTTTGTAGAGACGGGGTTTCACCAGTGTTGGCCAGGCTGGTCTCAAACTCTTGACCTCAAGCCATCTGCCTGCCTTGGCCACCCAAAGTGCTAGGATTACAGGCGTGAGCCACCATTCCCACCCAAGAGGCATCATTTTGAATTGCTGCTATGGTTTGAATGTGTCCCTCAAAGCTCATGTTTTGGAAACTAAATGCCTAGTGCAGCAGTGTTGACAGGTGGGAACTTAGAGGTAATTAGATCATGAGAGCCCCTCATTAATGAATTAATGCTGATATTGTGGGAGTGGTTTCCTGATAAAAGGATGAGTTTAGCCCCTTCCCCCCATGTCTCTCTCCCTATCATCTCCCTCCCTTCCTCCCCCTTCTTCCCCTCTCCCTCCCTCTCTTGCTCTTCTGCCACATGCCATGGAATGATGCCACAAGAAGAACCTCATTGCTATTAGACTTCCCAGCCTTCAGAACTGAGAGAATTTTTTTTGTTTTGTTTTTTTGTTTTGCCGAGACAGGGTCTCCTTCTGTCACCCAGGCTGGAATAATGCAGTGGGGCAATCATGGCTCACTGCAGCCTCAACCTCCTGGGCTCAACTGATCTGCCCGCCTCAGCCTCCTGAGCAGCTGGGAATACAGGCATGCACCACCATGTCCACCTAATTTTTGTATTTTTTTTTTTTTTTTTTTTTTGAGACGGAGTCTCGCTCTGTCGCCCAGGCTGGAGTGCAGTGGCGGGATCTCGGCTCACTGCAAGCTCCGCCTCCCGGGTTCACGCCATTCTCCTGCCTCAGCCTCCCAAGTAGCTGGGACTACAGGCGCCCGCCACTACGCCCGGCTAATTTTTTGTATTTTTTTGTAGAGAGGGTGTTTCGCCATGTTGCCCAGGTTGGTCTCAAACTCCTGGGCTCAAGTGATCCACCCCCCTCAGCCTCCCAAAGTGCTGGGACTACAGGTGTGAGCCACCCCATGGAGAAATTTCTTTATAAATTATCCAGTCAGTGGTATTCTGCTGTTGCAACACAAAATGCACTAAAACAATCGCCTTAGCTGTTCTTATTTTGCAACCGATTCCCATTTAATCATAGTATTATAGATATGTAACATGTACTTCTACCTCCCCTCATGCCTAAGGCTCATAGCAATTTGTAGTGAGGCCCACATGGAATTTATTTATCCTCTATCTTGAAGGCTGAAATAGGGGACAAAGGTAGGAAAGAAATAAAAGTGGGGCAGAAATAAGGGAAGGATGCGGTGAATGCTGATGTGAGTTCACTGATAAACGCTAAACTTTATTTAGAAGACTGGCTCTGGCCAGGCACAGTGGCTCATGCATGTAATTCCAGCACTTTGGGAGACCAAGGCAGGCAGATCACTTGAGGTCAGGAGTTCAAAACAAGCTTGGCCAAAATGGTGAAACCCCGTCTCTACGGGAAAAAAAAAAAAAATTATATATACACACACACACACACACAGAGATAGATATAGGTAGATAGATATAGATATAGAAATATAGAAGAGTGGCTCTTGGCCGGGAGCGGTGTCTCACGCCTGTAATCCCAGCACTTAGGGAGGCCGAGGCGGGTGGATCACGAGGTCAGGAGATCGAGACCATCCTGGCTAACACGGTGAAACCCCGTCTCTACAAAAATATAAAAAAGTAGCCGGGCGTGGCGGCGGATGCCTGTAGTCCCAGCTACTCAGGAGGCTGAGGCAGGAGAATGGCATGAATCCGGGAAGCGGAGCTTGCAGTGAGCCGAGATCACGCCACTGCACTCCAGCCTGGGCGACAGAGAGACTCCGTCTCAAAAAAAAAAAAAAAAAAAAAAAGAGGAGTGGCTCTTAACTGTGAGGAGATTTTGCACCCCCAAGTAGGTTGCCAAATTATAGGTGGTATACCCAGTTACATTCACACATACTAAAGATTATTCAGGCTGGGCGCAGTGGCTCATGCCTGTAATCCCAGCACTTCAGGAGGCGGAGGCAGACAGATAACTTGAGGCCGGGAGTCCGAGACTAGTCTGGCCAACCTGTTGAAACCCCATCTCCACTAAAAATACAAAAATTAGCCGGGCGTGGTGGTGCACATCTGTAATACCAGCTACTCGGGAGGCTGAGGCAGGAGAATCGCTTGAACCCAGGAGGCGGAGGTTGCAGTGAGCGGAGATCACGTCACTGCACTCCAGCCTGGGAGATAGAGTGAGGATCTGTCTCAAAATTTAAAAAAAAAAAAATTATTCATTATTTCTCTAAAATTCAAATTTAAGTAGGCGTCTTGAATTTTTTTTTTGTTGTTGTTGTTGCTGTTGTTGTTGAGACGGAATCTCGCTCCGTCGCCCAGGCTGGAGTGCAGTGGCACGATTTCGGCTCACTGCAAGCTCCGCCTCTCGGGTTCACGCCATTCTCCTGCCTCAGCCTCCAGAGTAGCTGGGACTACAGGCGCCCGCCACTAGGCCCGGCTAATTTTTTGTATTTTTAGTAGAGACGGGGTTTCACCTTGTTAGCCAGGATTGTCTCCAACTCCTGACTTCGTGATCCGCCTGCCTCGGCCTCCCAAAGTGCTGGGATTACAGGTGTAAGCCGCCGTGCCCGGCCCGGCATCTTGAATTTTTATTTGCTAAATCTGGTAACCCTAACCCAGGGAACATGTGTCAATTTCTGAAGACATTATTTATTGTCACAACTTGGGAGTGCTACTGGCATCTAGTAGGTAGAGGCCAAGAATGCCGCTAAACATTCTCCAATGCACAGGGCAGGCCCCTCACAGCAAAGAATTATCTGGTCCAAAATGCTAACAGTGCCAGCATTTGACTTAGCCTGACTTGTAGCCTGACTTAGAAGGATGACTTTATCACTACAAAGAACTTATTATCACTAAAATATCACAGTAGGAAAATAGTACGCGTGTATATATGTAGGCACATATATTCTCCCACCCCGCCCCCAAAAACATGTTTCATAAGTTTCTGTCTTTTAAATCTACAAGCTATTATGAATTGGAGTTTTATAACAGTAACTTCCACAACCCCGGGGAGATATAACAAAATTCAGATCACGTTTTGGGGGGAAAGAAACTCAGAAATATTAAGTGATTTTCCAGGATCCCACAGAGCCCTAAGGAAAATAGAATTAAAACTCACAACTGCTAAACACATTGCTCATTCCAATAAAGCCGGCCTGTCTGCACCTCAACTGCTCAGCTCTCACCACGCTTGGAATAGGGTGGCTGCAAAAGGTTTTAGTTTTCAAGAGGAGATCAAAAGTTTTCACAACTGATTAGCATCCAGAAAGCACGGCCTCCTTTAACCTTGAGATGCAAATAGCCCAAGATTGTCAAGGGATCTGAGAGCTGGAGGATTTGATGGAAGATCAAATTCCTGACATTTCCAGGGCAATTAGTTTCACATGCAAAGTCACAGGAAAGTGCTGCCCATTCTCCACAAGCAGTAAAGCTGTAACAAGACTCAGCTTTACAAATTTGGACTAATTGGCCCGTACCCACCCAGCAGAGTTCATTATCATCATCCCCATTTCATAGAACAGAGAAGGTGGGTAGAAATCTGTTTATTCCACTACTAGGCACAGGCAACTTTAATATTTCCTATTTCAGAGCCCTATACATAAACTCCAGATACAGAAGGTTGGGATAACTCTGCTAATTATTCAGACCAGCAGGAAGGAAAGGTCTGGAATTAAGTCAAATCTCTTTGCCGGCACCCCTTAAAATTTCACTTGAAGGTGAGTCTTGGCTTCAAAAGGGTTTAAAACGGCTCAGCACTTTTATCTGATGGTTAAGGAAACCAGGGAGGAAGTTGCTGTCAATTCCAGCCAGGACTTTGGAGTCTGAGCTAAATTGATTTTGAAAGATTTGATCGCTGAACCACTTTTCTTGCACTGGCAGCCCAGGCTGGAGCCACGGCTGACTTCTCCGGACGTGCCATGGAGGTCAAATTCCAGCCAGGTGGCCAAGTGCATTTGGTAACTCAAATGTAGCCTGTTGTCACAATGGATTTTCCACTTGCAAGTATACAGTTGTATGTGTCTTTTGTCATTGCCCCAGCTCTCTGAAGGACACCACGTCAGCATCCTCTGGAGCCATTCAATGGCTTGGGACTCTTCCATCCGTCGGGAGGCTCTGCTTGACTGACAAGGTGTGTGACAACCCCGGACTCTCCAGGGCTTTTGTCAGAGGCCTTCGAACCAGAATGACTCCATCTTGAATAAGGGCTGGGTAAAATAAGGCTAAGACCTACTGGGCCACCTTCCCAGGAGGTTAGGCATTCTAAGTCACAGGATAAGATAGGAGGTCAGCACAAGATACAGGTTACAAAGACCTTGCTGATAAAACAGCACATGGGAAAGAATCCGACCAAAACCCACCAAAACCAAGATGGCAACGAAAGTGACCTCTGGTCGTCCTCACTGCTCGTTATACACTAATTATAATGCATTAGCATGCTAAAGGACACTCCCACCAGCACCACGACAGTTTACAGATGCCATGGCAACATCAAGAAGTTACCCTATGTGGTCTAAAAAGGGGAGGAACCCTCAGTTCCAAGAATTGCCCACCCTTTTCCAGGAAAATTCATGAATAATCCACCCCTTGTTTGGCATATAATCAAGAAATAACCATAAAAATGGGCAAACAGCAGCCCTTGGGGCTGCTCTGCCTATGGAGTAGCCATTCTTTTATTCCTTTACTTTCTTTCTTTTTTTTGAGATGGAGTCTCACTCTGTTGCCCAGGCTGGAGTGCAGTGTTGCAATCTCAGCTCACTGCAACCTCTGGCTCCTGGATTCAAGCGATTCTTCTGCCTCAGCCTCCTGAGTAGCTGGGACTACAGGCGTGCACCAACTCACCCAACTAATTTTTGTGTTTTTTAAGTAGAGACAGGGTTTCACCACATTGGTCAGGCTGGTCTCGAACTCCTGACCTCGTGATTCACCCGCCTTGGCCTCCCAAAGGGCTGGGATTACAGGCATGAGTCACGACACCCAGCCCTTACTTTCTTAATAAACTTGCTTTCACTTTACTCTATGAACTTGCCCCAAATTCTTTCTTGTGCCAAGTCCAAGAACCCTCTCTTGGGGTCTGAATCTGGACCCCTTTCCAATAACTTTCACCTTGATATTCCTCATTCTCTGGCACTGAGGAGGCTTCATATTATGTGAACTGGTAGCCTGCTTTGTCAAAGTGGCCCAAGGATACTGGTTGCAAAGCCTTGCCCTGAGAGAATGTTGCCAGCTCAAGATGCTGGTGAAATTCTTGCTGGCAGGACCAGCTCCTGACAGAACAGCTCTGCACTGGCTTCCCCACCCTTTTGGCCTTTCTCTAACCTTTCCTGAAAAAGGTGGGGCTGATAACAGGTAGTCCAAGCCCTACAAAGCTCTCTGCCCCCCTTAAGTCTCTGGAGTTCTTATAACAATAAGGTGTGGTGGTTGAGAACAAGGCTCTAGTCTCTGCCACTTTACTAGCTTTGTATCCTCTCAAAGTTATTTTTTAACCCCAGTTTCCTCATCTATGAACGTGGGATCGTGATATTTAGTGCAGAGTTGCAAGAAGCAATAAATGAGCCACTGGGACATGGTAAGGGCTCAATAAATATGATACTTTAATAGCAGTAGTGGTGTGGGTTTCTCTTCTCAAAGTCGTGGGTGAATTCAAGCCCTCAGGCCTACTCTATGACACCCACAAAAAATAAATACAAAAGAACAAAAAGAAAAGGA
Organism: Homo sapiens; assembly: GCF_000001405.40. Taxonomy (NCBI): domain Eukaryota; kingdom Metazoa; phylum Chordata; class Mammalia; order Primates; family Hominidae; genus Homo; species Homo sapiens. The sequence goes on along the minus strand of NC_000005.10, from coordinate 157,924,756 downwards.
AACAATGAAAAAACAAACTTCAAATTGCCTTATTCTCTTATTTGCCCTTGGTTGCATTCTAAAACCTCTATCTCCACCCAGTTTCAGTGTCCTTTTGCTGCCCTGTTTTAACCAGAAATCTATACCATCCCATTGACCTTGGCTCAGAATGCCCTCCCACATGCACCCTGGCACACAACATTTAAATCCTGCCTCCCATTACATCAAACTCCCACTGTCTCTGTGGCTTTGGTCAGCAGACACACTGGACCGGCCCTGGGTACTGGCACATCACACTGCTACCTTCAAAGGATGATTTGAGGAGGGCAAGAAGAACATGTACTTCCAAGGATCTCCCCCACTGGTCTGCTGCAGAGCCTTTCTTTTTTCCTCACTGGCCTAAAATGCCCAGTGTGAAACCTCCAGTTCAAGCGACATTGTCCCCCATAAGCTACTATAGAGATGTTCATTTATCACATGGGCAGCAAAGAAAGCCACTTCACTTACTAGGGAACCAGTAAGCCATCAATTCCCCAAAATTGGTGAGACCGGTGCATTGAAAAGGGAGCCAGGTGAAGGAACTGGGCTTTGGGATGGGGAAGTTTTGATGGGACCACAGGGAGAAAACATTTTACTTCATGAAAATCAAGCAGCTCTCCAACCATAACTAGTGGGGAAGAATGAGGGCTCAACAGCTAGGAGCTTAGAAAGTAAGATGTCCAAGGTTGTAGGGCAGAGCCAGGGAAGGTCAACTTCTCCCACTTTCCCTTCGCGTTGCCCAGGCCCTGCCTTCCAGAACCAGAAGGCAGCAGCTGTCTGGCTGGATATGCATATTCATGGTTGCTGCAGACAGAGAGGCGTGAATATTTTAAACCTATGTTTTCTGTTTCTGTCATGAGCTTGAAATCTTTTGCAGCCAAATTGTAGAAGGCAGGAAGTTTGAAGGGAAAAATCATTAGCTTCTTGGGCTTAAAGAGCCATAAACTTTTTTCATCTGCAGGGACTGTGGGGTAATCGATATCTAGGGAAAGGGGTAGGGAATACTACATGTGAGGTTTTTGTCATGCCCCTGTGGTGGGTCACCTTATATGGAAAAAGAACCAAGGGTAGGAAGAACAATAGTAAATGCAGATAGAACAGAACAACACAAGCTTTTAAAATTTTTCCAGTTCAGGTATGTGTGTGTGTGTGTGTATATATATGTGTGCGTATATATATATGCATGTGTGTGTATAGATATATATATGTGTGTGTGTGTGTATATATGTGTGTGTGTATATATATGTGTGTGTGTATATATGTGTGCATATATATATATGCGTGTGTGTATAGATATATATGTGTGTGTGTGTGTGTGTGTATATATATTGAGATGGAGTCTTGCTCTTGTTGCCCAGGCTAGAGTGTAGTGGCATGATCTCGGCTCAATGCAACCTCCACCTCCCAGGTTCAAGCGATTCTGCTGCCTCAGCCTCCTGAGTAGCTGGGATTACAGACATCCGCCACCACGCCTAGCTAATGTTTGTACTTTTAGTGGAGATGGGGTTTCGCCATGTTGGCCAGGCTGGTCTCAAACTCCTGACCTCAGGTGATCAGCCCACCTCGGCCTCCCAAAGTGCTGGGACTACAGGCATGAGCCACCGCACCCGGCCTAAAGTTTCTCCAGTTCTTAAGTCATTACTTTATGTTAGCTGAAGCCTTGAATTATCAAACATAATTTTTATTGACTTCCACGAATGCCATTAACATTTGGCTTATTCCTCCCCAATGCTTCCACACCTAAAAATAAAAAGAAAATAAGACAGGCAGATATATTAGGATAACAACCCTCCTTGACTCCCAAAATCTCAGTGGCTTGAGAGATAAAAGTACCTCTGAAGGAAATTAAAATATTTTACCCCATCTGGACATGATGGCTCCTGCCTGTAATCCCAGCACTTTGGGAGGCTGAGGTAGGAGGATCACTTGAGCCCGGAGTTCAAGACCAGACTGGGCAACATAATGAGACCCCCGTCTCTATGAAAATATGTATATATAAGAAAAAATATTTTATGCCTAATTATATTTCTTTTTTTTCTTTTGAGATGAAGTCTCGCTCTTGTCCCCCAGGCTGGAGTGCAATGGTGCGATTTCGGCTCACTGCAACTTCTGCCTCCTGGATTCAAGCGATTCTCCTGCCTCGGCTCCCCGGAATAGCTGGGATTACAGGCACCTGCCACCACGCCCAGCTAATTTTTGTATTTTTAGTAGAAACGGGGTTTCACCATGTTGGCCAGGCTCGTCTAGAATTCCTGACCTGCAGTGATCCACCTGCCTCGGCCTCCCAAAGTGCTGGGATTACAGGCGTGAGCCACCGCGCCCAGCCGCCCAATTATATTTCTATGACATATTTTGAAATGGCTGTGGCTTGGCCATCCTGACAGAAGTGGCCTTGAAAAGCTGTCTTAAGTGGGGACATTTTCAATCTGTATGGAGTCTACAAGAATGCAGCCTGTCCTCCCCTTCCTATCCCTTTCGCCAGACACAGAAGAGATTGAGAGTCTGACATCTTTAAAAGTCTAAAAAGAAATCTTTCACATCTATTCTCTCTGAGGGAGGCTTCATTTACATAACAAGGCCACCTTTGCTAGCCAAGCCTCTACTCCCCCTCCTATAAACTTTTTTATCAGAACCTAAGCCCTTATTATTTCTGTAATCTCAAAATGGTATATATATTTCTGTAAATCATTGCAAACTTGGGTCTTCATTCTGAAGGCTCCTGTGTATACACATTACATACATTTGTATGCCTCTTCTCCTATTAACCAATCCACCTCATATCAGTGATTTTTACCAAACCTTTAGAGGGCCAAGAACCTATGGCTCCCACACTTCTCATTTCATCGAAGTCCAAGTGGGATGCCATCACTCAGGTGCTTGTATCCTTCCAGCGGATTCTCTATATGGAACCAGCCAATAAGGGAGAAAGAAGGAGCATAAAGAAGGCTCTCCTGTACTTGACCAGATGTGACTCAACATTGAAACCACCTGCATAAAAATTATACCAGTGAGAGAATTATCGCATTGGTGGGGGGCTGTCATTTAGCCAAGCCCCCTCTTGCCTTTAGCCTTCAAGCTGCCCTTAATTATTCCTGGACTTAAGCCAAGCTGACTTTGGGAGACATTTCATTTATAGTTTAAATGATAATCACCCTTCCCCAAAACTCAACTGCCTTTATAAACCTAATGAGAGACTACCAGGCTAGGAGGATAGAGGAGCTTGAATTCTGCTGAGGTGTAAATTGTTGCTGCTGTTATTCCAGAAGTGAAAAGATATGTGACTTCCCCAATTACTCCTGCAAATAACATCACTATCGTAGAATGTAAGATTGACTTTTTGAGATGTCTTTTCCGGGCCGGGTGCAGTGGCTTACTCCTGTAATCCCAGCACTTTGGGAGGCCGAGGCAGGCGGATCACGAGGTCTAGAGTTTGAGACTCAGCCTGGCCAACATGGTGGATCCCCCTCTCTACTAAAACTACAAAAATTAGCTGGGTGTGGTGGCATACTTCTGTAATCCCAGCCACTCGGGAGGCTGAGACAGGAGGCAGAGGTTGCAGTGAGCTGAGACCACACCATTGCACTCCAACCTGGGTGTCAGACTCCATCTCAAAACAAGGAAAAAAAAAACTAAACAAATGTATTTTCCAGTTTTTTACAAGTCTGACATCGATGGCTCCATCTGGACCTGCCAACCACTCCTGTGGCCCCACCCAGAAGCAACTCAGCACACAGGAGGACAATTTTCCACACCCCAATGATTGAATCCCCAACCAATCAGCAGCAAGCCCCAGTTGTCTATCCACCTCCACCCCTTTCCCCAAACCATCTTTGAAAAACCTCTAACCTGGCAGAGAGTGGTGCCTCACACCTGTAATCCCAGCATTTTGGGAGGCCGAGGCGGGTGGATCACCTGAGGTAAGGAGTTGAAGACCAGCCTGGCCAACATGCTGAAACCCCGTCTCTACTAAAAATACAAAAATTAGCCGGGCATGATGTCCAGTGCTTGTAATACCAGCTAGTCGGGTGGCTGAGGCGGGAGAATCACTTGAACCTGGGAGGCGGAGTTTGCAGTGAGACGAGATTGCGCCACTGCACTCCAGCCTGGGCAACTGAGCAAAACTCCGTCTCAAAAAAAAAAAAAAAGAAAAAAGAAAAGGAAAACCCCTAACTTCCAAACATTGGAGGAGATTGATTAGAATAATAATAAAACCTTGGTCTCCTGTTCAGCCAGCTCTGCATGAATTAAACTCTTTGTCCATTGCAATTTCCCTGCTTTGATAAATCAGCTCCATCTGGGCAGCAGGCAAGAAGAACCCATTGAGCTGTTACATCATCATTGCAGCTTACATTACATTGTGGGTAGCTACTCTGTGGTCCAAACTTAATGCAAAGGGGCTGGAAAAACATAATCCAGCTGTGTGCTGAAAGTGGATTGGTGAAAAGAAAATGGATTGGCAAGCACCTGGTCTCTCCCACAGCAAATGACATTAACTTTGGCAGCTAGTCAGTTTCACATTTGGTTTTTCTCTTCATTGGCACAATATATAATGCAGACATGGCTGGATTGAGCAAGATTGATGTTCGCAGGAGCCAGATAAATCATCTTCCTCTAGATTGGCAGATATTTGGCAGTTTGCTGTCACTTCTTATTTCCTGACCGTAGCAGTTACAGCTAATTAATCGTGACACTCCTTCCCTATAACTGCAGTCACAGTCACATAATCCTTCTCAGTATGGAGCTGTGGACAGTCAGAACCAATGGATCAAAGTCAGCATACAATACAAACCTACTGGCATCTCGATTCTCTTTATCCCTTACATTTTATAGGTGAGGAAACTGAAACCTAAGGAAGTAGAATAATTTGATCATTGACAAAGTTATAGTGAGTTCCTATAAGGGAGGAGACCACCCCTCATATCATCTTATGCCCAATTTCTGCCTCCAAAGAAAGAAGAAGTAAAAACTAAAAGGCAGAAATGAAATCCACAGGCAGACAGCCCGGTGCCGCACCCTGGGCCTGGTAGTTAAAGATCGACCCCTGATCTAATCAGTTATGTTATCTATAGATTACAGACATTGTATAGAAATGCACTGTGAAAATCCCTATCCTGTTTTGTTCTGATCTAATTACCGGTGCATGCAGCCCGCAGTCACGTACCCACTGCTTGCTCAATCAATCATGACCCTCTCACACGCACCCCCTTAGAGTTGTGAGCCTTTAAAAGGGACAGGAATTGCTCACTTGGGGGGCTCAGCTCTTGAGACAGGAGTCTTGCCGATGCCCCCGGCTGAATAAACCCCTTCCTTCTTTAACTCGGTGTCTGAGGAGTTTTGTCTGCGGCTTGTCCTGCTACACCTACTATACACTAGACACTCTGCTACGCTCAGGCAATGTTACTTTAAACAAGACACACCCTTTCCTTCAGGAAGTTAAGGGAGAAAAGGAAGTCAGGTTGTTAGAGTAGGCAGTCAGGCAGATATGAGCAGGGCAGGAGAGCGCCCAGCCCATCAACCACCACCATCAGATGATGGTGAGGCAGTTGTTAAACTGTTTCTCTAACGTAGTAATTAGCTGCAGCTGGTGGCAGGGAAAAGCAGTCTCGCAATACATAGAAAACACCTGAAGCTGGTGATCAGCCACTTCCCCTGATAAGATCTCAGGAGTTGGGCGAGTGGGCTCAAATATGTGCACTAAGAGGCAAAAGGGTGGAGTTTAACTGGTATATGACCTTCCTCTGGGAACACTCAACTAGTTAGGAAGAATGCCTCAAGTGAGGCAGTGCACAACTTCAGTAAACACGCTGAGCATGTGGCCCCTCCCAAGTGCTGGCAGGCCACTGTGTATGCAGACAGCCTACCCCCGGGGAAGAATCAGAGAAGAGACACGAGAACCCAGAAGCATGCCAGTATATAAAACCCCAAGTCAAAAGTCAAACCATGGACTTGAATCTCTTAAGTCGCTCGCTTGGCCCTCTTCCACATGTACTTCACTTTCTTTTGTTCCTGCTCTAAAATTTTTTAATAAGCTTTCACTCCTGCTCTAAAACTTCCCTCGGTTTCTCCCTCTGCCTTGTGCCCTTCGGTCAAATTTTATCTTCTGAGGTATGGATTTGCTGCTGCTGACAAGATGAGTGGACAGGAAATTACAATACAGCATAACAAGTGGAAAGAAGAGACGAAGGCAAGATGCTATGAGAGAACATTGAAAACACCTTTGTGAAAATTGTAACGGTGAGAATATTATGACAGTCACAGAGATCTGACCTAACTGACTCCATCTTGCCTCTAATCTCCAAGCTATCCTTGTTCATTCCTGGGCATAGGCCAAACTAACTTTGGGAGGAACTTAGTTCATAGTGTAACTCTGAAACAAAGATAACACCCCTTTTCTGAAACAAACCCCCTTCTTGCCTGGGGACCAGACTGCCTTTGTAGGACTAACAAATTAGCCACAAGATTAGAAATTATGGTTTAGGAATTATGCAGCCACAGGCCACAACATTCCAAACCTCCCTAATTGCTCCCAGGGATAACAGCACTATTGTAAAACCTAAGATCAGTGCTCTAGGTACTTTTCAGACCCTGCATTTTGATGCAGCAGAGGGCGCCACCCAGACCAGTAAACCGACTCATCTGGTCTTGTGGCCTCTACTCAAAAACTGACTCAGCACAAGAGGACAGCCTTGACTTCCTATGATTTTTGTCTCCCACCCAACCAATCAGCACTCCCCACTCCCTGGCTCCCTACCCACAAAATTATCCTTTAAAATCCTCAGTCTCTGAATTGTCAGGGAGACTGATTTGAGTAATAATAAAACTCTGGTCTCCCATTCAACCGGCTCTGTGTGAATTAAAGTCTTTCTATATTGCAATTCCTGTCTTGATAAATTGTCTGTATCTGGCCAGTGGCAAATTAACCTGTTGGGTGGCTGCATGACAGTGGTAAATAAAAAGAATTATTTTGATCCTGATAAGGAACACTTTATTCAAAAGACTACTGTAATGGGGTTTTGTAGTAGGGGAGGGAGATTGGGCACAACTCCAAATACAACAACAACAACAAAAAAATGGGGATTTTGGCCAAGAAGCAGGGCAGAGGCATGAATGGATGGGAAATCACTAGGAGGGTAGGATAATTCTTGCTAAATTAGCCTAACAGGATTCTTGCTAAAGGCAGGCCAGGGTGATCAGATATCAAGGGTGAGGATTCTCTGTAAACTTACTGTCTTAGTTGATTTTGTGTTGCTATAACAGAATACCACAGACTGGGTAAGTTATAAAGAAAAGAAATAGCTGGGTGCAGTGGCTCACACTTGTAATCCCAGCACTTTGGGAGGTTGAGGCAGGAGGATTGCTTGAGCCTAAGGGTTCAAGACTAGCCCGGGCAACATAGTGAGACCTTGTCTCTACTAAAAATAAAAAATTAGCCAGGCATTGTGGCACACACCTGTGGTCCCAGCTACTCAGGGAGCTGAGGTGGGAGGATTGCTTGAGACCAGGAGGTCAAGGCTGCAGTGAGCCATGATTATCTCACTGCGCTCCAGCCTAGGTGACAGAGCAAGACTCTGTCTCAAAAAAATTTAAAAAAAGGAAAGAAAAGAAATATTTCTTACAGTACTGGAGGCTGGGAAGTCCAAGGTCAAGGGGCCCGCATCTGGAAAGGGCCTTCTTGCTGCATCATCCCATGGCAGAAGGTGAAAAGGCAAGAGAAGAGGCTGCGGTCACTTTTTTTTCTTTTTTTTTTTTTTGGAGACGGATGTCTCGCTCTGTCACCCAGGCTGGAGTGCAGTGGCGCGATCTCGGCTCACTGCAACCTCCTCCTTCCAGGTTCAAGAAATTAACCTGCTTCAGCCTCCCGAGTAACTGAGACTACAGGCACACGCTGCCATGCCCGGCTAATTTTTTTTTTTTTTTTTTTTTTTTTTTTGTATTTTAGTAGAGACGGGATTTCACCATGTTGCCCAGGTGGGTCTTGAACTCCTGAGCTCAGGCAATCCACCCACCTCAGCCTCCCAAAGTGCTAGGATTATAGGCGTGAGCCACTGCACCCAGCCTGAGCTCACTTTTTAAATAAATTCATTCTCATGATAACAAAAGCACTCCTGTGATAACAGCATTAATCCATTCATGAGGGTGGAGCCCTCATGAACAAATCGCCTCTTATTAGGCCCCATCTCCCAACACTGCTGCATTGGGGATTAAGTTTCCAACACATGAACTTTTGGGGACACATTCAAACCACTGCGCTAACTTAACAAGATTCTTGCTAAAACTGAGTGATGTGAGTCCAGCAAGGATGGACACTGAAGCTCAAGGCCTACAGGATTTAGAGGAGCCTCACTAGAGTTAGGTCCAGAAGGGATCTTTTGCCAGCAGTGACAGCTAACCTAGTCATGATGAGAGAGAAGCAAAACTTGCTGGAAGAAGACACATCTATGCCAAATCATGAAACATGAATACACTTTAGCCAAGCAGAGTGTAAAATTGGAAGATAAGAGCATCTCAGCCAGAGGAACCCACCTGTTCAAAGGCCAAAAGGTAAAAATGAGGATGGTACACACAGAAAACGGCAAAAGATGTAGCCTGGCTAGAGCCCACAGTGTACAGAAATGGAATTAAGGGTGTACCAATTAGCTATTGCTATATAACAAACCATGGCAAAACTCAGTGGCTTGAAATAATAACAGCATTATTGTTGCTCATGAGTCTATGGGTCAGTTGAGCAGTTCTTGTTTCAGTTAGGCTCATTCATGTATTGGCAGTCAGCTGAGAGCTGGGCAGGCGGCTCTCTTTTGCATGCCTAGGCATCCGCTAGCTGTAGACTGGTCTAGGATAGCCTTGGCTGTGACGACTGGGCTGTCTTCCAAATCAGCTCCCATTCTCCAGCAGCCTGGCCTGTCCACACGGTGGTGGCAGGGTTCCAAGAGAGAGCAGAAGTACTCCAGACCTCTTGAGACCTAGGCCCAGAATTGACACAGGACCACTTCCAGTGTATTTAAAAAGCCAAAGCAAGTCACATAGCCAGACTAGAGTCAAGGGGCAGGGAAATAGACTCCACCCCTTGATGAGAGAAGCTGCACAACATTTTTGCAAATCATGTGAACACAAGGAGGGAGAATTTGGTCTTTTTTTTTTTTTTTTTTGGCCTCCAAATCAACCTACTGTAGAGAGAGAGGATTGGCAAGATGTCAACCAAGAGAGACGGACAGGCCCAAATCATGAAAAGTCTTGTGTGCCAACCTCAGGAGTTGGAGAGGAAATGGGGAGCCATGGAAGAGTGACATGATCGGATATGAACTCTAGACAGGCATTGCTTTAACCCAAAAGGTAGCTGACCAGCTTGAACAACATAGTAAGATACCATCTCAACAAAAAATACAAATTAAAAAAAATAGCCAGATGTGGTGGTGTGTACCAGTAATCCCAGCTACTCAGGATGCCAAAGCAAGGTAGGAGGATTGCTTGAGCCCAGGAGTTTGAGGTTGTAGCAAGCTAGATAGTAACACTGCACTTAAGTTTGGGTGACAGAACAAGACCTTGTCTCTAAAATAAAAAATAAAGACAGTTGATAAAGACCTGGATAATGGTAGGAGAGATGGAATTCAGTCATTAGATTCAAGAGAACCACGGACGTACTACCTGCTGCGGGGGTGAAGGGGGAAACATCTAAGGTTGCATAGCTGGTGAGTAGCAGAGGGAGAGTAAAGCAAAGCTTAGCCAGGCGTGGTGGCACACGCCTGTAATCCCAGCTACTCGGGAGGCTGAGGCAGGAGAATCGCTTGAACTCGGGAGGTGGAGGTTGCAGTGAGCCAAGATTGTGCCAATGCACTGCAGCCTGGGCAACAAGAGCGAAACTCTGTCTCTAAAATAAAATAAAATAAAAAAATAAAGCAAAGTCTTCTACATCCCAATCTGATATCACTGCCATTCCTCTTCTGGGTGCAGTATTTTAAGTTCAGGGATTTTTCCATCCCTCTCCTATCAGTTGCAGTGTTCCCTTGGCCATTTTCTGAATCTATCACCCGGAAACAGACACACCAAAGCCATTCTAAGACACAAACCTCATGGAGACATAAAGTCCAGTTTATCCCAGCTAACAGTCAGAGACTTAACGCCTTTAGAGATAAGGAAATAACAATAAACACTAATAACTAGCATGTCTACCTGGTGTGGCTTGGAGAATCATTAACCTTTGTTAGATAAACAAATCTTGGCTGTTACCCACCTAGGTCTATGCTTCTCAGGGTTGTTTATGTGAGAAGCAGCTCAGTTGCAAATCAACACCTGTCATTAGGAGCATCCATTCTTTTGACTCTCAATTTGGGTCTCGTATTTGAAGCCAATTTGTTCACCCTGCCCACAGCATCTTAATCCTTTGGCACCTCCTCCCAGCCAGCCGGCTGTGTGCCTCAGTTCAATTTCAGCTGCTCTATTGAATGACTTCTCCAGAATTCTTCGCAGTGAATCGCATGTATGCCGAATAAATATTGCCTGTATTCTATCTGATCATTGCAAACATACCTTCCAAATCAGATTAAATCCACCTAATTGATTTTACACATCATGATGACAAACAAAAACTACTTCTGTTTATAGTAGAAATTTGCACCTCCACCTTAATTGCACAGCACTTTTCTGTAAAGTGGCTCAAGACACTTTGTGAATGTTATTTCATTTAATATTACACCTTTGGCGCTAGGCACAAGCCAGATTTCATTACTCTTTTTTATTCAGGTCCAGTGTGTTAACTGATTTGCAAAGCTAGCCTCAATAATTCCACCCAGCCCTAGTATATACACAGGCAGAATCTGTTTCCCCACTTTGTGAATCTGGCTTGGCCTCATCACCTGCTTGAAGCAATAGAATATGGCATAAGTGACGTTGGGCAACTCAATAGGCCTTGTAGCTTCTGGTGTGGCTCCTCTGGAGCTCCTGCTGTGTTAATTAATGAGAGCCTGCCAGACATCAATAGCAGCCTGTCAAGCCCGCCTTCTGGAGGATTAAGTAAGAGTGTGCATGCTAAGCCCCTGGCACATAGTAGGTGTTAGTTTCTTGCCTCACTTTCTATAGCAATCATTTTTATCTAGAGAAGGCTGGAACTAAATTAATAACTTTTGTATATTTTTTTAAAGAGTAAGAGAATAGTTTTTTCCTTTTCTTTGCTCAGAAATGTATTTAGAACCTGGTGTGACGATGGCCAGTTGAAGTGTGTCAAATATGATTACCATCTGAAGGACAGCAGCAGGGTTCTTCAAAAACCCTCTGCCCCTTACTGGGAGAAAGGGTTCACTTTGTAATACATTCGCAAGCAATGAGAACAGAGAGTACTTTGAGTTCTGAATACTAAGTATAGTTCAAAAATCCAACTCATTGGAAAGGAGAAAGGAAAATCACAGGTTTTACAACAAAGTCACTTTTCAGGTTCTCAGAATCACTTGAAAAGACCTATTTTACTGTTTGCCTGCCAAACTCGAGTTTTTTGTCCTATGGCTGCTAACTACATAGGTCTCCATGGGTCACCAGGGCCTCAGACGCAGAAGGACTGCGTTGCCTTAGCAGGAAAAACCAGTCAAGCTGGTGGAGGGCAGTGCAGCAGGTGGCAACTTGCTCCCTCCTTGGAGGTTTTTGAGGCTTACAAGGAGAAACGGGTGTGATAGGTGGATGGGGTCATGCAAAGGGTGCGGTGACATTCTCTTGTGAAGACCAGGTGTGTGACAGTAGCAGCAGCAGAGTTGATAACAGCCAAAAATCTGGATAGCCATTACTAGAAAAAGATATAGTGCCTACTGAAACATCCGGACCACCATCAGGAAATGCAATCATCCAGGCTCGGCAGCCTTTCAAAGGCACCCATCCGAGACTCTCTTTTGTGTCCTTCCATTCTCTGGGACCCTGCCAGTACATAGGGTACTCTCGGTACTAGAGACTGCGTGTACACAGAGAAGGAAGTGAGAAAGCCAGTAACACCCACAATCAGGTGTTTCAGCTAGGGCAGTGGGGTGGGGAAGGTTACTCCTATGCCAGTTTTCTTTGGCATATGACTAGGAGCTTGCTAATACTTGCATTATAATTTATAAATTGAAGTCTATATGAAAGTTACTTTAATGAGTAGGTGACTCAGGACTTCAGGTTTGAGCAAGGTCATATGCTTTTATTTATTTATTTATTTATTTGAGACAGAGTTTCACTCTTGTCTCCCAGGCTGGAGTGCAGTGGCACCATCTCGGCTCACTGCAACCTCCGCCTCCCAGGTTCAAGCGATTCTCCTGTCTCTGCCTCCCGAGTAGCTGGGATTATAGGCACAAGCCACCATGCTCAGGTAATTTTTGTATTTTTTAGTAGAGACGGGGTTTCACCATGTTGGCCAGGCTGGTCTTGAACTCCTGACCTCAGGTGATCCACCCGCCTCGGCCTCCCAAAGTGCTGGGATTACAGGCATGAGCCACCACACCCGGCTCTTTTTTTTTTTTTTTTTTTTTTTGAGATGGAGTTTCGCTCTTGTTGCCCAGGCTGGAGTGCAATGGCAGGATCTCGGCTCACCACAAACCTCTGCCTCCCAGGTTCGAGCGATTCTCTTGCCTCAGCCTCCCGAATAGCTGCGATTGCAGGCTCCCACCACCACGCCCAGCTAATTTTTGTATTTTTAGTAGAGACGGGGTTTCACCCTCTTGGCCAGGCTGGTCACAAACTCCTGACCTCAAGTGATCCGCCCACTTTGGCCTCCCAAAGTGCTGGGATTACAGGTGTGAGCCACCATGCCCAGCCCATGTTTTTATTTTTCTAAATCCACCTTAGAGCCCCACACACTGAGGTCAGTGAGAATTGCCACCATGTCTGTGGCTTCCTCTCTGAGCATGGGTGCTGATACAGTCCAGGAGAAATGGAAGCGAGAGTTCTAGTCATCAGTCCCTCACTGTCATTACTATCACTATCACCACTGCTCCTTCTTCTTCTTCCTTTTTTTTTTTTTGAGATGGAGTTTTGCTCTAGTCACCCAGGCAGGAGTGCAGTGGCGCGATCTCGGCTCACTACAACGTCCGCCTCCCTGGTTCAAGCGATTCTTATCACTCAGCCTCCCAAGTAGCTAGGATTACAGGCGCCCGTGACCACGCCCGGCTGATATTTGTATTTTTAGTGGAGACGGGGTTTCCCCATGTTGGCCAGGCTGGTCTTGAACTCCCTACCTCAGGTGATCCACCCTCCTCGGCCTCCCAAAGTGCTGGGATTACAGGCTTGAGCCACTGCGCCCGGCCACCACTGCTCCTTCTAACACATGCACTGTGGTTGAGAGCTGCTCCCTCCATGTCTTGGTGCTGGCTGCTCTGTGTTCTCCTTCAGCCTTCCTCTCCCTAGTTCCTAGGCCGCAGGAGCCGAGACACTTTTCCCAAGTGTGCCATCCACACCACTGCCCTCTAGCCAAGGGCCTGAAATGCTCTGTACAAGAAGCAGCCTATATTTCAGATACCCTACAAAGAAATCCACGCTCCCTATCCCTTCCCAGTATCTAGGAAGGGACTTCAACACAACCTTCCTCCTCTCATCTGCAAAATGAAGAAAATTGTTGGCCAAGCGCAGTGGCTCATGTCTGTAATCCCAACACTTTAGGTGGACAAATCACTTGAAGCCAGAAGATCGAGACCAGCTTGGCCAATGGTGAAACCCTGTATCTACTAAAAATATAAAAATTAGCCACAGGCATGGTGGCATGCACCTATAATCCCAGCTACTCGGGAGGCTGAGGCACAAGAATCGCTTGAACCCAGGAGGCAGAGGTTGCAATGAGCTGAGATTGTGCCACTGCACTTCAGCCTGGGTGACAGAGCAAAACTCTGTTTCAAAAAATAAAAGAAAAATAATAGAAAGTCTCACACCTGTAATCTCAGCACTTTGGGAGGCTGAGGCAGGTGGATCACGAGGTCAGAAGTTCAAGACCAGCCTAACTAACCTGACCATCTCTATTAAAAATACAAAAATTAGCCAGACATGGTGGCACGTGCCTGTTATTCCAGCTACTTGGGAGGCTGAGGCAGGCGAATCACTTGAACCCGGGAGGCAGAAGTTGCAATGAGCTGAGATCACACCACTGCACTCCAGCCTGGGTGACAGAGCAAGACTCTGTCTCCAAAAAAAAAAAAAAAAGAAAAGAAAAAGAAAGTTGTCGGCCGGGCCTGGTGGCTCACACCTGTAATCCCAGCACTTTGGGAGGCTGAGGCAGGCAGATCACCTGAGGTCAGGAGTTCAAGACCAGCCTGACCAACATGGTGAAACCCCATCTCTACTAAAAATACAAAAATCAACCGGGCGTGATGGCGCATGCCTGTAATCCCAGCTACTCTGGAGGCTGAGGCAGGAGAATCACTTGAACCTGGGAGGCAGAGGTTGCAGTGAGCTAAGATCGTGCCATTGCACTCCAGCCTGGGCAATAGAGTGAGACTTTGTCTCAAAAAAAAAAAAAACCCCAGAAAAGTTGTCATGTGTCATGCACCTATGGAGCAGGGGAACCCAAAACTCAAGGTTGCCTGCCTTTCCTTAGAAATGGAAAATTTACCTATTCATGCCTTGGTCCTGATTCTACCATAATGAGTAAAGCAAAGCAAAGCATAGGTTAAATAATTATTAATGACAGTCTGCCAGATACAGAAACATGGCTATCTCTCCCTCCTTCCATATATTTGTCTGCTCTCACACCCCTATAACGACATACCCAAGACTGGCTAATTTATAAAGAAGAGAGACTTAATTGGCTCGCAGTTCTGTATGGCTGGGGAGGCCTCAGGAAACTTACAGTCAGTGCAGAAGGCAAAAGAGAAGCAGGCATCTTCTTCACAAGGCAGCAGGAGGGAGAATGAATGCAGGAGGGACTATTAATACCAAAGTTATAAAACCATCAGATCTCATGAGAATTCACTTGGTATCAGGAGAACAGCGTGGGGGAAACTGTCCCCCATGATTCAATTTCCTCCACCTGGTCTCTCCCTAGACACGTGGGGATTATGGGGCTTACAATTCAAGATGAGATTTTAGGTAGGGACACAGCTAAACCATATCATCCCACTTTTGGTAACTAACAGTAAATCTTTGTTGATAGGCATAGAAATGCAAAGTCGCTTACACAAGTTGTTCATGCTTTCTTTGCCCATGCCAATGTGGTCTCTAAAACAGTAAATTCTCAAGGAGTCACCATCAAGTTTACTTTTTAGTATAATTATGATATGATACAAAGCTAGTAACTAGTAACTATCATCATCATCATCTTATATTACCATTTATTGAGAGCTTATTTTGTGGTAAGCATTGTATCAAGAGCTGTGCACGTGTTACCTTATTTATTCTCAACAACCCACCGAAGTAGGCATTTTTATCCCTGTTTCCCAGTTGTAGAAATAAAAGTCAGAGAGATTAAATTGCCCAAGATCATTAGCTAATATGTAAAAGAACTGGGGTCAAGAACATGTTGTCTAGCCAGCACAGTGGCTCATGCCTGTAATCCAAGCACTTTGGGAGACCAAGGCGGGTGGATCACCTGAGGTCAGGAGTTCGAGACCAGCCTGGCCAACATGGTGAAACTCCGTCTCTACTAATAATTACAAAAATTAGCCAGGTGTGGTGGCAAAAATTACTAGTAATTACAAAAATAATTACAAAAATTAGCTGAGTATGGTGGCACACACCTGTAATCCAGCTACTCTGGAGGCTGAGGCAGGAGAATCACTTGATCCTGGGAGGGGGAGGTGGCAATGAGCCAAGATCATGCCATTGCACTCCAGCCTGGGTGACAAGAGCGAAATTCCATCTCCAAAAAAAAAAAGTCCGATTCCAAATCCCAAGCTTGGAAGTTCTATGATACATAACATAGTCTTCCTGCCATATATAGGAGGTATCCAAATGTTCCTTACTAGGACCTCTGGGATCTAGCCCCTCCCTACCTCTCCAGACTATGTACTGTCACACATCATAGTTCAGGTCCATCAAAAAACTTACAATGCCCTGAACATGCCCTGCTGTTTTACACCGCCAAGCCTTAGCATGTAGAGTCCCTCCACCATGATCACCTGCTCCCTACTCCTTTTGCTATGCAAATTATTCCTCTCACACAAATCAGCTAAGCCATGAGCTTCCCTAGGAAAGCTCCCCAATCCTTTCCCCAGGCTGGGTTTGTGTCCTCACTCTGCAGCCCCCTTGCATTCTTCAGTCATTGTCCTTACCACATTTTATTGTAGCATTATATTTCTTATTTATTTATCTGTCCTCCTAGACTTTGAGAGCCTTCAAAAACAAAATCTCACACACACACATATATACATATATATATAAAATCTCCAGCCCTTAATACATCAAGTGCATCACTATTACATGTTATCTACTGAATAAATACTTGCTGACTTGCATTACCAATGATGTGAAATACGTTTCCAATGCTTATGCTTATCTAAAAGTATTATCCACTGCTTTCAAACCATAGGTAAAAATGGTCACCATTTAATTCAACAAATATTTACCACCAAGTCACTAAAAGAGCAAGAAGAAAACTTAGAGAAAATTTAGTTGATGAAGTATATAGACGAAAAAATTCGGATTAGGAAGCAAGGACTGGAGTTCAAGTCCCTCTTGGCTGCTTTCCAGCTCAGGCAAACCTCTTGGTCTCTTCATGCTTTCTTTGGTTGGTTCATCTGTGAAACAGGGTTAATCATGTCTTTTCCACTGCAAATGTTTAGTGTGAAGCTTGATTGAGATGATGTTTATGGATATTCTTTGCATACTGAAAACATTATAAAAATAAATTTTTTTTTTCTTTTTGCTTTTCGTAGAGCCTGGGACATAGTAAATGTTCAATAATTGCCATTAAAATAAATTTATGATTATAGTCTTCATTTCCTGGTTGAGCTATTGGAGAGCTGATTAAGTAACTTGCCTAAGATTCCTTATAACCATAAGACCCTAATTAGCAAAAATTTAAAATTTTTTTTTTTTAGAGATGGGGTCTTACTATGTTGGCCAGTTTGGTCTTGAACTCCTGGCCTCAACCCATCATCCCGTCTTGGCCTCCCAAAGTGCTAGGATTACAGGCATGAGCCACCATGCCCAGCCTTAAGCAAAAGCTTTTAATCCCCAGCACCAAACACAATGCCCGGCCCATGGTAGGTGCCCCATGAATGTTCGTGGAAGGAAGAAAGGGATGGAAGGAAGAAAGAATATCATACAGCTGGGAGTGATCAAAATCCCAGGGTGCTGATTTCCTTGTCACAGGTTTTTCTTACTATCTCTGCATTTGGTGCTATAGGTCAGTGGTTCTCAAAGTATGGTCCTGAACCAGCAGCAGCAGCAGCATCACTTGGAAACTTCTTAGAGATGCAAATTCTAAGGCCTCACTCCAGATCTACTGAATCAGGATCTCTGGGGTGGAGCCCAGCAATCAATATGTATTTTAATCAGACCCCAGTTGATTCTGATGAATGCAAAAGTTTGACAATTTTGCAGGAGGAGAAACTCTTCATTCACTGCTTATATTTGATAATAAATGGACAGAAAAAATGTGAACTTATTAACAGCTTTTAAATAGTTTATTACAAAAACCTAAAGTATGTTAATTTTATTGTCATTTCCTGCTAACCCAAAACGTTTATGATACAAGGGGGATACATTTCTGTAAAGATTGCATCAATAATGCAGCATGTTTTTGGTTAAAAAATAATATTTACTGAATTGTTTTCTTTTTTTTTTTGAGACAGAGTCTCGCTCTGTCACCCAGGCTGGAGTGCAGTGGCGTGATCTCGGCTCACTGCAAGCTCCGCCTCCCGGATTCATGCCATTCTCCTGCCTCAGCCTCCTGAGTAGCTGGGACTACAGGTGTCCGCCACCACGCCCGGCTAATTTTTTGTATTTTTACAACATGGGGTTTCCCCATGTTGATCAGGATGGTCTCCATCTCCTGACCTCGTAATCTGCCCACCTCGGCCTCCCAAAGTGTTGGGATTACAGGCGTGAGCCACCACACCTGGCCTACTGAATTGTTTTCTAGGCATAGAAGACTACATGTTCATTGCTAATAATATGGACAATACTAGAAATTATAACGACACTTATATTGTGTGTACTACGTGCCAGGCACTATTTTAGCACTTTTCCTGTGTTTTTTTTTTTTTTTTAGACTGAGTCTCACTCTATCATCCAGGTTGGAGTGATGTGGCACAATCTCAGCTCACTGCAACCTCTGCCTCCTGGGTTCAAGCAATTCTTGTGTCTCAGCCTCCCAAGTAGTTGGGATTATAGGTGCCCACCACCTGTCTGATTTTTGTATTTTTAGTAAAGATGGGGTTTCAGCATGTTGCCCAGGCTGGTCTCAAACTCCTTGACCTCAGGTGATCTGCCCATCTCGGCCTCCCAAAGTGCTGAGATTACAGGTATGAGCCACCACACCTGGCCACTTTTTCTGTTTTAACTAACTTATTACTCAAAACAATTCCAGAAGGGAGGTACAATTTTTTTTTTTTTTTTTTTTTTAGACAGAATTTCCCTCTTGTTGCCCAGGCTGGAGTGCAATGGCGCGATCTCAGCTCACTGCAACCTCCACTTCCGGGTTCAAGAGATTCTCCTGCCCCAGCCTCCTGAGTAGCTGGGATTACAGTCACGCACCACCGCGCCTGGCTAATTTTGTATTTGTAGTAGAGATGGGGTTTCTCCATGTTGGTCAGGCGGTCTCGAACTCTTGACCTCGGGTGATCTGCCTGCCTCAGCCTCCCAAAGTGCTAGATTACAGGCGAAAGCCACTGTGACTGGCCATGGTAGGTACAATTTTTATCATCCCTATTGTGCAGAGAGGAAATTGAGGTATGTAGAGGTTATGAAATTTGAAAAAGTTCACAGAGCCAGCAAATGGTAGAACCAAGATTTGTATCCATGCAGGCCAGCTCCAGAGTCCTAAAGATAAACACTGATTACTAATATTTATGGAAAATTTATATTTTCTTTCATGTTGGTAAATATATACATATATAAACTATATACTGGTAAATATATTTATTTATTTACAATTTATTTGTTTTAGGATGGGCATGGTGCCTCACACCTATAATCCCAGCACTTTGGGAGGTTAAGGCAGGGAGATTGCTTGAGCCCAGGAGTTCAAAACCAGCCTAGGCAACACAGTGAGACCCCCATCTCTAGCCATCCCCTCAAAATACACACGCACACAATTTATTTATTTTAGCGACAGGGTCTCATTCTGTCACCTAGGCTGGAGTGCAATCGCATGATCATAGCTCACTGTAGCCTCAACTCCTGGGCTTAAACGGTGCTCCTACCTCAGCCTCATGAGTAGCTGGGACTACAGACATGCACCACCACACCCAGCTAATTTTTAAAATGTTTTGTAGAAACGAGTTCTCACTATGTTTCCTGAGCTGGTTTCAAACTCCTGGGCTCAAGTGATCCTCCAGCCTCGGCCTCCCAGAACGTTATGATTACAGGCGTGAGCCACAGTACCTGGTCCACATGTAAATAATTTTTATATGGGTTTTACATTTTTACATATTTCTAACAATTTTTTTTAATTTTTAATTTTTATTTATTTATTTATTTTTTGAGACAGAGTCTCCTTCTGTCACCCAGGCTGGAGTGTGGTGGCACGATCTCGGCTCACTGCAACCTCCACCTCCCAAGTTCAAGCGGTTCTTCTGCCTCAGCCTCCTGAGTAGCTGGGACTACCGGCGAGTGCCACCATACCTGGCTAATTTTTGTATTTTTCGTAGAGACACGGTTTCACCATATTGGCCAGGATGGTCTTGAACTCCTGACCTCGTGATCCACCTGTCTGGGCCTCCCAGAGTGCTGGGATTATAGGCGTGAGCCACCACGCCCAGCTATTTATAATTTTAAAAAGGAAATTGAAATCATATGCTGCTGTAAACTAATTCTTCTATTTAATAAGATAAGCACCTTCTAATATTATTGCAACTCTAAAATAATTGTAATAGCTGTACTGAATTTTCTTCTAATTTATTTAATGAATTCTCTATTGTATAATCAGATCATCAGATCATATTTAATGTTTTGCTTGGCAAATACCACTGTAATGAACATCTCTAAACTTAAAGTGTGATTATTATGCACTTCATTTTTTTTTTAATTTTACTTTAAGTTCTAGGATACATGTGCAGAACACGCAGGTTTGGTACATAGGTATACATGTGCCATGGTGGTTTGCTGCACCTATCAACCTGTCATCTAGGTTTTAAGCCCCGCATGCATTAGGTATTTGTCCTAATGCTCTCCCTCCCCTTGCCCCCCAACCCACTATGCGCTTCATTTTTTGTTTTTGTTTTTGTTTCTGTTTTCAGATGGAGTTTTGCTCTTGTCACCCAGGCTGGAGTGCAATGGCTCGATCTCAGCTCACTGCAACCTTCACCTCCAGGGTTCAAGCAATTGTCCTGCTTCGGTCTCCAGAGTAGCTGGGATTACAGGTGCCCACGATCATGCCCAGCTAATTTTTTTTGTATATTTAGTAGAGACAGGGTTTCACCATGTTGGCCAGGCTGGTCTCCAACTCCTGACCTCAGGTGATCCACACACCTCAGCCTCCCAAAGTGCTGGGATTACAGGCCACCACACCCGGCTTCACTTTTTAAACTCTGCATCATTTCTTAATATGGGCCAGCCAGAACCGATGGCTCATGCCTGTAATCCCAGCACTTTGGGAGGCTGAGGCAGGAGGATCACTTGAGGCCAGGAGTTTGAGAACAGCCTGGACAACGTAGGGAGACCTCACTTCTAAAAAAAAAAATTTTTTTTAATTAGCTGGGGATGCTGGCATGCACCTGTAGTCCCAGCTACTTGGGAGGCTGAGGCGGGAGGATTGCTTGAGCCTGGAAGGTCAAGACATCAGTGAGCTGTGATTGTGCCCTGCACTCTAGCCTGGGCAACAGAACAAGACCTCATCTAGAAAAATAAAATAAAATAAATAAAAGCCCACACAAGTAATGAAAAGTAATTCTTTCCAGATAGAACATGCAGGGTATAAACTTTCTCACTTGAATACTCTGTGACAACGAAACCAAATTATACCTCACTGCCCAACAGCAGTGCTATCTTATAATTACACAGGTCATTTAAAAATGCTTTGACAATTTTATTAGCTTCATATTAAGGAAACCACTGGCACTATATTCTCAGAGATTCAGAGATGTAGCAACGGAAGAACTGACTGGCAATAAAATGTCAAAATATTTATGAAGAAAAGCAAAAGCTCTTCTTGAATGTAGATTCATCTCATGGGCTAGACAGTAACTAGAACATCGCAAATGTCCTGTGAGTGAATGGCTATCCAGGCCCAGATAAAAGATAAACAGGTAAGTGACTATTCAGGCACAGATAAACAGAAAAAAATGTGAGGGAAACCAGGGAAAGGGAGAAAAGGGCTCTTTCTAACTTTGCTGAAAAAGGCTATTCATTCCATTGTGGCAAATAACTTGAATATGATTCACATATTAACTGTAGACAGAAGAAATAGCAGAGCAATTTATTTATACACTACCACATTCCTGAAGCAGCCTTCCAGGTGCCTCAGCATGTTTGGATCTGGCCTGTGTGTCTCCTAAATACATCTCCTGGAGAACTTAGTCGAAACCAAAATGTTTACACCAATTGGAGGGGCCCATGATGTCCGCAGCAAACTAAAAATAATAGGATCTCTGTGTCCATACCCATTACACTGGGAAGCAGAGGTGTGACTCTGATACTCCAGACCCAACCAGAGTGTCAGTGCCGGGAAAAATGTTTGAGGGAGGAGATGGGTTGGTGGTGCCAAAAATTTCAAGCAACGCCCTCTTTCTCTGTGTGCTGTGTATATGGGGAATCTGGAAAATGACCCACCTAACAGCTCCCAAAGCCAAAAGACACTACAGTACGTAAATGGGGTCTTATATTCTGCGTCGATGTTATACATGAAATTGGAGAAGAAAAAAATAATTGTTAAAATAGATGTATACTCCTGGGAGCAAGCAGGTCCTTTTAATGTCAGGATCTAAGGAGAACACTTGCTATAATTATCTCATTCCCTTTCTTGCCAAAAGAAGATTTCGTATTGCAGAGACAGGTTCTTCTGGCATAACTAATCCTTCCGGATTCTGTAACTAAACTGAAAAGCATTTAAGTTGACTTAAATGCTTGAGAAGCCTAAGGTGCTGAAGTTGAAAGGACTTTATGGCTTAAAAAATCTCATTCTAGTATTTCTCAGTCGAGGAGATTAAGGCCCAAAGAGATGAAGTGATTTTCCAGAATCTCAGAACAATTTAGTGGCAAAGCCAGGACAGGGGCCACAGTCTCGGATTCTCACTCCTGCGCCATAAGACCACCCCTCCAGCCATCCCTGTCTCGTGAACGGCACTGCCTAGACCTGCTGTCCCATGTCTGTGGCCTCATCTGCAGTAAAATTGTCTCCTTCAGACATTAGCCAACAAATATTATTTTACTCAAATGCTGTTTAATTCTTTAATTTAATTTATTTAGTTTTCGTAAAGACGAGGTCTCACTCTATTGCCCAGGTATTGCTGGTATTGCAGGTATATTGCTGGTCTCCAATTCCTGGGCTCAAGGCATGCTCCTGCTCAGCCTCCGAAAGTGCTGAGATTACAGGCTTGAGCTACCATGCCCAGCTTTAATTGCTTTCCATTCCTTTACTCAACATGTATTTTACTGGGCACTCTCTACCTGTCAATGTTCTAAACACAGGTAAGAAAGTAATTAGCAAGATAGGTGCTTGCCTTCAGGGAGGAGAGGGTGGAGGTTAGGGGGAGAACAGCCATGAAGCAAGACACACACATACAAGATAATGTAAAGCAGTGCTGGATGCTATGAAGACAATATAACGGCATGATGTAGCCAGGGGTGTGTGGGTTTAAGAAGGCCACTTTAAGGAGGGCAGTCAAGAAAGGATTCTCCGGGCAGGTGACATTTGAGGTAAAACTTGAAATATGAGTAGGAGTTTGATAATCAATGATCTATGTGAAAATTATTTCAAGCAGGGAAGAAAATAAGTGCAAAATCCTTGAGGCAGCAGTTCCGGTTCCAGGTAAGACCATGTAAGCACATTCCATCCTGTCTCTCCCCGTGAATGTAGCTATAAAACCTAGGCAGAAGTCATGGAGCTTTCTTAATTTAAGCACTAGAAGGCAGACTGGAGAAGACCACAATCTGAAATACCACTGAACCAGCTGTGAATTTCCCTTTTTGTTGTTGTTCTGATTTCAAGACATCCTGATGCCCAAAGTTGGGCACTGGACACAGAGAAGGCGTGAGGCAGGAGAATCCCTCCAGTTTCTGCTTCAGGAGAGAGAAAGGGAATGCCTAATGCTAAGCAGAACTAACATTTTTCTTTTCACGGCTGGGCACAGTGGCTGACATCTGTAATCCCAGCACTTTCAAGGCCAAGGTGGGTGGATTATGAGGGCAGGAGTTCAAGAGCAGCCTGGCTAACATGGTGAAACCCTGTCTCTACTAAAAATACAAAAATTAGCCGGGCGAGGTGGCACACAATTGTAATCCCAGCTACTCGGGAGGCTGAGGCAGGAGGATCACTTGAGCCCAGGAGGCACAGGTTGCAGTGAGCTGAGATCATTCCACTGCACTCCAGCCTGGACGATGCAGCGAGACTCTGACTTAAAAAAAAAAAAAAAGGGATTTGTCTTTTCTTTTCTCTGTTCTCTCATATGCCAGCCCAAGGCAATCCAATGGTCACAACAGTTGCAATGATAGCCACGGTAACAGCAGTGGAGGTGCCCGGGGGCTAACCTTCTGAGGGGGTGAACCATCCTCTCCAATCACAGGGGCTATAGTCCCAACAACGTGGGGAGAACACCTGCTGTTTTTGTTTCTCTTGCTGTGCTCCCACCACCTGGCCTGTGAGGACAAAAGCACAGTTGCAGGAAGTGCACAGCTTAGTGTTGTTCTAAAGGCCTAAGGACTGAACAGGATGGCAGCAGGGACCTGAGAGGCCTGGAGACCACAGAAGGGAGCAGCCAGGAAAGGCGTCCAACACAGTTGTTAATGATGGACCCCAGTTTGCTAATCATTCACAAAGAAAGAGCTAAATATAGAGAAAAGACCAACTCTACAGCAAAATAGATGAGAGACATGAACACAGGTCATAAAAAAGACAAACGTGAATGACTTTTAAACACATGAAAAAATCAATCTTGCTCATAAGGAGAGAAATGTGGTGTAAAGCCATGATAAGATACCATTTCTCATCTATTGGATGGGCAAAAAAATCCAAAAGATTGACAATGTGTTCTGTGATGGTATTCTGAAAGAGATCTTTTCATTTGTCGATGGCAGGAAGGCAAAAGGGTACAATTCTTATAGAAGAGATTGGGAAGATTTATAAAAGTTTCCTTTGCAGCTGGGCACGGTGGTTCACACCTGTAACCCAGCATTTTGGGAGGGCAAGGTGGGCAGATCAATTGTGACCAGGAGTTTGAGACCAGCTTGGCCAACATGATGAAACCCCATCTCTATTAAAAATACAAAAATTAGCTGGACACGGTAAAACCCCATCTCTACTAAAAATAAAATAATTAGCTGGGCATGGTGGCACATGCCTGTAGTCCCAGCTACTCAGGAGGCTGAGGCACAAGAATCTCTTGAACCTGGGAGAAACTCCAGCCTGGAGGACAGAGTAAGACTCTGTCTCAAAAAAAAAAAAAAAAAAAAAGTTTTTTCCTTTGCATTTTCTTTTTGACCCAGAAACCCAAGTGTCTGTCCCAAAAATACACTCACAGAAATAGGAAAAGCTGCACATATACTATGCCAAGTATAAGTTGGCATTAATAAGAATAGCAAACGACTGGAAACTGAATAAACTTAGCTGAATAAATAATAGTACATGCCTGCAATGGAGTTGTAAAAATGCTGTGAAGTGGTATCTAAGGTATAATAATGAGTGAGAAAGCAAAGCAGAGAAAAATATTTTTAGTAAGCTACTGTTTACATGCATATGCACTTGACCGGGCATGGTGGCTCATGCCCGTAATCCCAGCACTTCGAAAGGCCGAGGTGGGCAGATCACCTGAGGTCAGGAGTTCAAGAGTAGCCTGGCCAGCATGGTGAAACCCCATCTCTACTAAAATACAAAAATTAGCTGAGTATGGTGGCATACGTCTGTAATCCCAGTTACTTCGGAGGCTGAGACAGGAGAATCGCTTGAATCCGGAAGGCGGAAGTTGCAGTGAGCCAAGATCACACCATTGCACTCCAGCCTGGGCAACAAGAGTGAAACTCTGTCTCAAAAAAAGGAAAAGATATGTACACAGATATGTATGCACTTGTATGTATATTACATGAACCTACACACACATATGTATAATATGCTTATATATATTTGAAACAGAGTTTTATTCATTGAGGAAGGGGCAACGGGTAGAGGGGATAAGGTGAGAAACTTGTCTTCTTAATATAATTTATTTCATAGATTTGACTTTCAACCATATCGTTTAAGTGATTAGCTAATAAAAATAGAAGTACTCCCTTTTATTTCACAAAACTATTAGTTTACAAAAACTAACAGTACTTTGAAAGGAATTATTTCACATGGCTTTAGTAATCTGACTACATATCCCCAGTGGAATATCTCGAAGGAAAGAAAGAACTACAAAAATAATCTTAAACTATTTTCAGTAATTATATTGTTAGTAATAATTTTGCTATTATTATTCTGAAGCTGTTATGCTCATTGCAGGAGAAAGCAAGTATGTCATTTTTGTTTGTTTGTTTTCTGGGGTTTAAAAATTTTTTTTTGCTCTGTCATCTAGGCTGGAGTTCAGTGGCTTCATCATAGCTCACTGCAACCTCCACCTATCAGGCTCAAATGATTTTTCCATCTCAGCCACCCAAGTAGCTGCCACTACAGGTGTGCACCACCATGCCCAGCTAATTTTTGTATTTTTTGTAGAGATGCAGTCTTGTCATGTTGCCCAGGCTGGTCTCAAACTCCTGAGCTCAAGCGATCCTCCCCGTTCAGGCTCCCAAAGTGCTGAAATTACAGGTGTGAGCCACTCTGCCCTGCCATAAGCCATTGTTAATGTTAAGAACCAAGATTTTCAGAATAGGAGAAAAAAATACAAATAAAAAATCAAAGAATTAATATCCTGTAATGATAAATTTTGAATTATTACAAGCTCTTGCCTTTCCTCTTAAAAATAAAAAGTATTTCCAAGCTCTGTCAATGAAAAAGTCCTAGAAGTAATAGTAAACCCAAAAGAAATGAGCACTGCTAATACCCAGATTGTGGTATTTAGATACCATTTCCTTAGAGAAATGATTGACTCGGCCAGGTGTGGTGGCTCACACCTGTAATTCCAACACTTTGGGAGGCTGAGGTGGGCGGATCACCCGAGGTCAGTAGTTTGAGATCAGCCTGGCCAACATGGTGAAACCCCCATTAAAAATGCAAAAATTAAGGCTGGGCGCAGTGGCTCACGCCTGTAATCCCAGCGCTTTGGGAGGCCGAGGCAGGAGGACTACCTGAGGTCAGGAGTTTGAGACCAGCCTGGGCAACATGGTGAAACCCCGTCTCTACCAAAAATGCAAAACTTAGCTAGGCATGGTGGCGGGTGCCTGTAATCCCAGCTACTTGGGAGGCTGAGGCAGGAGAATTGCTTGAACCTGGGAGACAGAAGTTGCAGTGAACAGAGGTTGCAGTGAGCCAACATGGTGCCACTGCTCTCCAGCCCGGGCAACACAGTGAGATTCCATCTCAAAAAAGAAAAACAAAAACAAAAATTAGCCAGGTGTGGTGATGTGCACCTGTAGTCCCAGCTACTCAGGAGGCTGAGGCAGGAAAATCCCCTGAACCCGGGAGGTGGAGATTGCAGTGAGCTGAGATTGCACCATTGCATCATTGTACTCCAGCCTGCACGGAAGAGCAAGAATCTGTCTCAAGAAAAAAAAAAAAAAAGAAATGATTGACTAATGTTGGGGCCTGCCCAAAATAAAGATGAGCCTGGATATCATGTTGTAATAAAAAGCAAGGAAGCCACATATATATATATATATATATATATATATATATGGAGAGAGAGAGAGAGAGAGAGAGAGACAGAGTTTCACTCTTGTTGCCCAGGCTGGAGTGCAATGGTAAGATCTTGGCTCACCGAAACCTCCGCATCCCAGGTTCAAGCGATTCTCCCGCCTCAGCCTCCCAAGTAGCTGGGATTACAGGCATGTGCCGCCAAGCCCGGCTAATTTTGTATTTTTACTAGAGACGGGGTTTCTCCATGTTGGTCAGGCTGGTCTCGAACTCCCAACCTCAGGTGATCCGCCCATCTCAGCCTCCCAAAGTGCTGGGATTACAGGCGTGAGCCACCCGCCCGGCCTAAGGAAGCAATATTAAAGAAGACTTGTGTTGTATCAGAAGGACTCAGCAGCTATGGTGAAAAAGCTCCCGTGGCCAAAACTGGGATAATGTGAATATCCAAAAGAGCAATAACTAATTAATTGAAACAGGTCAAATGTATTAAATGTCATGAGTTCATTAAAAAAAAAAAAAAACAAAACTACTCACTTTTGAAAGATACTTGGGAACCAACTCATTATTCTGAATACCTGTAAATAAAGAGACAGAATCAAGTATTTATCCTTGTTCTCAGAATTTCTAAATAATTGATGAGTGAAAAAAGTCATCTTTAGAAAAGAATTCCAGCTAAAAGGAATGAAAAGGAATGATAGAATTAGAGCATGACCAGCCGGGCATAATGGCTGAGCCTGTAGTCCCAGCAATTTGGGAGGCTGAGGCAGGCCAATCACTTGAGCCCGGGAGTTTGAGACCTGCCTGGCCAACATGGCAAAACCTCATCTCTATTAAAAATACAAAAAATTAGCCAGGCACCGTGGCATGTGCCTGTAGTTCCAGCTACCCTAGAGGCTGAGGTGGGAGAATCACTTAAGCCCAGAAGGCGGAGGTTGCAGTAAGCTGAGATCACGCCACTGCACTCCAGCCTGGGTGACAGAGTGAGACCCTGTCTCAAAAAATGTAAATAATAATAATAATAGCATTAGAACCTGACTACTTTTGCAAACTCCAAATGAGATAATGGATCTAGGACACAATGATCAATGGCAGCCAATATTACCATAGAAAGAGACATCCCACACTGTGTGCCTCCTAATGGACATTCCCATCACCACCTGTACTAGTTTCTAGGGCTGCTGTAACACAGTGCCACAGACTAGGTGGCTTAAACAACAGAAATTCATTTTCTCCAGTTCTGGAGGCTAAAAGTCCAAGATCAAGGCATCGCCAGGGTGGATTTCTTCTGAGGCCTCTGCCCTTGGCTTACAGACGGTCATCTTCTCCCTGTGTCTTCATGTGGCCTTCCCTTTGTAACTGTCTGTGGCCAGATTTCCTCTTCTGAAAAGGACACCAGTCATATGGGAGTAGGGCCTATCCTAATGACTACATTTTAATCAAATTACCTCTTAAAAAACCTCATCTTCAAATACAGTCACAGTCCAAGGTACTGGGGATAGAACCTCAACATATGAATTTTGCAGGGGTACAATTCAGCCCATAACACCACCCACAAAATAGTCTTGTCAAAAACTAGAATGTGAGGCCAGGTGCGGTGGATCATGCCTGTAATCCCAGCACTTTGGGAGGCTGAGGTGTGCGGATCATGAGGTCAGGAGTTCGAGACCAGCCTGGCCAACATGGTGAAACCCTGTCTCTACTAAAAATACAAAAATTAGCCAGGCATAATGGCGGGCGCTGGTATTCCAGCTGCTCGGGAGACTGAGGTGGGAGAATCACTTGAACTAGGGAGGTGGAGGTTGCAGTGAGCCAAGATTGTGCCACAGCACTCTAGCCTGGGTAACAGAATGAGACTCCGTCAAAACAAACAAACAAATAAACAAAACCAAGAGTGTGAATCAAATCAAGTATTCAGAACTAAATACCAGTTTACAGAGAATATAGAGGGGAGAAAAACATGTTAAACACCACAAAGGGAATGCAATCAGCAAAATTCAGAATTTGGAAAACTCTTGCTGACAATTGACCTTTTTCCATAAAAAGCAAATTGCAAGGACAAAAAAAAAAGGGCCAGGTATGGTGGCTCACACCTGTAATCCCAGCACTTTGGGAGGCCGAGGCGGGTGGATCACTTGAGGCCAGGAATTCGACACCAGCCTGGCCAACATGAAACCCTGTCTCTACTAAAAATACAAAAATTAGCTGGACTTGGTCATGCATGCCTGTAATCCCAGCTACTCTGGAGGCTGAGACAAAAGAATCGCTTGAACCCTGGAGGTGGAGGTTGCAGTGAGCCAAGATGGCACCACTGCACTCCAGCCTAGGTGATGAGGTGAAACTAACAACAACCACAAAAAAAGAAAGAAAAAAGAAAAGAAAAGAAAAGAGAGATCGGAGGGTGCCTGTAGATTGCCAGAGACTTAAGAACTATATAAACCAAATGCTAGATGTGGGCCTTGTATGAATCCCAATTAAAACAAATACCTTTTTTTTTTTTTGACAGAGTTTCACACTTGTTGCCCAGGCTGGAGTACAATGGCGTGATCTCAGCTCACCACAACCTCCTCCTCCCAGGTTCAAGCGATTCTCCTGCCTCAGCCTCCCAAATAGCTGGGATTACAGGCATGTGCCACTACGCCCAGCTAAGTGTTTTTTCTTTTCTTTTCTTTTCTTTTTTTTGAGACAGAGTTTTGCTCTTGTTGCCCAGGCTGGAGTGCAATGGTGCGATCTCGGCTCACTGCAACCTCCGCCTCCCGGGTTCAAGCGATTCTCCTGCCTCAGCCTCCCAAGTAGCTGGGATTACAGGCATGCGCCACCACGCCTGGATAATTCTTTTTTTGTATTTTTAGTAGAGATGGGGTTTCTGCATATTGGTCAGGCTGGTCTCAAACTCCCGACCTCAGGTGATCCGCCTGCCTCGGCCTCCCAAAGTGCTAGGATTACAGGCGTGAGCAACCGCGCCCGGCAAAACAAATACTTTTTAAAAAGATACACTATGAGGCAATTGGGAAATCTGAGCATTAACTGATTCTGGATTGTTTTACAATACTAAGGAATTATTGATATTTTTAGATTGATAATGGCATTGCAGTTATGTTTTTTAAACCAGTCGTCATCTTTTAGAGATATATATTGATACATTTACGTGGATGATTCGATGTCAGGAATATATTTCAAACTAATCCAGTAGGGAAGGAGACAGAGGGAGTATAGGTGAAATAAAAGCAGCAATGAGTTAGTGGTTGTGTCAGGGTGATGGGTACCTCGGGGTCTGTTATACCATTCTCTCTACTTTTATGTTTATGTAAAGTTTTCCATAATAAAATGTTTATAAATGAATTAATGAATAAATGAACAGACAGATAGATGGGTGATTATGTCATGCATCCCTTTGGGCAAAGGCAAAACCACTGAGATGAAAATAGGGAAGACTAATGTACTAAAGGAGCAAAATTAGAAATAAAGCATGGCTAACAAGTAATAGAAGTTACCCTTTGTAGAGAACCAGCGAGGTTCCAGGGCGGGCCCTAGGCAACATTATCCGTCTATATTTATAGTTAAAAATCTCTATTGCATTTCATTTTTATAACATTCCTGGAGCAGGGGAAAAATGGGTCATCCACATTTTACATATAGGGAATCTAAGACTCAGATGCCTAAAACCACAAGCTGGTGAGGACCTGAGATAGACCAGCACCCAGGATTTTGGTCTATAACGTGTATGTCCTTTCCCTTACCCCTTTCTGCATCTAGAGCCCAAAAAAGAATGAAATAGCGGCAGATCCTTGAGTCAAGAGGGAGCCTCAATCTGGAAAAAACCCTTTAGTTTTCTTTGTTTGTTTTAGGAGCTTACTTTGCCTTGTCTTCTATTAGTGCTTGATTTATTTATTTATTTATTTATTCATTTATTTATTTATTTATTTGAGGCAGGGGTCTCATTCTATCACCCAGGTTGGAGTGGAGTAGTCTGATCTCCACTCACTGCAACCTCTGCCTGCCAGGCTCAAGCGATCCTCCCACCTCAGCCTCCCAACTAGTAGCTGGGTCCACAGGTGTGAGCCTTTCGGCTCACTGCAAACTCCACCTCCCAGATTCAAGTGATTCTCGTGCCTCAGCCTCCCGAATAGCTGGGATAACAGGCATGCACCACTGCAACTGGCTAATCTTTTGGGGTATATTTTGTAGAGACCGGGTTTCGCCACGTTGCCCAGGCTCGTCTTGAACTCCTGAGTTCAAGCTATCTGCCCTCCTCAACCTCCCAAAGTCCTGGGATTACAGGTGTGAGCCTCGGCCGGTGCTCTTTATTTTTGAAAGACAAAAAACAAAAACAAAAAACAAACAAAAAACCCCATTTAAGAATGGCCCTCATCCAACAGAAGTGCTTATAGTCACATTTATTCTGCAAGTTTGTTTTTATAGCAATGAATACCAAAGCTTCTCTATCCTCACGATGACAAATTTTGAGTTATGACACTGACGTGAAAATGTGAAGGAAGCACAGAGCGGGAAAATATGTGTGCATCCTTATCTTCCGCTGTGAGTTTCTAGATGCTTCTCTACATAAAATGAAACTACTCAGACATGATTCACATGCACATGGTATCTCAAATAGAATATCAATCATTTTCATTTGGAGAGTATGCTTTGGTTTTGTTTTTCATTTTCACTATGCTCTTTTTAATAATACAGGGAAGTAGCTCCATTTTAGAAAGATTTCCATCAAAACAGATAAAAATGAAAGGTTCAGCCCAGGAAACTCAAGCTCAGCTCTCCTGCAATATTCTACAACCAGGCATTACTCAAACTACTAGAATGTCAGCATTTCTAACCCTCCAGATTTTTATCTTCCTCATGAATATTAGGAAAAGAGTTTGCCCCTTCCAGAATCATCTTGACACTGCCCCTTCAAGCTGCTTATTCTCTGGCCACTCCTCCCTCTGCAAAGGTGGTGTGGACGGGTCTGAGGAGCAGGGCCTCTGATTTCCCTTTATCAATCTGTGTGGAGGGGTACAAAAGAGTTCGGCCAGAAGCAGTGGCTCACTCCTATAATCCCAGCACTTTGGGAGGTCGAGGTGGGTGGCATGCACATGTAGTCCCAGCCACTCAGGAGGCTGAGGTGGGAGGATCCCTTAAGCCCAGGAGTTCTAGGCTGTGGTGAGCTGTGACTGCACCCCTGAAATCCAGCCTGGGCAACAGAGTGAGACCCTGTCTCAGAAAAAAAAAAAAAAAAAAAAAAAAAGATCTGGCATCTCATTCATGAAAAGACTAAAAAGTTCCCTTTAAAGTTATTTCCAAATTGGGTGCAGTGGCTCACGCCTGTAATCCCAACACTTTGGGAGGCCGAGAAGGCAAATCACTTGAGGTCAGGAGTTCAAGACCAGCCTGGCTAATATGATGAAACCCCGTCTCTACTAAAAATATGAAAATTAGCTGGGCATGGTGGCGCACACCTGTAACCCCAGCTACTCCGGAGGCTGAGGCAGGAGAATTGCTTGAACTCAGGAGGTGGAGGTTGCAGTGAGCCAAGATTGCGCCACTGTACTCCAGCCTGGGTGACAGAGTGAGACTCTATCTCAAAAATAATAATAATAATAATAAATTAAAAATAAATAAATGAATAAAAAATAAAGTTATTTCCAAAAGAGGTTATATACAAAGATAGAAAGGCTGACAGAACTGGAAGATGTTGATGTTTAGCTTTAAGGTTGTATCTAATCCCTGAGCTACAGTGTTCAGAGTAAGCAATTTGTACACTGTGTAAATACCCTGCAAATAGCACAGTTTTATTTATTCCTTGTATCTTTTTGTGTTGCAAAGTATTAATTTGCTATATGTAATTTTTTTTTTTTTTTTTTTGAGACAGAGTCTTGCTCTGTCACCAGGCTGGAGTGCAGTGGCGTGATCTCGGCTCACTACAACCTCTGCCTCCCGGATTCAAGCAATTCTCCTGCCTCAGCCTCCTGAGTAGCTGGGACTACAGGCACGCGCCACCATGCCCAGATAATTTTTGTATTTTTAGTAGAGACGGGGTTTCACCATGTTGGCCAGGGTGGTCTCAATCTCTTGACCTTGTGATCCGCCCACCTCGGCCTTCCAAAGTGCTGCGATAACAGGCGTGAGCCACTGAGCCTGGCCTATGTAAATGTTTTTAAAGCATACCACAATATTTTGAAGTCTTATTTTGTAATTTCCTTATTTTTTCTTATAAGTAGCCTCAAAAAATGGAAGTGGCCCTGGCTTCTCTCAATATCTGAAAGGCCTTGAGGAAGATACCCGAAGATAGCTCAATATCTGAAAGACCTTCCTGAAGAGGAAGAAGAGGGGAAGGTGTTGTGGTTAACAGCTGCAACAACAGTTAGCACACACTGAGCACTTTTCTGTGCCAGGCACTGGTGAGTGTTCTAACTTAACTCACATTTATTAGCACATTTAACATGCAGTAATTCATTAAATCCTCAAGACAACCCTGTTTAGGCAGGAGAATAGGGTCTGGAGGCAGGGAACCTAAGGCCCATTTGAGCTGACTTCCTAGAACTGAATCAAAAGGAAAACTCCACCTTTCTAGTCTCAAGTAACAAAAGGATCAAAGGCTACTCCTTTTGCACTGCCTTGCAGATGAAAAATTGAAAGTACCTCTGACTGGTCCCCTCCTGCAACCAATCAGACTATCAGACTGGTTGCAGGCCTAGTCTTCATTTGCGTAGGGGTGTAACTTTGTAACTTCAATTCAGCTTCTGATTGGTCACCTTCCACAAACAATCAGACTGCTCACAGGCCAGTACTTCATTTACATTGGTGTAAACCAAGTAACCAGTGGGAAACCTCTAGAGGGTATTTAAACCCCAGAAAATTCTGTAACCAGTGCTCTTGAGCTGCTTGCTTATTCCCACTCAGTGGAGTGTACTTTCATTTCAATAAATCTGTGTTTCCATTGCTTCATTCTTTCATTGTTTTGTTTGTGCATTTTGTTCAATTCTTTGTTCAAAACGCCAAGAACCTGGATGACAACTTGTAGTCAAGACCCTCCACTGTTAACACTATGAAGAAGGTATTATCTCCAATTTACAGATAAGGAAACTGGAAACTGAGGCACAGCTAGTAAGTAGCTGTGTATCACATTTTACTGAGAGGTTGTTGGAGGAAGCTAAGGGGAATTGCAGACTATGGGGAAATACTTTAAAACTATATAGAAAGTATAACTTTACAGGGAAAGCACCTGAAAGTTTAAACCTTTCATAAGGGGAGTTTCCTTTTGGGAGCCCTAAGATCTTAACCTTATTTCTTGATCGTCATATTCTTTTATTTATTTATTTATTTATTTATTTATTTTATTTTATTTTATTTTATTTATTTTTTTTTTTTGAGACGGAGTTTCACTCTTGTTGCCTAGGCTGAAGTGCAATGGCGTGATCGCGGCTCACTGCAACCTCCGCCTCCCAGGTTCAAGTGATTCTCCTGCCTCAGCCTCCTGAGTAGCTGGGATTAGAGGCATGCACCACCCACGCCCAGCTAATTTTATATTTTTAGTAGAGACAGGGTTTCTTCATGTTGGTCAGGCTAGTCTCGAACTCCCGACCTCAAGTGATTCACCCGCCTTGGCCTCCAGAAGTGCTGAGATTGCAGGCATGATCCACTGCACCCAGCAATCCTCATATTCTTATATGAGAGCACTGCCTTCCTCTCTGCAAAATTCCACCCTTCTTCACAAGGGATTTTCTTGCCCCATGCCAGCCCTCTTCCTCCACCAGGTGAAATGTGTTCCCCACAGGGGAAAAATATCCAAGTGTGAGTTAGTCTAGAATAACACTGAGAAAATTGGCAGGGGGAATTGTTGGTACTCCAGGTGTCTGGTCCTCTTTGGTGTCTCTCTAACATGGTAGGTGACAGTTAAAGATCTTTATTCTATCATGGCCTGTCAATACTTGTTGAGTCATATTTGCATCTCCCAAATATTAACATTAATTGTCAGAGGCAGTTTCGTCTTAACCAACCCACAAGGATGTCAAGAAAGGTCTTTAAATACTTCATAATTTGCCAACGTATCTTCTTCAACAATGGAGTAGGTGCTATGGACTACTATGGTTAGTTTATTTGATTCACTGTCCTCTTCCCCTCAAATTAGGATTCCCTTGGGCAGACCATCTTCCTCCCCATGACTGCCTGGGACAGGAGGAGAGGTGGTCTTCCAGCTCCACCACAATGTGAATAAGGTCATCTGAGATTTTGGGTTTTTTTAACATACTTCCTCTACACTGTAACTGACCAATAAAAGAAAGACTATGGTTAATATTCTTCCTGGTCACATTCTATCCCAGCACCAAAACTATTTATAGAGAATTCCCTGAGGGCCTGGTTGTTATTAAACCCTGTATAAATACTTTCTTTGAGCCAAGTATCAGGCTCTGGTCCTTACCCAGGTAAGAGGTGAAAAATCTCATGTTAATGTTTTATTGTGGTAAACATTACCTGGGGCTAGCCCCAATGGAAGGAATCAATCCGGCATTATAAACAATTCAAAGGCAATTTTTAGAATGAAAGCAAGCAATTCTCTATGAATCCTTTACAATGCCCAGAATAACAAGTTAAGTGTTCCAAACCACTTTTACACCTACTACATTGCTTCAATCTCACAATAACCCAGAAAGGTCATTAGACTTCACATCATTACCTACATTAAATAGACCAGGAAATTGAGACTGGGAGAGTTTCAGTGATTACACAAGGTTACCCAGCTAATTAATCACACAGCAAAGCTTGCTTTTGACATCCTAGTCCAACTCTTGCCAAAGCATTGATGTTTGCCTTCTTTATATCTATAAAGCATTTTACAATTATTCCCTCTAATGCATAGTTCCATTGACAACTTTTTAAATTCCTTTAATCCCCACAACCACCCTATGGGCAAGTTTTCGGTTTTTTTTTGTTTTTTTTTTTTTGAGAGGGAGTCTCACGCTTGTTGCCCAGGCTGGAGTGCAATGGCACGATCTCGGCTCACTGCAACCTCTGCCTCCCGGGTTCAAGCGATTCTCCTGTCTCAGCCTCCCAAGTAGCTGAGATTACAGGTGCATGCCACCATGCCCGGCTAATTTTAGTATTTTTAGTAGAGATGGGTTTTATCAGATTGGTCAGGCTGGTCTTGAACTCCTGACCTCAGGTGATCCTCCCACCTCGGCCTCCCAAAGTGCTGGGATTACAGGTGTGAGCCACTGTGCCCAGCCAAGTATTCTTATTATCCCCATGTTATAAATTAGGAAAGTTTACAAAGTTATTTACCCACACACCCTTATCTAATCACACTTGGAGTGCCCTTCTGGCCCCTTAGGGTGTTCATTGTTGTGTTAATCAAGATCACAAATTTGAGATCCTGGAATGATCTCTGAAACAGACGTGCTCAAAGGGAAAGGAGCAAAGGTTCTTGATATAAACCAGGAGCCAGTAAAAATTCTGATCATTATTAACATTAGGAATAACTCCTGAGAGTTATCATCAATTAATTTTTAACCAAGTACCAAAATAATTCATTGGAAAAAGAATAGTCTATTCAACAAATGGTGCAGGAACAACTGGTTACCTACATGCAAAAGAATGGAGTTGGGTCCCTACTTCATAGCATATACAAATATTAGTTCAAAATGGATCAAAGAACTGAATGTAAGAACTAAAACTACAAAACTCTTAAAAGAAAAGTAGGGCTGGGTGCAGAGGTTCACGCCTATAATCCTAGTGTGTCCAGAATTGGTGGGTTCTTGGTTTCACTGACTTCGAGAATGAAGCTGCGGGCTCTCACGGTGAGTGTTACAGCTCTTAAGGCAGCACGTCTAGAGTTGTTCGTTCCTCCCGTCCAGAGTTGTTCATTCCTCCCAGTGGGTTCATGGTCTCGCTGGCTTCAGGAGTGAAGCTGTAGACCTTCGTGGTGAGTGTTACAGCTCACAAAGGCAGCACAAACCCAAAAACTGAGCAGCAGCAAGATTTATTGCAAAGAGTGAAAGAACAAAGCTTCCACAGTGTGGAAGGGGACCCTGGCAGGTTGCCACTGCTGGCTTAGGCAGCCTGCTTTTATTCCCTTATCTGGCCCCACCCACATCCTGCTGATTGGTCCATTTTACAGAGAGCTGATTGGTCTGTTTTACAGAGAGCTGATAGGTCAGTTTTACAGAGAGCTGATTGGTCCATTTTGACAGGGTGCTGATTGGTGCATTTACAATCCCTGAGCTAGACACAGAGTGCTGATTGGTGCATTTACAATCCTCTAGCTAGACATAAAAGTTCTCCAAGTCCCCAGTAGATTAGCTAGACATAGAGCACTGATTGGTGCATTTACAAACCTTGAGCTAGACACAGAGTGCTGACTGGTGCATTTACAATTCTCCAGCTAGACATAAATGTTCTCCAAGACCCCACCCAACTCAGGAGCCCAGCTGGCTTCACCTAGTGGATCCCGCGCTGGGGCCACGGGTGGAGCTGCCTGCCAGTCCCGTGCCATGCACCTGCATTCCTCAGCCCTTGGGTTGTCGATGGTACCAGGCGCCATGGAGCAGGGGGCAGTGCCCATCAGGGAGGCTCGGGCCGCACAGGAGCCCACCACAGTGGGGCTCGGGCATGGCGGGCTGCAGGTCCCAAGCCCTGCCCCACGGGGAGGCGGCTGAGGCCCAGCAAGAATTCGAGTGTGGCACAGGTGGGCCGGCAGTGCTGGGGGAACCCGGTGCCCCCTCCGCAGCTGCTGGCCTGGGTGCTAAGCCCCTCACTGCCCAGGGCTGGCTGACCGCTCTGAGTACGGGGCCTGCCAAGCCCACACCCACCTGGAACTTTCACTGGCCCGCAAGCACCACGCGCAGCCCCAGTTCCCGCCCGCGCCTCTCCCTCCACACCTTCCCGCAAGCAGAGGGGGCCGGCTCCAGCCTCGGCCAGCCCAGAGAGGGGCTCCCACAGTGCAGTGGTGGGCTGAAGGGCTCCTCGAGCATGGCTGCCAAGGCCGAGGAGGTGCTGAGAGTGAGTGAGGGCTGCTAACACGTTGTCACCTCTCAATCCCCCCCTGTAAACAGGACAACCCAACTGCTGTTGGGAATTTGGCCAATGACCGCTCTAGCTACTTCCTGCTGGATAGGGGCAAAGAAGGG
Source organism: Homo sapiens (assembly GCF_000001405.40). Classification (NCBI taxonomy): domain Eukaryota; kingdom Metazoa; phylum Chordata; class Mammalia; order Primates; family Hominidae; genus Homo; species Homo sapiens. The sequence continues at coordinate 157,886,599 of NC_000005.10, read as the reverse complement.
GCCCTGCAGTTGTAGTGTCCTCCAGAGGGGAACTCTTTAGGCCAGTGGAAGGGCCAGCGGAACAGTCCAGGGGTCCTCGGTAGAAGTCATTAGTTGAACTCATTTGAGTTCCATTGGTAAGACCATCTGTAGCTTGATGGCCTCAATTCTAGAGGAAACAAATTTAACAAGGATGTTAAAAATACAGGGTCCAAAGGCGAGTAACAGCAAGATGGCTGCCATGGGACCTAGAAAGGGGAGAAGCCATGTTGCCCAACTCCAGAGGTTGGTGTAAGAATTTGAAAGGTGTTGTCTCATTTCAGAAGCCTTTTCCTGTAAACGCTGGGTGGCATCTTGCATTATCCCTGACTGGTTAGTGTAAAAACAACACTCTTCCCCTAAGAAGGTGCAGAGTCCTCCTTTCTCAGCAGTGAGGAGGTCTAGGCCTTGGCAGTTTTGGAGAGTCACTGCTGCCAAAGAGTCTATTTGGGATTGTAGAGTAAGGATAGATTTTGTTACTTCTTGCAAACTGTCTGAAAAATCATTTGAGAGTGTGTGGTAGTAGGATAATGAAGTAGATAAACTGGCTATTCTGGCTCCTGTAACAGTAGCCATTCCTAACTCTATAAGTAGGGGTATTAGTTGTATGGCTCTGTGCTGACGGACTCGAGCTTTGAGGGGTACTGATAAGGTCTGATTTCCTGGGTCAATGTTAATGTTGGGACTTAGAAATACTAAGGTACAGGTGCCTGTCCAGTTAGTGGGGAGGCAGATATAGGTCGATGTTCCACATAAGAAGGATATGCCTTGGCTGAGTAGACAGAAATTTACCCTGGCTTTTAAAGGAATAGGGTACACTGTTTTTTTCTTTACTACTTCCATCTCTCTTTCATTCTCTTTGATTTCTTCTTTGTCTCTTCCTCTCTTTCTGACTCTCTCTTTGACTTTCTGTGTCTGTCTCTCTCTATGACTCCATCTTTGTCTCTCTCTTTCTGATTCCCTCTTTGTCTGTCTCTTCCTCTCTTTCTCCTTCTTTCTTTGACTTTTGGTCTCTCTGTTTCTGTCTCTCTGTCTCTTCCTCTCTGTCTCCTTCTTTGACTTCCTGTCTCTTTCTCTCTTTCCTTTCTGCTGCCTCTGCCAGCTGCTTATGCTGCTGTTCTCCCATCTCCTTCCCACTTTGATGGCTTTGGCAGTGTAAGACTGCCACCTCCTTGGGTTTTTGCATTGCATGCAATAACTCCATAATTTCCTTGTGGTATTTAATGGGGGTTCCCCCAGAGATTAGGAACTCCCTTTCTTTCCATATTGCAGCAAGAGCATGTAGAATTAGATAAGCATACTTGCTATCTGTATTTGCATTTATTCTTTTTCCCTTTCCCAGTTCAAAGGCTCGGGTAAGTGCCACTAGTTCTGCTAACTGAGCACTGGTCCCTGGGAGAAGAGGCTTACTTTCAAGTACAGTTACATCACTAACTATGGCATAACCTGCCCTTTGTATCCCATTCTCCACAAATGAGATTTCACTGGTATATAGGTTAAGGTCAGGATTAGCTAAGGGGAGTTCTAAGACATCATCTTGGCAGCATAAGTCTGGACTATAATTTGTTGGCAGTCATGCTCGATTGGTTCCCCATCCTCTGGGAGAAAAGTGGCAGGGTTGAGGGCCACACACATACATATCTGAAGCACTGGTTCCTCAAGGAGTAGCACCTGGTATCTAAGTAGGTGGTTGTCTGATCGCCATGAACGTCCTTTGGCACCTAGTATGCCATTTACATCATGAGTAGTCCAGACAGTGAGTTTCTTTCCTTGTACTATCTTGATAGCCTCTGACACTAAGACAGCCACCACTGCAACTACCCATAGTGAGGCCAGCCTTTTGCTACTACATCACTTTCCTTACTTAGATATGCCACTGGTTGTGGGGTTGTCCCCCGAGTCTGAGTAAGGACTCCAAGAGCTATCCCTGCTCTCTCTGTGACGTACAAAGAGAAGTTTTCTCCTGTGGGAAGGCTTAAATCTGGAGCTAGTACTAGGACCTGCTTTAAGGTTTTGAAGGCTGTTTTTTCCCCTGGTTCCCATTCTACTAGATGAGTATTTGCCCTCTGGGTTTCCTTGATTAGAGTATAGAGGTGCCTGGCTATCTGGCTGTATCCAGGGATCCATAGTCAGCAAAAGCCAGTGATTCCAGGGAACCCCCACAACTGTGTTAATGTCTTAGGGAAAGGACAAGCCAGTTTAGGCTGTGTTCATTCCTTGCTGAGGGCCCTGATCCCTCTGGCTAAGATTAGGCCTAGATATTTGACCTGCTGTAGGCAAAGCTGGGCCTTTGACCTAGACACCTTGTACCCTTGATTAGCGAGAAAGTTCAAGAGATCTAGAGTAGCCTGCTGGCATGAGGCTTCCAAACTGGTAGCCAAAAGTAAATCATCCACATACTGAAGGACCAGAGTGCCTGGACTTGAGAAGTGGCCTAGATCTTGGGCCAGTGCCTGGACTTGAGAATTGGCCTAGATATTGGGCCAGTGCCTGACCAAACAGGTGAGGGCTATCCCTAAACACTTGGGGCAAGACCATCCATGTAAGTTGGGATGTGTTTTCTGTGGGATCCTCTAAGGCAAAGAGAAACTGGGAGTCAGAGTGCAGAGGAATACAGAAGAAGGCATCCTTGAGTCCCAGAACCATGAACCATTCTGCTTCCTCTGGTATTTGAGAGAGCAGGGTATAAGGGTTGGGTACAACTGGATATAGAGGAATTACTGCCTCACTGATGAGTCTAAGATCTTGCACTAGTCTCCACTGACTGTTTGGTTTTTGTACTCCTAGAATTGGGATGTTGCAGGGACTGCTGCATTTCCTTACTAAGCCTTGAGTTTTTAAATGTTTAACAATATCCTGTAATCCTTTATGAGCTTCAGGTCTTAAGGGATATTGACTTTGATAAGGAAAAGTGGTGGGATCTTTTAGCCTGATTTGGACTGGGCAGCATTTTTTGCCCTTCCAAATTGTCCTTCCAATGCCCAGACTTCAGGGTTGATTCCCTCTTCAAACAGGGGACAACAAATGAATAACTTGTTCTCCATATTCATGTAGATAATAGCTCCAGCCTTGGCTAATATATCCCTCCCTAATAAGGGTTTGGGACTTTCAAGCATAACAAGTAAGGCATGTGAAAAGAGCAAAGTCTCCCAATTACAACTGAGGAGGTGGGAGAAATACCTGGTTACAGGCTGTCCCAGGATTCCTCAGATGGTAATGGACCTTGAGGACAGCCATCCAGGACAGGCAGTTAACACTGAGAAGGCCGCACCAGTGTCAAGGAGGAAGTCAATTTCCTGGCCCTTAATGGTTAAACGTAGCTGGGCTCATTGAGGGTGATGACATGAGCTGGCGCTTGCCCCAGGCACCCTCAATCCTGTTGTTGGATCATCTGGTTGGGGGCTTCTGACCCAGAGAACCTTTGTCCTCTGGGGCAGTGTACCTTCCAGTGATTGCCTTGGCATAGTGGACATGGATGAGGGGGCGGCTTGTTTCTCATTGGACAATCTTTTTTTAAGTGTCCTTGCAAACCACACTGGTAACAAGCCCTACAGGGTGATTGGCCTGCTCCATTTTCTGTCCTCTGTGAACCACCAAGGTTTGATTATCTGAGGGCCATGACTAAGGCTGTGGCCTTTCTCTGATCTTGCTTTTCCTTTTGGGCCTGTTCCTCTTGGTCCCTATTATAGAATACCGGGGTTGCCAGGTTTAATAATGCCTCCAAATTTTGTTCAGGGCCCAGGGCTTGCTTTTGGAGCTTTCTCCTGATATCTGTGACTGATTGGGTAATAAACTTATCTTTTAGAATCAATTGACCCTCGAGTGATTCAGGTGACTCGGGAGTATATTTCCTTAAGACCTCTCATAGCCACTCAAGGAAGGCAGAAGGATTTTCTTCCTTTCCCTGAGTTATGGTGGACATCATTGAATAATTCATGGGCTTTTTCCTAATTCTCCTTAGTCCTTCTAGAACACAGGTCAACAGATGTTTACAACTCCAGTCCCCGTGGTCTGCATCAAGGTCTCAGTGGGGATCCATACTGGG